>NC_000011.10:134767433-135076622 GCF_000001405.40 Homo sapiens | reverse complement strand
CTAACCCTAACCCTAACCCTAACCCTAACCCTAACCCTAACCCTAACCCTAACCCTAACTGATCTCTGACCCTGATTATTCAGGGCTGCAAAGAGGAAGGATTTTATTCACCGTCGATGCGGCCCCGAATTGTCCCAAACGAAGGCCGTGCCTCCAAGGTCTGTGCTGAGAAACCTGCTCCGCCTTTGCGGTGTCCCCCGGGTCTCTGCAGACGAGAACGCAGCTCCGCCCTCGCAAAGCCGCCGCGCCGGCGCAGGCGCAGAGAGGCGCGCCGCGCCGGCGCAGGCGCAGAGAGGCGCGCCGCGCCGGCGCAGGCGCAGAGAGGCGCGCCGCGCCGGCGCAGGCGCAGAGAGGCGCGCCGCGCCGGCGCAGGCGCAGAGAGGCGCGCCGCGCCGGCGCAGGCGCAGAGAGGCGCGCCGCGCCGGCGCAGGCGCAGAGAGGCGCGCTGCGCCGGCTGTCTTGCTCGCAGTATAGTGGCGGCAGGCCGCCTGCTTGCAGCTCGGGAAATTGCAGGGCCCTGTTGCTCGCAGTGTAGGGGTAGCACGTCCGACTGCTGGCAGCTGGGGACACTGCCTGGCCCTCTTGCTCCAAATGTATTGGCGGGTGGCTCCCCTGCTGGCAGCTACGGACAGTGCTGGGTCGTCTTGCTTGCAGTGTAGTCGCGGCACGCCCCCTTCTGGCCGCTGGGGTCACTACAGGATCCTCTTGCTCATGATGTGGTGCCCCTACGCCACCTCCTGGCAGCTAAGGACACTGCAGGGCCCTCTTGCTCCCGGTGTGACGGCTGGCGTCCCCTACTGGCCACCTCCCGAACAAACTCGGGGCGCCAGTTATTAAGCCCCATCAGTTCTGTAAATTCAAACTGAAACGGAGCTATTACTGGGGAGACCTGATGTCCCAATTCTTAACTTGGAGGAAAGATTTTCACTTTCCTCCAAGAAACACTCTCTAAGAACACAGCACTCAGAAAAGCCAGCCTGATACCTAGATTACACGGTTCACAGCCTTACAGGTTAGTAAGGAAGGTCATTTCCTCGTAGACCCAGGAATTTAGGGATATTTTGGGGACTTCAAGAAGACAGGAATTCACACAAAGCTATAAGGACTGCAGCTGAAATCTGAGATTCTGTATGAAAACTTCCAGCAAAGAAACCTGAAAGCACCTACCTGGTCATCTCCTGTTCTTGCTGCACTTACATAAATAATCAGGCAAAATCTAACAAAACTAGACTTATTTTTAAAACAAGAATAGTCTTACTTTGATTATGATAAAAAATGATGGTTACTTGTTACTTTCTGTGCTGGGTGAGCATCTTTAGTTTTTGTTCTATAAACCTACTAAAGACAATGAAGCATTTCCAAACAATGTGCTACAAATACAGGTAAAGTAAACTTAATATGTGATTAGCCTTAATTATGAAACCACAGAGTGTCTCCTAGTGTGAGTTCTGCTGGGACACAGAAACCCACCCATTCCTGAGCCTTGGAGCAAAGTTACCTCCTGTTTTGCCTGTTTTGTATAAAGCCTAGAAATACAGACAAACTTAAAAACATTTGTCTTTTTGAGATTTAGGTAAAAAAATTAGTAAATTTATTGCCCAGTATGCAGTCATATACCATATAACAATGTTTCAATCCATGTCATACCACATATATGATGGTGGTCCCACAAGATTGTAATGCTGTATTTTTACTTTACCTTTGAAATGTTTAGATAAGTTCAGATCCATAAATAGTTACCATAATGTTACAGTTGCCTACAGTATTCAGTACTGTCATGTGCTGCACAGGTGTGCCACCAGAGAGTGACAGGCTCTACCGTATAGCCTAGTGTGCAGTAGGCTGTGCCATCTAGGTGTGTGTAAGTGCGCTCCATTGTGTTCACACAACTATGAAATCACCTCCGACACATTTCTCAGAATGTATACCTGTCGTTAAGTGACAGGACTGCAGTTGTAAAAGATGCAGGTCTGAGGATTCAGGGTCTCTCCTTGCAACTCACAAGGCTGGCTCTAGAAGGCACTCATAGCACACAGGAGAGAAGTAACCCGTGCACATAGAGAGAAATCCTGGAGATAATGCTTGGGCTGTCTCCAGTGATGTTAAGAGCAAAATTACAGCTGCCATTTACCAAGTGCTTCCCAGGCACTGTGCTGACTGCTGAAACATACTTTTTGTTTTTGTTTGTTTGTTTGATGTCATCAGCAGTATAGCTTCCTTGGAAGCTTTCATTAATGTTCTCATTTTGCAGTAAGAAGAAACTAAGTCTTAGCGATAACCAAGTGGCAGACGTGGCAGAAGAAAAATTTGAAACCAGGGCCACATTGAGCCTGCAGGCATGTCTGGCCTGTTCTGAGGACAGACATTTCAAGCACAGAGAGGCACAGGAGCACTGTTTGAGCCTGGAGCTTAAATCGCGAATCCAGAGAGCCCTCTCTGAGCATGCGTTGTGCCCAGAGTTGGTTTCATGTGGATCAACTCAGGCTTCTATGGCAGGGCCACAGACAGGGTAAGGACTGGGGCTTCCTTATTCCTGTGCCTCCCAGTGGGCAAGGAGAAAGGGCCCAATGCCTCCCTCCACTCTACCCCTGATGCAGGATCCTGGGAGGGCTGGGGGCCCAGGCTGGGAGGGGGTCTTGATCTGGGACCGTCCTGCACATCCTGGCCCCTGGGTTCTGGAGGCAGGCAGAGGCAGCTTCAGGAGTGCTCCAGTTTGGTCTCTTCGACTCATTCTTACCCTAGCCCTGCACCTTCCCTCAGCCACGGTCTGGCGACCTGGGGCTTCTCAGAGGCAAGGGCACAGACCTGGAGGGTCTCTTTACAGAGATAGCAGTCACCTGCCTCTCAGACTCTTGCAAGGATTAAAAGGAGCAGTCTCAGAAATTCCTGGCACGTGGTGGAAACTTGGCAGACTTGTCACCTCCTAGCAGGTCACATAGGAAGACTTGAGGGCACGAGCTGGTGACACATCTGTTCTCGCCTCCCCAGCCCACCCACCAGCGAGAACTCACCCTCGGCTAACTCCAGTCTTTGCACTGCTTTTCAGGGCTATTGTCTGGCTCGTCTTCAGCAGATGGAGCACAGCTGGTCTCCTGCACACGTGGCTGCTGATCTTGCCAGTGTGAGAGACAACTTTCAATTATCATAAGCATCTGCATCTGCCCAAATTCAACCTCAGTGATCTGTCTCAGTAGTGTTTTAAACAGAATTTAGGACTGAGCCCACTACTCCAAAGGCAGCTGTCCCACTGCCTCTGGGGTGTGACTCCCTCTCCCATTTTTTATGTATCTGTGCACCGAGCCCTTCTCGCTTCTCACCCTCTGAGACGCCTGTTGTTGAAGGGAAGCTCTGAGCCTGGTGGGCTCTCTGCTGCCTCAGAGGAGCAAAAAGTCTGTGGTCTCCTGGTTCCAAAGTGTGGGGGGTGCTGGAGAGGCAGGTGCCGCTGAGATGCTGATCAGTACCCAGTGAGGAAACATACGGCCTCCTGAGAGATGCGGCTGAGCCCAGTGGTGCCTCTTGCCCACGACACCCTGTTTTCTGTCTCGTGCACCACTCAGTTTGGACTATTAAACATGACAGTGGATAGGAGCTGGGGGACTTTTAATCCAAGCACATGCTTCTCTGTGTGGGTGCTTCCTCTCAATCCTCCTGGTGTGGAAGTTCTCCCTGGTGTCTTGCCCCAGAACTTCCTGCTGCAGTGAGAGTCTGCATGTCACAGTTGTGTCTCTTTAGGGAGCCATCTGCCCTCACCTGTTGGATTACTCAGAACCTTCACATGCTCCTTCATCCCATTTGTGTCTCACAAACAGGGGTCTGGGCTGGCAGTCTATTTTGTCACCTGTTCCCTCCTCACCAGGCTCCTGGTCTCTCCTGTCTCCATTTGGCTGCCCTGGTCTAGACTCAGTGTGCTAATCACCATTTGTCTAATTAGTACTGTGGGACCATCACAGGATAAATGGCACAGCACTCACCATTGCAGACTTGTGCCCAGGCCCCCAGACACCTGAGTTGGGTGTCCTTTACTGCCTTACATAGAAGCCTGGGCTCCGAGGTTCAGGGACCTCCCAAGGACCTAGGTGTCACTACATGTGCTGCTGCTGACTGAAAGTGCTGACGGAGTTCATAAGCTAGTCAGGGGCCGCAGCTTTAAGGCTGGGTTCTGGTCACAGGCTGCCTTCCAGGTACCCAGGAGGAAGCTGGGGGCTTGTGTGTGCTGAGGAAGGGACCTGAGGCAGAGGAGAGGGGTTGCCTTGACAGTGCTGTGGCACACATGGCGGAGTCCGAGGCAGATCTTATGGATGTTGCATTTATTGCAAAATTCTACAATAAAGACTTTTAAAAAGTTCTTTTAAGTATATGAAGCACATTATTCCATTCTCAAGCTGGAAGTCAAAGTGGATCCAAAGAATGACTCCCGTATTCTTAATACATGACTAGCCACATGGAGTGACATTCCAAGCCAGAACCGGAAAACTACTCCCCCAATGGCAACGGAATGTCTTTGTGAAGAATCAAGTATTTCAGACTCGAGTGTTACAAGCATTTTCAGAGTGTGTCTCAAACAAGGACACTGGGGATGGGCCTCGGACAGTGCAAGAGGGAACTGTTGCCAGGCCTGGGAGGAGCCACTCATGAACACAGGGAGGGTGTGTGTGTGTGGAGCGGGGCAGTAGACTCAGAGTTCTCACTGGTAGCATATTTCATGGCACAGCTGGGCATAGAAATCATAATTTCTGGGCACAGAAATAAAGAATTTGTATTATTTTCTTCTCTCTTTTCTCTAATTCTCACATTTTTTCTTCTCCCCTCTCCTTTCGTTTTTTTCAAACTTTCTCCTCCTTCTTCTCTTTATTTCTCATCTTTATTCTCTGTCTCTCCCATATTCTTTTTTAAATCTCTCTTCTCTCCCTTTTCTCTCACCATGTAAAGAAAGAGATGCTGAGAACAGTGACTCATGCCTATAATCCCAACCATTTAGGAGGCTGCTGTCAGAGAATTGCTGGATCCCAGAAGTTGGAGACCAGCTTGGGCAACAAAGCAAGACCTTATCTTTACACAAAATAATTTTTAAAAGTTAGCTGGGCATGGTGGTGCACAGCTGTAATCCCAGCTACTCAGGATGCTGAGGCAGGAGGATTGCTTGAACCCAAGAGTTCAAGGCTACAATGAGCTATAATCATGGCACCACATTCCAGCCTGTGTGAAAGAGAGAGGCCGTGTCTCAAAAAATAAATAAAATAAAAAACAGAGGGGATCTTGCTGCTGTGTGTGTTTTTCTATCACTGAATGCTACACCTGTGTTGGAGGCTAGCAAGAGGAGCTGAGAATGTCTGAAATGCTTCAAATAAAAGAGAAGATTAGGAAGAAAAAGTCAAGAGCTTTGTTCTACGGAGACCTTATTGGATCTTCCAAGATGGCAAATTATTTCGCTGTGAATGATAACTGATTGTGTCTGAAGAAGTGAAGGAGAGATTAACTGGTCCAAGTCCCCTCCTATCAGCAGACAGTAGCTCAGGCAGCATCAGGGATGGGGCAGTTTTCTGATTTGCCATGGCTTATCTGTCATCTGTGTGTGTAGCCTCACTGGGAGGATCAAATGGAATTTAAGTGCTAACATCCTGTGTGCTCAGAGCCTTGTGAGGACACACACTGCTGTTGGAACCCTGTGGCAGCCAGCCTTCAAGGTGACCCCAGTAATCCTCCTTCCTGATCCCCATGCCTTGGTGTCTCCCCTTCCTCATCAGACAGGACTCAGCCTTGTGACCAATAGAATACTGTGGAGAGGACGCTAAGGCTGAATCATAACAGGCACCACTGTCTTCCCTTGGCCTTTCTTGGGTTGGTGGCTCAGGGGGGCTCTCTGCCATGCCCTGAGGACAATGAAGATGTCCATGGAGAGATGGCATGGGGACAAGCCAGCACTGCCTCACTAGCCATGTGAGGAGCCACACTGAAGGAGGTTCCTGCAGCCCCAGTCAGACTCAAAGAGGCCCTCCCAGGACGGGGAAGACTCTTATAATTTCACAATTCTCAATCTTTTCCATATGGAACTGGAGAGGCAAAGTATTTGCCTAAAGTCTTTCAGTGAGTTGGTGGCTAAGACTAAAGTAGATCCAGGGAGGGGGGGTTTCTCTTCAGTAGAGGACATTCATCCATTCAGCTTTAATTAATGAGCCTATTATGTACCAGGCACTGGGGCAGGCACCTGGGTTTTTTGAGATGATAGAAACAGTGACAACAGTTCCATTGTGGAACTTACAGTCTGGTGGCAGATGCAAACTGTAAATAAATGAATAAAAACATAATAGCTAACAATGGGAAGTGTTGCAAGAGAGGTCAGGAAATAGGGAGGAAGGATGCAGTGAGACTTATTTTGAACAGGAGGGCGGGATGGCCTCTTTGGTATAGTGACTCACCACAGCCACCCTGAATGGTGAGGAGGAGACATGCAGGGAGAGGGCACCGTGTTCGCATTCCTGAGGGAGGGAAGAGCATGTGTGAAGATGCTGAGGCAGGAGAGCTGTAGATTTCAAGGAACTGAATGGTCACTGCAGCTGGACGCCAGTGACCTGTGGAGAAAGCTTATGTGATGAGGTCAGACTGGAAGGGAGAGGCCTGACTCTGTAATGCCTTACATTCCAGGTGTATCAGTCAGGTTCTGCAGAGAAACAGACCCAACAGGATTTATACATGCATGTTGTATGCAAGGGTATAACATATGCACATATATTTGTATATACATTATCTATTTCTCTATCATCTACCTATTTATTTAGACAGAGAGATTGATTCAAGAAGTTGGGTTACATGATTGTGGGGGCTGGAAATTCCAAATTTGGCAGAGCAGACAGGCAAGCTGGAATGTCAGGCAAGAGTGATGCCACAGTCTTGAGGTAACTCACTTCATCTCCAGGAAATCTACGTCTTTGCTCTTAAGAACATTAAACTGATGGGATGAGGCACACCCACATGGGTAATGCAATCTCCTTTTGTTAAAGGCAGCTGATTATAGATGTTAAACACATCTACAAAATATCCTTGCAGCAATACCTAGATTAGTGTTTGACCAAATGACTGGGTACTATAGCCTGACCAAGTTGACACATAAAACTAATCATGACACCAGGTTGAGCAATTTGGACTTAATTTGAATGCAATAAGCTACTTATCTGTCTTAAGCAGAAAAGAATGCTGTGGTCTAAAATGTTATTTGAGTGTAAGTTTGACTGGAACCAGAGAGAACAGTTGGAAGGCTACTTTAAGATCTTTGCATAATAACTAGGGCTATTATGGTAAAGGCGGCTGTTGCTTAGAGGTGTGAGGACTTTTAAGATACGTCTGGTTGTGGGCGCCTGTGGTCCCAGCTGCTCGGGAGGCTGATGCGGGAGAAAGGCGTGAACCCGGGAGGCGGAGCTTGCAGTGAGCTGAGATCGCGCCCCTGCACTCCAGCCCGGGGGACAAAAAAATAAATAAATAAATAAATAAAGATATGTCTTGGAAGCAAGTTTGACAAGAATTTATAGATTTCAAGTAAGGGAAAGAAAAAGGATGGTGTCAATAATATATTCTTATTCAGGAATCAAGCAGCTGGTTGGGTAGCAGTGCCGTTTACTGAGATAACAAAGACTTAAGTGAGGACAGAATGGTGAGAGAAAGAGGCATTCAGGACGCCTTCACTGGGAGTGCCTGCGAGCTCCTCTTCCTCCAGCACATCTGTAGGGTGGACCATCTAAAGAGGGCTGGGTCTGGGAGGGAGGCCAGGCTCTGCGCACTGTTGGCAAGTGGATGATCTAAATGACATGGTAGGGATGTTATCACCAAAGGAAAGGCGCGGTGTGGAATGGGGATCCGGGGCTGTCCTCCCAGAATGCCCCACAGAGGCCAAGCTTTTCCTTGGAGATCCTGGTGCCCCCTTTGATCCTTCAAACAGGACTACAGTATTTACTGTGCTGCTGTCAGTTTCCTGGGTGGAGATACACTGCTCTGGCCTGGCCTTCAGTCGGCAGCAGGGGAACAAGGCAGAGTTCACAGGAGGAGACCATTGCTCATCAGTGCTAGTGGCCTGCCTATAGCTCCAACGTTATTTTATTTAAAACAAATTATTTCCCAGGGCAGCTTGACAATTGTACATATTAATTGCATTTGCATACCATGCTCCCTTCAGATCAGAGCAATCTATATTTATGATTTGGAAATTGCTCACTGAATAATTGCACATGTAAGTCACTTTTGTTTCCTTGCTTTTATTAAGTCATTATATTATTGCCTGTAATTAGCAGTGAGAGAAAATAAAATTATTTTACAAATTAAATAAAATTATTTATGAATACGGTTAAGGCTTGTTACCTCTTCAGCTTTCTGTCTTCACTCCCACTGCTGATTAGTGCATGTGGTACCACTGAGCCATAGCAGCCACAAACCTCCCTCTCCGTAAATCCAGGACATCCCTGGGAGCAGAAGTGTCCAGGCCTCCTCCGTGTGTGTTCCCCATGGAGCCCAAATGTTCTGAGTTTGCTCAGATGCAACCTGCCTGCCTCCACTCTTGCCTGACTCTACACACAACACATCTCATCATTGAGGTGCAGTCTCGTGGATCACAACATTAAAAACCATCTAATTTTGTTGTGAATTGGGTATTACTCTTGCTATAAACAACATGGGCACAACATTTTTTAAATGAACCTATTTGCTTTTCCTTTCCTTACCCTTTAGATCTGCACAAATTCAACAACTAAAGTTCATTAAAAACTAGCTTCAATTCAACTCACCAAACAAAACCGACAGACAGAGCGGCTCAGTTGCTGTAGCTGCAGCAAGCTGTGTCTCCAGGCTCCTCATTAGGGCAGCTTAAGGCTGCATGTGCTATCTTTCCTCACCCTCAGAGGATCTGATACAGTTGGCTAAAGTTTATTAAAAACTTCAATATGCCTCTCTTTCTCAAAAGATAACTAGATTTGCTAATGATCAAGTTTGACATTTCACCTTTCAGAGTCTGTTTCCTTATTAGTAAAATAAGGTATTTGGACTGAATTTCTGGCTCTAATCTAGGAGTATCCTTTAGAATCCCTTGTGGTGTTTTGTAAATGCACCACTGTCCTGGAACCACCACCAGAAATTGGAATTTTGTAAAATTTGAGTGGGAGCTGTGCGCACGTACGTTTATAAATTTCCATGGTGATTCTCACACTTATGCAGGTTAAAAAACATCAGTCTGGATCAGTGGCTTTTCACTCTGCTGCTCATTGTGATTACTTAAAGAGTTTTTAAAAATGGTAATTCACAGGTCTCACAACAGACTAATTAAATTGAAATATTTGAGGCGCCCCATATATTAACACTTTGAAGATCTCTCCAGGTCACCCTAATGTGTAAAGTTGAGAACTGGCAGCCAAGATCAGTGATGTTATCATCCTTAGACCAGATACATACAGAAGATGGGATAAGCTTTGAGGAACCTTTACAGCAATTTGACATTGCTGCTACCTCCAACTAATCAGGGATTTTTTTTGCTTTTATTATCTTTTGTTTTTCAATTATTTCTTTACATTTAAATTTATTTTGGTTTTACTTTTTTCTAATTACTCTTCCTTGTTTGTCTTATCTTTGTTTTTCATTATTATGACATTTTACAGTCTACGATCGATTGTAAATTGAGATAAACATGCAAACAAACAACTGAACAAGCAAAACTTGGTCCCACGGCCTGCTCTTGATAAACTTGGAGCTCCCCTCCAACTCTTGAGCCTCTAACTGTGGTCAGGCTTGACGGCTGGCTGCAGGCAACAAGACAATCAAGGAGGACAGTGCCCCGGGGTACCCAGAAGCAGGTGTTGCTGGCTCAGCCCCACTTTCAATGTGTAACCTGCCAAAAAGGCTCCTGATTTTCTGTTGGGTAAAGAACCATCAAGAACCTTCACTATCCTCCAGGATTTTGAAGGAACAACTAAGGAACCTTCCCTCTTTCAGTCAAATGATGAGCAACTCTGGCTAAACAGATTTCCTTATCCACAAATCTTGAGCTTGAAATGGTTGAGATTTATGTGTTCTGACTATGACAACCCCTCAAAGACACTGTCATTGGCTGCTCAGACCCAGATTCCTGGGGCCACTTGTCCTTTTATGAGCCTGGGTCTCTGAATGTTTGCTTCTGTCGGTGCCTCTTTATCTCTCCAAAGCCTTCTCCCACCTTCAAATGAAGAAACTTAACTGGTATTCTCAGCTTGGAATGTATAATATTCCATAAGATGTTTAGCCTTATGTGATGAAAGGACACCCTGTCCTCACGTTTTCCTTACAGAGCTCCAGGGCATAAGGAACCCATAGACTTCTCCTTGCCTCCTCAGTGGGCCTGACTCTGTGCAGAGAAACTCAAAGGAGGTCTGATGGGATGACCGACACTTCCTGCCCAGTCTGAACAAAATTTCTGAGAGCACTCCAGGGCCCTGGTGAAGCTCACGGAGGTGACATCTGACTTCTGCTTCCTCCAGATCCTTGCCTCTGCCCGTGTATCCCCAGCCTCCTCACCCTCCCCACAGGAATTCATCTTTCAGGCTGCTTCTTAGTCCTCCTGTCTACAATGAACTCAAACAAATTTACAAGAAAAAAACAAACAACCCCGTCAAAAAGTGCGCGAAGGATATGAACAGACACTTCTCAAAAGAAGACATTTATGCAGCCAAAAGACACATGAAAAAATGCTCATCATCACTGGCCATCAGAGAAATGCAAATCACAACCACAGTGAGATGCCATCTCACACCAGTTAGAATGGTGATCATTAAAAAGTCAGGAAACAACAGGTGCTGGAGAGGATGTGGAGAAATAGGAACACTTTTGCACTGTTGGTGGGACGGTAAACTAGTTCAACCATTGTGGAAGTCAGCGTGGTGATTCCTCAGGGATCTAGAACTAGAAATACCATTTGACCCAGCCATCCCATTACTGGGTATGTACCCAAAGGATTATAAAACATGCTGCTATAAAGACACATGCACACGTATGTTTATTGCGGCACTATTAACAATAGCAAAGACTTGGAACCAACCCAAATATCCATCACTGATAGACTGGATTAAGAAAATGTGGCACATATACACCATGGAATACTATGCAGCCATAAAAAAAGATGAGTTCATGTCCTTTGTAGGGACATGGATAAAGCTGGAAACCATCATTCTCAGTGAACTATCACAAGGACAAAAAACCAAACACCACATGTTCTCACTTATAGGTGGGAGTTGAACAATGAGAACACACGGACACAGGAAGGGGAACATCACACACTAGGGCCTGTTGTGAGGTGGGGGAAGCGGGGAGGGTTAGCATTAGGAGATATACCTAATGTTAAGTGACGAGTTAATGGGTGCAGCACACCAACATGGCACAGGTATACATGTGTAACAAACCTGCACGTTGTGCACATGTACCCTAAAATTTAAAGTATAATAATAATAATAATAAAAAGAAATGTGTTGATCGGAAGAAAAATACAGGTCTGCAGATCAGGGACTGAGCCCTCTCTCCTTCATCTGCCAATCCCGTCCCCCAGAACCCCACACAGTTGGGCAATAAACTCACTGCTGTTAGAAAGACCTCTCCATTGCTTTAGGAGCTGAGCAAAGGCTGCCAGGGCAGGGGTGAGGAACAGAGGCTTGAGAGAGAGACAGAAGGCACTCAGCTGTTTCCAACCTCAGAGAGGGAGGAGCTGAGATGAAAATTGTGCTACTCCACCTCAATAGCCTGCAAAATCCGTTCTCAGGGGCAGATTGCAGTGGCTCACGCCTGTGATCCCAGCACTTTGCGAGGCCGAGGTGGGCAGATCACCTGAGGTCAGGAGTTGTAGACCAGACTGGCCAACATAGTGAAAGCCTATCTCTACTAAAAATACAAAAATTAGCCAGGCATGGTGGTGCACACTGGTAATCCCAGCTACTCAGGAGGCTGAGGCAGGAGAATTGCTTGAACCCAGGAGGCGGAGGTTGCAGTGAGCTGAGATTGCGCCACTGCACTCCAGCCTGAGTGCCAGAGCGAGATTCCATCTCAAAAAAAAAAAAAAATCTGCTTTCCTAAACAAGCTGTGCTTGGCTTTCCAAAGATACCCTAAAAAGATAAAGAGAAAACAGAAAACACAAAACTCCTGCAGGTTAATAATGATGATTTGTATTTACAGATTCTTGAAACAACTTAAAAAAATTGCAATGACCCACCAGAGTAAATTAAAACTGGCTATTCATGTAATGTTGAGGTGTCTACTGGCTGATGGATGGTAAATTTAGGAGAAGAAATCATAGGCATTGTGAATGTGGTGCTCGGAGGGCAACGATGAGTGATACAACTGCAAAAATGCTAAGTTACCTTGAGAATTTCCATAGGCATGAAGCAGCTCCCACAGACTCACAGTGTGTCCAATCCACGTGTCCAACATCAGAGTGACGCTGTGATGCCATTAAAACATATCCATAAACCTCTTTACCAGTGGCCATCTAAAACAGTGAATGATTCACGTGTGCCACATGTGAAGGCTTAAAATGGAAACTTGATAAATTGGTTTGAAAATATGCATCTTATACTTCATTTCTCAAAGTATATTCTCTTCAGAAATAGTACCTTCTTTTCTTCTCCCAGAGAAACCTGAAACAGCATCAATTATTTACTTATAATTCTTAGTCTTCTTCTTATTACTGTGTGACAGAGTTTAAATATTGGTCTCCTCCAAAACTCATCTCGAAATGTGATCCACAATGTTGGAAGTGGGACCTGGTGAGAGGTGTTGGGCCATGGGGGTGGATCTCTCATGATTAGCTTGGTGCCTCCTTTGCAATAATGAGTGAGTTCCAGGAGAACTGATTGTTATAAAGAGCTTGGCACCTCCCTCCCCACTCTCTCTTTCCTTCTAACTCCCCATGTGAAGCCAGTTCCACTTCCCCTTACACCAGGAGTGGAAGCTCCCTGAGGGCCTCACCAGAAGCAGATGCTGATGCCATGCTTCTCGTATAGCTCAGAGAATATCAGTGGATGATAATTAAACTTGTGCTCCCCCACCTCAATACCCTGCAAATCTGTGAGCCAAATAAACCTCTTTAATTTCTGAATTACCCAGCCCCAGGTAATCCTTTAGAGCAACACAATAGTACAGTACCCAATGTGTGCAGCATTGAGCATATGAGAAAATGCTCCTGTGCTGGATCATTGAACATGTGCAATTGTTGAAAGAAAAGACATACACAGCAATGAATCCACACATAGGCTCAAACACAAAGACACACGCACACACACACAAAGTACACACACACTACTCAGATGCACACACAGTACTCACATGTGTGCCTGCACACACAGTACTCACGTGTGCCTGCACACACAGTATTCTCACACACAATACTCACAAGTGTGCATGCCCACACACTGTACTCACATGCACACACAGTACTCACACGTGTGCATGCACATACGTAGTAGTCACACACAATACTCACACGTGTGCATGCACACACCCAGCACTCACATACACCACAGCACTGGCACACACATATGCTCTTTGAGCTAAATGAAGATTTCTCTCTAGGAAGATTCCTTTTTCTTTTGAAACAAACTCAGTTCCTTTGCTGTATATGTAGGGCAATACATAATTTCTAATTTACCATTTTTCAGTTTGGGTAAACTGTTTTTGGTTTTGATTTTTTAAGGGAGTGGTCTATTTCAACTACAAGGTTGAATTTATTTGTATAAACTTGTCCAAAATATTTTCTTGTTAACGTTTTAACGTCTGAAGGATATAGTAATGATTCTTCTTTCATTATTAGTGTTGGTAATTTATATTTTCTTTTTTTCCTTGAGCAATTTAACCAAGATTTATCAGGATTTTTAATCTTTTCAAAGAACTACTTAATAAACATTCTACTATTTGTTCATCTTCTATTTTATGGATTTTCAATCCTAGTATTATTACATCCGTCCTTCTGCTTACCTTAGGTATAATTTTTTCTTCATGTTCTAGGTATTAAAAGTGAACATTTGGATTATTGTTTCTAAACATATCTTGTTTTTCTAATATGAGGGTTTGGAGCTATACATTTTCTTTATAATCACTGTTTTAATTGCACCTTACATATTTTGGGAAGTTGCCTTTTCATTTTTGTTCATTTCAAATACACTTTAAAATTTTAATCTTTTTGTTTGGTCTTTAAGTTATGTGGGTTGTTTAATTTCCAAATATACAGGTGATTTCCCAAATACAGTTTTGCTATTGATTTGTAATTAATTTCTCTTATGGACAGAGAACATGCTTTATGATTTTATTCATTTTAAATATGCTGAGAATGGTTTTATAACCCGTCATATAGTTTACTTGATGAACATTCCATATGCATGTAAAAAGAATGTATATTCTGCAGGTCTGGATTTTGTTTTCTTCCTTCAAAGAGTTTTGTCTTTAAAGGTCATTACTTTACTGGTGAATCAGTTTATCATATTTCAGGTTTGGCTTTAGGATTTTCTGAGGCAAGGGGGAATTGATCTAATTTAGTCTTTACTCTTGAACTAATGTAGCCACACTCCTAAAGTGTGGGCTTTGAGGTTTCGACTGAATTCAAAGATTTTCTGCAAAATCTCTCCACTCTAATTGGTCAAAATATTAACATCTCCCAGCACAGTGTGACCATTTATTCATTTCACAGGTCCACAGAAGTGGTTTCTGCCAATCTTTGAAGAGTCCTGATCTTATATAATCAAAGAAGCTTCAAGTCTGGAAGAGAGAGGCAAAAGGTGAGAGTCAGGAGAATCTGAAGATGCTACACTGCTGGCTTTGAAGATGAGGATGGGTCATGAGCCTAATAAAAAAGGTAGGCTCCAGGAGCCAAAAAAGGGAAGTAAAAAGATTATCTGAGTTTCCAAAAGAAACACAGCATCTCTGACACATTGATTTCAGCCCATTTCTGACTGCTGACTTTCAGAACTGTATGATAATAGATTTTTGTTTTTTTAAACCTTAAAGCTTGTGTTCATCTGGTATGGTAGCAGCAAGGAATATGGTTTGAAAGATGCCCCTGGATGGAAAACTAGTATAAATGTAGAGACCATCTGTGTGTCTCACTTTTTTTTTTAGGATCTCAGTCCTGTTCTATCTGTTTTTCAATGCCTGAAAACATTTTCTTCATGTATATATTTTTGAATTTATACTTGTTTGCAATGGTAATGTCAAAGAGAAATTGCACTAGACAGAGTTAAACAGGCAAGTAATACTTTATTCAAGACTATTGCAACAGGGGAGAGAGACTGAACTCAATGCCACCAAAACAAAAGGCAAGAAGAATTTTAAATGCTACAGTAGGGTAATGGTAAAGTATTGGAGATCGTTAATGAGGAGGCTGGTCAGTGTGATTAGGCTATCAGCGTTTGCAGTCACATATTGAAGTCAGGCTTCTATCCTACAACAGAAATTGGGACATAGGTGTGCAATTTTTTTTGGTGGTTAAATTTCAAAGAGGTGGCTTTTGTGTCCTTAAGAAAGATATTTCCGGGTTGTAGAACTGTCAAGAGGCTGGAAGATTTATCATATTTCAAAGAGGCAATGAACAAACTTGCAATTAGAAGTTTTCTAAAATAAACACCCAGTGAAAATGAAGGTCAGGGTCCCATATTCAGAAATACACCTATCTAAATTCAGTCCATCTGAGGAAATCATTAAGTCCATTTCATTCAGTAGAGTATTTCTGGCAACTATTTCTCTGTCATGATCAGAAAGAAATTGATAGAGTTGACCTTTGAACAACATGGATTTGAACTGCATGGGACCACTTACATGTGAGATTTTCTCCACCTTTGCTACTCTTAGACAGCAAGACCAACCCCTTCTCTTCCTTCTCCTCCTCAGCTTACTCAATATGAAGACGATGGGGATAAAGACCTTTATGATGATTCAGTTTCACTTAATGGACAGTGTTCCACAGTGAGCAGGTACATGCAAATCTGCCCTCAAAGGCCAAGGGAGCTGAGCTGTTGAAGACAGAGGCTGACAAAGCTAGTTTCTCAGAAGGAAATATGTAATAGAAACTACAGACAGAAGGGATATCTTGAGGGCTGTGAGACAGTGGATTCCCAAAACCACCCTCCAGAAGGTACTCCTTATAGAACAAGATTTTAAGGTAAAGACTTGTGCAGCTGGTCACATCTGACTTTCTTCTTGCTAAGAGTGATGACCACCATGGAGGTTAGATAGGTATCTTTATGAGGGGTTATCTATCTCACAGGAATTGTTTAAAGATCTTGCTGCAGAACACAAGCCTACTATGCAAGAATCAAACATAGGTCTTCATGGCAGTTTTGCTTCAAGATGGCCTCACTCTTGCCATGCAACAAGCTGTTTTAAGTAAATGCTTTTTCTCTTTCTTATAATTTTCTTAATAATATTTTCTTTTTTCTAGCTTACATTATTATAAGAATACAGCATGTAGTGCACATAGTACACCAAATGTGTTAATTGACTGCTTATGGTACTCATAAGGCTTTCTGTCAACAGAAAGCTATTAGTAGCTAAGGTTTTGGGAAGTCAAATGTTGTATTCAGATTCTTGACAGAGCAGGGGTCAATGCCTCTATTCTTCATGTTGTTCAGGGTCATCTAGTTGTTTCTTTCTTTGGTATTTTTATACGGGTAATACATATACATTAAGAAAATATGTACTTGTAAATAAGACAGTAAGCTGACTATATTTACATTTTATTACAGAAAGTCTGTTCCAAAATTAAGATAAAACATGAGTATTAGGTGCAATATACAATAAACATGAAGTCAAAATGGAAACTTCAGGTCAGAGAAACAGTGGGAGTGAGAGTGAATGTAACTGTCTTCAACTGGACATTTGTTTTCCTTCTAATGGCTGAGTGTCATCAGATTGAGAGTGAACTGTCTACTTGCCCTGAGATGGGCTGAGCTAGGCTGCCTGCCATAGACTTCTAATGGGAGAGGGAGAGAGGGATGACAGAATAGAAATAAATAACTCTCTTCCACCATGGCTGAGGAATTCTTTCATGATGAATATCCAATATTAATTTTTTTCCTTCTCCCTCTGTTACGTGCCCTAACTATTGGGAATTTATGACATCTTCCTCTTTGTCATTGCCATCCATTGAGGTCCTGGGTCCTCTTCCCCATTCCTCACCCTAAAGACTTCTGTATCTGCTTACAGTCACTCCCCTCACCACCTTTAGTCAGTAACCCATCAGCACCCTGACCTCCCAGGGCTTCCAGCAATCCATCTCCAGGGATAGTCCCATTCCTCAAATGAATTCAAGTGGCCAATTTCTACTACAGCTTCATCCTTCAAGTCCATAATTATTCAATCTAATGAAGACTTGAATTTTCCAACTTTCTATCTATATCTATATACACTCCCTGAGATTTACTTCATTGTTTATTTAAATTTATTTTAAATCCATTTTTACTTTGTATTTCCTTATGAGTAAACTCAATTGTCTTGGGCAATGTCATTTTATTGTAGTTATTTCACTAAGCTCTTCCTGGAAAAACAGGACCAAGTCTTTTTTATATATACACTACCATAACTAAAAATTGCTTGAGAAAAATAAACCTCACAATGTGGCAGACCCATATGACTATAAATTTATGATTATCTACCTCAACATTTCTTGGCCATCCTACTATGTTTTACCAATAGCCTGGTTTTAATACTTCCCTTGATTAGCATTGTTACATTTTCTACATTACCCAGAATTGACACCCCCACCACATACACATAACCTTTCCACTCTCTGAACAATTAATCACCAGGGATCGGGGATAAGAATTGAAATTTCCAGAAATTCTCAGGATATCCGGAAACTTTAAATGAATCTTTACTTTTTATAACATTTATATGCATAGTTTTAAATAACAACAAGTGATAATACATGGTGAATCATTTATATGTGGTAGAATTATACTATAAGCTTAAGAACTTTTCTGAAAATGATGATACGATAATAAATGTATAACATTATTATAATGCAATAGTATATCATGATAAAGTAATATGAATAACAAATAGAATGATTTCTACTAGGTATAGACATTCAATCAGAGAAAATATTAAAGCAGAGGGAATATGAGTAGAAAATAAATGTCAAATAAAAAGCATTAAAACTGTAAAAGATGACAGCACAAATATTTAATATAACAATAATATGTTATATATAATAAAAGTTATTATTCTGAAAATAAAGCTTTGTCTTGACCTTTGGGGCATTCTGTCCTTTCCTTCAGTCAGGAGTTGAGACAGAGAGGCTGTGGACAGGGCCGGCAGGGGTCTGGACTGGGCTGTGTTGCCTCCGTCTGGCACTTGCTCCACTGAGCTTCTTCACAGCCACACACGTGACCTTAGAGGGACCATCAGGGTCAGTGCTTATCCCTGCAGGAAAACCAGGCTTGGAAAATAAATAAAGGACCATGGGCTTGTTTGATGGACCGAGGCAATAAAGGGGCTGATGTTTGACAAAACAGTAAGGACACCATGCAGTTAGCATCCCAAACACTGCAAGTTATCCAGAAAGGGAAGAAAGCCTTGGCATAATTAATTAGTACCTAGAATACAATTTCACATGAGAATAAGCAGAAGACACATGAAGTAATAAAGGCACTGCAAAATCCAGATCTTAAGATGAGTCTTGATATTTTTTGAAAGTCAATTATTTTCAGCAATGCCTGAAAATCATGCTGTTTAACAAAGTAAGAAAAAGACTTTTGGGGTAGAGAACTGTGGGGTGCACACATCCTGAGACGATAAATATCTGGTGTCAAGCCCCGGGCTTCCAACAAGACAAGACAGCATGAGGCAGCTTGTTTACATCTCAGTGAGGGTGGAGGGCACAGGAGAGAACATCTGAGGGAGAAAAGACACAGAAGCTGCTGGGAGATCGGTGTACAGCCGACAAACCCTCTAAGGAGAGACAGGGAGAAGACAGCCAAAGCGCACTTTTCCCATCTCCTCACTCAACCATCAACACGCAATACTTCTGTGACCTCCCGTCACCAAGATTTGTGGGGAGTTTCCCCACCAAGCAATCCTACAGATTCCCCAGCAGATACAACTGAGTTTCTTCCAATTCAATTCAATTCTGACACTATCTACCTTGAGACAGCAGCTGATTCCACAGGTTGGGGGCTCAGTCACACAAGATCACCCTCCACTTCAGATGCCAATCACAAGACTCTGAGGAAGCAGCTAGGTGCATCATTTCTGACACGCTAAAAGAATACAGTTAGAGGTCCCTTCTGAGAGGACCGAAGAAAATTGCTTATAAAGGAATTTCATACCAAAAGCGCTTCAGATTCCTCCACCCTTGGACTCTGCATGTGCTCCCGAGAGGGTTTTGCTGCCCAGATAACCTCCCAGGTTAATCTGCACTTTCCCTTGTTCCTTTACTCCGAAAACCAAATCCAAGTTCAAGATTGTTAGAAACCATTATACTGTAGTTCAGATTTTGTATTTATTTTCATCATGATCTAAGTTTCTTGAACAATTAGCAACTAGAGAAAATTTTCCAATTATTTTTTGAAAATTAGTGATCACTGCAGAGCCTCAGCTGTGTGCTCCTATTCTCTGTTTTCCACACCCAACAATAACTTGGCTTTAGAGACTGTACAGTTAACCACTCCTGTAGTTAACTTCACCTGGTGGCCTCCACACAGGCCGCAGGCTTGTCACCTGTGAGGAAGCCTTAGGTGCTGCTTCCCCATCCCCAGCCCAGGGGAGGACGGCAGACTCCAGCGTCCTGGTGCAGAAGTGTGCAGGTTTTCACTGCAGGCCCTCCTTGCACACTACGATGAGGCCACATCCCAGGGGCTGTGCCTGCACAACTCCACAGCTGTGGGCATGTGCAGGAGGGCTGGAACCTCCCAGGGCGTGGCAGGAAGCAGGGAGGACTGGGACCCACTCAGGAGACAGGGCATTGACTGAGAAGAGAGTTCCAAGGAGGCGGCTTTAGATCCTGGGGATCAGGGTGTCTGTAGAAGGAGGGATCTGGGAGCAGAAGTCCTGATAAAATCTCCTAGGGTGGATCTCTGGCTTCAGAGAATAAAAGCTGCAGCGCTGGGCGGCCTCTTCTCCTCCCACTGTCCCCAACCAGGCCAGCAGCCAGGGTAGGTTTTTGTCACCAAGGAGGTGGGCACAGGGAAGTCCTGGCTGTGGGACTGGATCCAGGTTCAGGGCAGCCTTAAAGCTGTCCCTACAGAGCCTGGGAGGGTAAAGAGGAGGGAGAGGAACAGGCCAGCAGTCCTAGACAAGGAGATGGGGTCAGGCCTCAGTGCAGATACTGCACAACCAAGGTACAGAGAGGCTGGGGCTCACAGGGGGACCTGGAATTCAGGCTTCTGACCCTCCCCATGACTCTTCCCTTTATTGCTTAATTCCAGGGAACCCTCACAGGCCATGGCCTGTGGCTTTTGCATGGCAGGCACCTTCAGGGGTAAGGGAAGGTGAGGTACCTGCCCTGCAGAATATCCCTCTCTGATATGTTTTTCCTCATCTTCCCACCTGCACCTTCCAAGCCTCTGAAAGTGTGGGGCAGAGGCCAAAATGGCCATATGGAGGCAGATAAACTAATATGAGTTTTCCACTAATTTGTTTGTGACTTTGGACAAATAATCCAGTTTCTTCATCTAGCAAATGGGACAGTTTCCCTCTCTCCCAACTACCCTAAACAGGAACTCTAGATGCCTTACAAGAAAACAAAGCCAGTTTTGTTTTTTTTTTTTTTTTTTTTTAGACGGAGTCTTGCTCTGTCACCCAGACTGGAGTGCAGTGGCCTGACCTCGGCTCACTGCAAGCTCCACCTCCCGGGTTCACGCCATTCTTCTGTCTCAGCCTCCAGAGTAGCTGGGACTACAGGCACCCGCCACCACGCCCGGCTAATTTTTTTGTATTTTTAGTAGAGACGAGGTTTCACCATGTTAGCCAGGATGGTCTCGATCTCCTGACCTTGTGATCAGCCCATCTCGGCCTCCAAAAGTGCTGGGATTACAAGCGTGAGCCACCGCGCCCGGCCACAAAGCCGGCGCTTTGTATGCACGTCGTTATTATCACTCTGATTATTAGAAGGACAGCTTGAGGTCAGCCGTGTAGAAGAAACACTAGTCTAAAGATTCACATTCACAGATTTTAGTCAAAGTGCTGTCACTTACCAGCTTTTCTGAGTCTTAGTTCCATAATTTTAAAAATGGGCTTGCCAGGAGTGATATCAGCAAGATAGTGGACTGGAAGCTTCAAACGCTTGTTTCCCCATGGAAATATTAGGAAAGCAACTAGAGATGGACTACAACAACTTTATAGGAGCTCTGAAAACAAATCCAGCATCTACAACAACTAAGAAAACATCAAATTAAGAAAAAGTTACATTTAAGCCAGCAGGAAATGCTGTGAAATTTATATTCACCCTCGCTCTACCCATCCTTGGCATCTTGCAGCACAATTCCCAGTTCCCTCCCTCAGGCTGGAAGAAAAAGGACAGCATTTATCTGTAATATTCTACTCCGTATGTGGCTGCCCAAGAGACTTGTTTCTGTTTTGCCTGGCTGGGAGCTCAGGTGGAGAATGGTGCCATGGCTTGGCTCTCAGGCTGCTGGAAGCCTTGAAAAGCAATGGCAAACACTGAGGCATGGGAGAACTGGTGGGGAGGCTGCCGACTGTGGACTCCTGGGGCAAAGGAACATGGGCAGAGAAATGCAATAGAACATCTCAGGCCTGAGCCTGAGAGAAGCTGAATGAGGCTCATTGACACATGTAAAAGCGGCTGTTTATATGGGAGAAATTGAGGGAAGAAAAGAAGACAATGCACACACACACACGCACAGACACACACACACACAGACACACACACACACGCCCAGGGAGGACACATGCCCAGAAAATACCTAAAAAGACCATAAGGCTTTATCCCAGGCGGATCCAGACTTAGGACATCTTTCACCAATTAGCAAAAGTACGCCACATCCGTCTGTAAAGACTGAGAGAGGTACCTCATTCTTCAGATGCCCAGTTTTTAACAAAAGATTACAAGGCACACAAAGGTACAGAAAAACATCAACCATTTGCAAAACAAAATAAGTTTTCAGAAACTGTCTTTGAAGAAACACACACATCAGGCTTCCTAGATAAAAAAAGTAAAACAACACTGAAATATGCTAAAAGAGTTAAAGAAAAACACAGATGAACAACTAAAGAAAATAAGAAAAGCAATATACAAATATACATTAAAATGATAAGAAATTAACCAAAATTATAAAAAAAGAAGCAAACAGAAATTCTAGAGCTGAAAAATATGGTAACCAAATTGGAAAATATACTAGAGCTGTTCGACAGCAGATTCAAAGAGTGAGAAGAAAGAACCGATAAACTTGAAGACAGGTCGTTTAAATTACGAGTCTGAGGAACAACAGAAACAATAAATAAAGTAAAAGGAGCTCAGGGACTTATAAGGCGCTGACAAGTGAACCAATACATGCATTGTGGAAGTCTCAGAGAGGAGAGATACTGAGAGAGAAAGACAGAGATTATTTTTATAAAATAATAATGGTTGAAAACTTCCCAAGAAATCCTTGAATCTACAAATTCAGGAAGCTTGACGAGTCCAAATAGAATCACCCTAAGAGACCCGTACTGAGTCATATTATAGTTAAACTGCCTAAAACCAAGTAAAATAGACAGTCTTGAAAGGAGCAAGAGGAAAGTGACTTGCCATGTAAGAGGGATTCCCAAGTAGACTATCGGGGAATTTCTCAGTAGAAACTTTACAGACCAGAAGACAGTCAGAGGACATACTTAGAATGCTGAGAAAACAAACAAGGAAACACTCAACTCTCAACTAAGGATTGTATATATGAACAAACTGCCCTTCAAAAATGATGGCACAATAAAGACATTCCCAGAAACACAAATGGTGGAAGGTGCATCGCCACAAGACCTGCCCTAAAAAGAATGTTAAAGGGACTCCTTCAAATCTAAATAAAAGGACCCCAAAGAGTAACTGGAAGCCATGGCATATAAAAATAACGGTTTCTGGTAAATCGAATCCATGAGTAAATATACACACATATACATATACCATATTTTGGTTTGTAATTCCACATTTATTTTGTGATAAACCAATCACAAAACGTCAAATAACGTATGAGTTTACATATGTGAGGTGCCTAGAGTAGTCCTGTTTATAGAGGCCAAAAGTAGAATGGCAGTTGCCAGGGTCTGGATTAGGGGAATAGTTAGTGTTTAATGAGTGCAGGGTTTCAGTTAATGGAAAAGTTTTGGGATGGAAGATGGAGATGTTTGGAAAACAGTGTGGATGTACTTAATGCCACTGAACTGTGCACTTAAAAATGGTTAAAATAATAAATGTTAGTTATGCACATCTTACATATGCATACAATACACAAAATATATACATGCAATGTATACAATAAATAATTTTATAATAATTTTCCAATACATGCAATATATACTTTTTGAGATGGGGCCTTGCTATATGGGTCAAGCTGATCTCAAACTCCTGGGCTCAAGTCATTCTCCCACCTCAATATCCTGAGTAGCTGGGGCTAGGCAAATACACAATTTTTTATGGGCATACTTCAGAGAACATGTTCCTATGGTTTACTGCCAGGGAGAAAGACAATAAATAAGTAAATAACGAAAATGTTGAGCTAATTTCAGATAGTAAAATGTGCTGTGAAAAAATCTAAATATTTGCCAGGCACCATGGCATGTGTCCGTGGGCTCAGGGGGCTGAGGCAGGAGGATTAGTCGAGCACAGGAGTTCGAGGCTATAGTGAGCTATGCTTACGCCTGTAAGTAGCCACTGCACTCTAGCCTGTGCAACATAGCAAGACCCCATCTCAAAAAAAAAAAAGCAGAAAAGAAGGGAAAAAAGAGAAAGATAATATAAATCTAAATAGAGTATAAAGAGAGAGAGACCGAGGTGGGAGGAAACATGAGGTTCTGACTGTAATGTCTTTGGAGGCCTTTCTGAGTGGGTAATTCTCCAGCCTGAGTGATGGGAGATGGGTGGCTATGTGTGCAGCCCTGCGGGGAGGACTCTAGGCAGAGAAACATCCCTGAGATGTTGAAAGAAGGCAAGGATGAGTGTGCTGGGACACAGTGAGGTGTGGAAGTGAGCTGGATAACTCGGGAGACCGGCTGTCATGTAGAACCACGTTCAGTGTGCACTGGAATCATGCAATCTGATGCACATTTCAGAAAATTACTCTGTCTTCTGAGGGAATAATAAATTTTTATTTCAGAGGGAAGAAAGAAAGGCTAGATAAGAGGTTGTTGCCTTGTCCAGGCAAGAAATGATGGCATGCTGAATGGCACTGGTCACAGTGGAGACAGGGAAGATGACTGGATTAGGAAAAGACTTAGAAGGTAGAATTCAGGAGAATCTCCTATGGGCCAGACCAGTGTTTCCAGGGAAAGAGAAGAACCATGAATGACTCCTAGGGCATTAGTCTCAGGAATGAGCCCATGATGATGCCATTTACAAAAACAAGGAAGACGGGCAAAACAGTTTTTGGATGTGTGAATTCAACAATTTTTGTGGATCTTCTCAATTTGAGATGCTTGCAGAGGAGGTAGAGGCAGATAGATAAATGAACCTAGAGTCCAGGAGTGAAGTCAGGGCTGAAGCTACAGATGTGGTCATTATTTTGCAAAAGGAACACTTCCTAGAGAGAAGGGGCAGAGAAGGGGAACCTGGTAAGAGACTGAGAGAACTAGAGGTGGAGTGTGTGGGATCCTGGAATCCTGGAGAGGAAGGCATTTCAAGCAGGAAAGAGATGATCCGTGCTGAAGGTGTGAAATAATGCTGACTCCTGCAAGGTAGTATTCAAATGTCAACCACAAGGGACTCCTTGAAATGGGAACTGAGTGGGTGGCACAGCCAGGAAGGAGTTCCAGAAAGCAAGAAGCTACTCAGAACTCCAGGAGAGGATGCTCAGCTGTAAGTTCAGGTATCCTCAGGGGCGGAAGCCCAGGACAGTGTCTATAACCCAGTGGCTGAACCATAAGCCTGCCCTTCTCTTCTTACAAAATGCTGAGGCTCTTCCCCCTTCCTGCCAGGATTCAGAGACCGGGGAGACAATTCTGGGGAGAGGGAGCTGCCTCTGTCCCCAGGGCTTTGAGAATGGGATGTCTTAGCTGAGCCTGGGCCTGCTGAGTGAGACTCCCTGGGCCGCCAAGGCCTGGAAGTCCCTGGGAGACAGCTTCTTCTTCCTCCAGGATGGCCATTTCTCCATAATAGCCCAGAAGAGAAAACTCTGGACCTGTGTGTGATGCACCTCCAGGCTCAGGTTTCTAAGTGGCTTTGACTTCCAAGGCAAGCTCACACTGCCTTTCTACTCAATCCCAGGTAAAGCAATTATTGTCCAATGGTGGGGAGGAGCTATCTCTTTTCAAACAAGTTAAAGTGGAGCAAGGGGAACAGAAAAGGTGATTTTGGCACTGGTAGGATCTAGAACATGAATTGATCAATACAATGAGAGAACAGAGAGCAAGAGTGGAAGAGAAGTGAGTGATGTTTGCACATGTCAGCTTTCTCTACGTACCCAGCAGGGGCCATGTGTCCTGGCAGGTGCAGCCTTGGAGCCATCTTGTAAATGGTGTTGAGGGCATAAGGGTCCTTGCTTCAGTAATCAGAGCAGGCCATGGGCTGAGAGAGACCCCTCTCCTCCACTACACTGACGAGACCTTTACACTCCTGTGGCAAGAGTCACCCACTGTCTTCGTCTGCTCTGGATGCTATAACAAAATACCATAAGCTGGGAGGTTTATAAACAACAGAAATTTATTGCTCACTGTTATGGAGGCGGCAAATCTATGACCAAGTCACCAGCAAATTCGGTGTCTGGGGAGGATTCACTCCCTAGTTCATCGATGGTGCCTTCTTACTGTGTCCTCACATACTAGAAAGGATGAAGGGTCTCTCTTGGGCCTCTCTGAAGAGGTCACTCATCCCATCCATGAAATTTCCACCTCCATGACCTAGTCAATTCCAAAAAGCCACAACTCTTAAACTCATCACTTTGGAGGGCATTAGGTTTCAACATCAGTTTGGGGGAAACAGGACCATGGTACCCATCTTTTATAGCTACAGAAAACCTAGACTGAACTCCCCTACCACCTCAACCTCCACTGTTTCAGATCTCTGCCCTGAAGATGTGGAGAATCCATAATTATGAGGGGGGAGTTCTGAGGGGAAAAGGAAAAGGGGAAGGAAGTTCATTCTGTTGATCACTTCACTGTGGCAGGTACTTTAAAAAAGTATTCAGCTTTAATCCCTCAAACTGTATTTTTTTACAGAGGAGGGTATCAAGGCTTAGAGATTCAAAGTAACTCTGCAAGATCACCCAGTTATTAGGAAAAGGCAGCGCTGGAGTGCACACTCCTGTCTTCACAGCTAAGCCAGTGCTCTGGGTGCCACCCCAATGTCCAGGTTGCAGGAGGTTCAGAGCAGCAGAGGGGTGAGGTTTAACTGATTTCCTCCCAGACGTCATCCCTGAGTTGGCCTTCTGGGCCTTGATGCTGTCACTTTAGATGCTCTCATTCCCCCAGGCACTAGGATTCAAAGACTTTTCCCCAGGAGACTTCACGCAGGAAAAATAGCCACTTCCTCTAGGTGTTTGAACAGGCAGGGCTGAGGCAGTGGTCAGGAGACAGGAGGGAGAGGTCACCATGGACAAAGGAATCTGCTGGACATCAAGCCTCCAGTTGCTCTTGTGAAGGCTGCCTGGGGCCTCCTAGGACTTCTCCTTCACCCCTGGGGTTCATTC
The DNA here is from genome assembly GCF_000001405.40 of Homo sapiens. Classification (NCBI taxonomy): domain Eukaryota; kingdom Metazoa; phylum Chordata; class Mammalia; order Primates; family Hominidae; genus Homo; species Homo sapiens. The sequence continues at coordinate 135,049,814 of NC_000011.10, read as the reverse complement.
CACGTTGCTCTTCGCTAAGCTTAGAAACACGCCGTTCATGGTGTTTTCTCATCTGATCATGAAGAACAGACTACATAGAGTGTCTTTGAATTTGTTTACCCTCTTCACACTTTTCTTAGAGGAATGAATTTGAGTCCCTGAGCACCGGGTCCCCCCACTGCCTTGCTGGGCAGCAAGACAGGACAAGCCTTCCACTAAGCCTGTTTCCTCCTGTGATATCAGTGAGGACATGACAACAGTCGCTCATGTAGTTACTCTGAGCCTTTGCTGTGTCTCCTTTCCACATCAGCGCCTGACCCCCAAGAGAAAAGAGGAGTTTAGAGTTTCACTAATCTGCACAAAGAGACACAGCTAAGGAGTGGAGGAGCTGGAACCAGCTCCAGGTCTGTCCGGTGCTGCCATGTGTGCTTTCTGAGGCCTCCTATTATCCCTGGGGACAGATGCTAACCCAGCCTCAAAGGGGTGTCCTAAGGGTCGATGGGGCAATGCGTGTGAATGATACAGAGGTGGCTCAGATATTGATATGGTTTGGCTCTGTGTCCCCCCTCAAATCTCACCTTGAAATGTAATAATCCCAACATGTCAAGGGTGGGACCAGGTGGAGATAATTGGATCATGGGTGTGGTTTCCCCCATGCTGTTCTCATGATAGTGGGTGAGTCCTCATGAGATCTAATGGTTTTATAAATGTCTGGCATTTCCCCTGCTGGCACTTCTCTCTCCTGCCACGATGAGAACAAGGACATATTTGCTTCCCCTTCCACCATAGTTGTAAGTTTTCTGAGGCTTCCCCAGTCATGGGGAACTGTGAGTCAATTAAACCTCTTTCCTTAATAAATTACCCAGTCTTGGGCAGTTTTTTATAGTGGTGTGAGAATGGACTACTACAGATATGATCCCTGCTTTCGGGAAGATTTACAATCTAGAAAGGGTGGCAGTTGCTGAGGAGAGTAAAAGTCACCTGGTGACCACTGAACAGAGAATGGAGTAAAAAACTCCTAATTTGCGGAATTTGGAAGGGAGCAAAGACCCCCTGGTGACCATCAAACAGGCCATCCGGAGGCAAAACTCCTTCCCTGGGAATAATAATTAAACTTCTCTAGTATCTAAAGTTGGCATCTGGTTCCAGGCCTCGTTCAACTTTTATAAGTAACTAAAATGTCCATACATCTCTGAAATGCCATGTGGAAACTCATTTTGCAATGCTTGCTTACATTAAGGCACCAAAATGTCTACAAATGTAATCATTATTATAACCTATGTGGCTAATGTGTCCCAAATTACCCTCAAGCTCCCCTCTTAAGCTCCATAAATGCTCCTAAGGAAAATTCACTGCGGCACGCTCAGTCCTCTCTCAATGAGGCACCCCACTGCACCCTTTTGCAGTGTGATTCCTTTCTAATAAACTTTCCTTTTTCAAACCTATACTATTGTTGGTAAATTATTTTTACCAACCCACGAGTTGACCACTTCCCAATGCCAGGGCTCTGACTCTTCGCCCGGCAGATGTAAGTTAAACAATCAAGCAATAAAACGAGGGGCAGACTGTGAATAGAAGAAAGGTGGCCGGGCCCAGTCGCTCATGCCTGTAATCACAGCCCTTTGGGAAGCTGAGGCAGGTGAATCACCTGAGGTCTGGAGTTCAAGACCAGCCTGGCCAACATGGCGAAACCCTGTCTCTACTAAAAATACAAAAATTACCTGGATGTGGTGGTGCGTGCCTGTAACCTCAGCTACTTGGGAAGCTGAGGCAGGAGAATTGCTTGAACCCAGGAAGTGGAGGTTGCAGTGAGCCGAGATGGTGCCACTACACTCCAGCCTTGGCCACAGAGCAAGACTTTGTCTTAAATAAATAAATGAGTGAATGAAAGGTGACCAGTGCCTGGGACTCTGATTGCCAGGGCCACCAAGAACAGAGGGTGACCTCAGGCAGAACCATGGGTGGTCCTACTGCTTCAACTCCTGCTGAGGGCAGGGTCAGCAGTCCAGAGTCCTGGTAGCTCAGGAGGCTGGAGTGCAGAATTCCAGATCTGGACTTCATCCACCTCCCTCCAGAGCCTCTCTCAGCCCCACAGGCACCCCCAGGGGGACTCTGGGCTCATTTTTTCCTATCACCGATGAGGCTAACTCTCACTGTCCATCAGCTTCCAGATGCAGAGTAGCTCCAGGCCAAAGCAGGAGGTGGGTTGCCACTGTGGAATGCATGTCGGCTTTGCAGCCTGAAGATTGGGGTGAAAATCCAGCCTCACTGCTGGTTACAGCACAGCTGGGTCTTCAACCAAGCTCTGGTCACCCAAGTGGGTGTATTCCCTGATGCTCCCAGGTGGCTCTGAGTGTACTCTGGGGGCCCCACCCCCCCCATGTGGGACTTGGTTCACAGGTTATGCCTCAGTGGACATAGGTGCAGGGCCCTTGTGGGTTTCACCCGCTTCGGTGCAGGCCCTTGGGATAATGGGAGCCACCAAGCTGGGAGTTCCCGTGGTCACCGTGTGCATGGGCTTGACCCCATGTTCGTGTCTCTCACTGTGTCTGTGCCATGCTGCCATGGTTCATGTGTGGTCAGGCGTGTAGTTTAATCTTTCATGTCACTTCATTCTGTGCTGCGGCCTCTCTGTGTGTTTTTTCCCTGCTGTAGTTAGGATTTTGGAGCAATGAAGGAGCCGGAAGTTGAAAAGTCAGTGGAGGGTAAACATACCTGACCCCAAACCCTTTCGCCTGAGACGGTGGGGGTGGAGGGTAAACATACCTGACCCCAGACCCTTTCGCCTGAGACGGTGGGGGTGGAGGGTAAACATACCTGACCCCAGACCCTTTCGCCTGAGACGGTGGGGGTGGAGGGTAAACATACCTGACCCCAGACCCTTTCGCCTGAGACGGTGGGGGTGGAGGGTAAACATACCTGACCCCAGACCCTTTCGCCTGAGACGGTGGGGGTGGAGGGTAAACATACCTGACCCCAGACCCTTTCGCCTGAGACGGTTAAAGGCATCTCAGAGCTAAACCTCTGAAATCTTCTCCTCTGACTTTTCATTGCAGCATGATTAAAGGTGTATGTGGGTGTGTGTGTGTTGAAGCGGGGGAGCTTTCTGGCTTAGTAATCACAAGACTTTCTAATGAAGCTCTTGAAAAATCTTCCACATGAGGCTGTCTTCTTAGGTTGAGTGGTCTTTCTCCTGGGGAGCCTCCAGGCCCTGGGGAAGCACTTGTGGGATGGAGCTCCGTGTGGGTGGGATGCAGCCTCCTTTCCCACAGTTCTGAAGGCTCAGCTCCATGTCAGGCCACACAGCACATTATTAAAAGGACTGCACTTTTGCCTGCCCTCCAGGCTGATACCTCTGAAAGGTTTAGAAACCCATGAGACGCTCATGGGTTTTATATTTTTTGGAGGAGACTAAGGCTAAAGGTTTTACCACGAGAAGAGAAGGGGTTAGGAAAAAAAAGATGGTGGCCAAAAACATTGTGTGTCTCAGTAACCTTACCAGGTTCAAACTCAAAGCCTGCTTATCATCACCTCCCCAGGCAGTGACACCGGACATGGCACTCAGAGATGAGTTCTGTTCTCTCTTCGTGGGGCAGACATACAGATTGCCGCCGTCCCCACCCCCGCAGCTCTAGGAGCTGCTGTGCTCCATGATCACCTCCCCCCGTTCAGACGTCCCTCACCTCCTCTGTGCCATGGCCCTGCCCCGGTCCGTGCTTGTATTACAGGTGCATCCTGGCTCTACATTAAGAGAATGACAGCAGCACAGCAATGACAGCAATGCTGTGAACACTCACTATGCCAGACACTGCAACCCAGGCTTTGCATAGAGTATCTCACTAATCAACTCTCTAAGTGGAAACAATTCACTGTTCTTTATAGAGGAAGGAATGGAGACTCAGAGAGGTTGAGTGATTTACCCTGTGTCTCACAGCTGGTAAACTCTAACCAGGGTTTGACTGAGCCTTAAACCCAGTATGTCAATCTCTGTGCTGTACTTTACCTGCCATCCTTTTCCCCTCCCTCCTTCTGAACCAGGAGGCAGAGACCAGATGTCAGTGTCTCTCTGTAGCAACCAAGCTGTCTCTGAGATCTGGCACTTGGGGAGCTGAAATAGCTGGAGGCTGGCCTGGAGGGTCAAAGTGAAGCTAAGGTGAGGGCCAGTGTTGGTCAAAGCCACCAGGCTTGTCACATTGTCACCTTTTCATGTATAGACTTGAATAGGTACCTACAGAATAGAACAGAGCTCCCACGTTCCTGCGTGGACAAAAAGGGTAAGTATGCTATCTTCCCATCTCCATCAACCTGTAAATGAAGAGGTAAAGCAGGTGCCCCATCAGTGAAGCAAAGTGCGTAGGGCCTCATTAGCTTGTGTTTTTGGAGGCTTCTGTGAACAGCAGGTACTCAGAGTTAGCCCAAGGGAGAGAACAAAGCTGCCTCCATTTAGAGTACAGGGAAAGCATCAATTTTTCATCTTGTCCAGATGGATCTGCAGCTTCTTTAAGAAAAAGAAAAAAAGCCCAGTAAAGTCGGTCTGCGCTGGGAGAGCAGGAACAGTATTGATCATCTGCCACTGCTTCTTACTTCTTGATAATAGTTAATCCGTGACTCCACTTTTCTGATCACTGATGGGGCTGTAAAGCCATTCTGATCTCATTCAAAGGATGAGATCAAGTGGAATTGGGGAGGAGATGCTTGAGGCTTTCCCAAATCTCACCAGGCCCCAGAGCTTCAGAGGTGGTGAGGCTGGCACAGTGCCCTGTAGCCAAAACAGTAGCCCTGAGGACGGGGGCTCCCCGCAGAGTAATCAGCTCTTTCAAGCGTGGGCTTCAGCACTCCAGCCCAATGGTGAGCTCCATCATCCTAGGAATGCTTCTAGTGAAACAGAGTGGAAGGGACCTTTACAAAGCTCAGGGCTTTTCTTCATTTACGTGTTTGCCTGTGGAAATGCCAAAAAGTGAGTTCACCTCTGAAGGTTGCAGCCCCAACCCCCTTCAGTGAGTGTTGGTGGTTAATTTTGAACAAGAGTCCTGGGAATCCCAGTTCATGTCTAAGGCTTTTCAACCTTCTAATGTTAACTTTATACCCACATCTCTCTTCCCCTAGGTTGTTAGACACTTGTCTGGTACTCAAAAAGACATGCTAATTAAATGGCAGGGAGACCAAGATTTAAAGTCAGCTGCTGCCAATGGGAAGGTGCCAGGTCTCTTCTTTTACAGACAGAATCCTTCTCAGGTTCATTCCCTGGGATTCTCTGTGCGTCGCTGAGAGTCCGGACCCTGTATGGCAACCTGCATATGTCACTTCCTGCAGCCAGCAGCCCCTGCTTGCCACAGGCCCATCTGCCCCTTCCTAAGGAGCCGGACACTCCCTGTCCTCTTCTCCTGACCCCGCTGTGGTCCCTGCACCTACCTGGGGACCACTGCCCACCTGGATGTCCACTTCTCACAGGTCACAGGGTCAGGCAGGGACTGAGCTCCAGGGAGTGGGAGGGTCCTCTTGGCCTAGGTGTGGGAATTAAGAGAGAATTCTGTACACAAGGGCTGCGGGAGGGGGTGATGGCAGCTCTCCAGAAAAATAAAAACAACATCCAGGGGGAGGAAAGATCAGGGAGGGGACTCTCCATCCCAGGTCTGTGAACACCAGACACAGCGCTTGCTGTGAGCCTTTGCAGCTTTCCTTTCTTTGAATGCTCTGATTTTTTTCTCATTGCTGAGCGTATTGAACAGGAAACAATAACAAACTCAGAGAAGATGCACATTCACTGAAGCATGGAGGGAGATTCTAAGCCACAGGCATTGCATTTCGGTAGCCAAAGTCAGAAGCCACTGGCAGTGGCGGCAGAGAGGGAAGAACACAGGTGACTTTCCAGAGGGATCTCAGGAGACAAGAGTCAGACGACCTAGGATCTAGAAGCATTCATAGAGCTTTGTGGTAGAGTTCTGCTGGCTGCGATGGTCGCCTCCCACCTGACCAGGCCCTGCAGGGAGACTCAGGGAGCAGTGTGGACTGGCAGAGTGCTTAGTGCTGCAGCCAGGCGACCCAGGCTTCTGCTTACTCACCTGCAAAATGCTATTGCGGTGTCTTCACAATTCATTCAAACACCCCATGTAACAAAAGCAGTGTACTCCACTGATAATATTTTTTGAATCCTGTCTTTTTGGGAAAAACACTGATTGTTCTGTGTCCATGGTAACAGGTAACTCTGCCAGTCTGGTTTAGTCCCGCTTAATAGATTGAGGGCAGCTTCCCTTCTCCCTGGTCCACCAGCAGCAGAGCCTTTTCAGATGCCAGTAGCGGAAGTTGCTCCCATGCAAAGCAAGCCACTTGTACTCTACTTGCTGCCATCCAAGGCTGAGGTGAGCATGGGGTTGGGGGAGAAGTTCAGGGCTGTCTCATGGGGACAGACTTCTGGCAGAGGCAGATGAGCAGCAGTGAGTGCTCAGGAGCAAGTCCCTGCACCTGCAGCGTGGCCAGATTTATCAAACACAAACAGAGGGCACCCAATTTAATTTCAATTTTAGATAATTAGTTTTTGTATACATGTATTTCAATCATTGCATGAGACACACACTAAAAAACCTGCCATCCTGTACTTTCTGTGAAAACCCTACACTCTTGCCATCTCAGCCACCATGGGACTGGTAATGTTAGGGTCACTGTGGGCTTGGGACAGAGGGGCCATGCTGGGGGCCTGGCAGATGTGCCCAGGGCCATGTGAGAAGCACAGCAGGGGCCACCTGTGGGCTCGAGATCCTCTGGTGCCCAGCAGTGTCCTGGAGGTGCCTCTGCAGTATTGGACTCAGGGACACTGAGAGCCACAGGCCCTGGGTCAGGGCTTGGCTAAGATGAGATGAGCTTCCAGGGCTTTGAGATGGGCCATGAGGACACTGCAGCTGAATAATCCACATGCAGTATTCTCATTTTCATGAAATGCTTAATTCAAGTGCCCTTTCTGCTCAGTTCTTTTTTTTCCCAGTCTTATAGCTGTGAATTAAGTTTCTTCTGGAGCTCCTCCTCATCATCCTTAAGTCCCTTTGGGTTTCTGGGAGAGCTGCATCTTGCAGTGTGAGCAGGCGGGCCCAGGAGCAGCTGATGAGAAAAGCAAGCCGAGCAGAGCTTGAAAACACACCTGGTGATGGGGAGATGCCGGCTCAGGACACACTCAGGACACACCTGGTGATGGGGAAATGCCAACTCAGGACACGCCTGGTGAGGGGGAGATGCCAACTCAGGACACACTCAGGACACACCTGGTGACGGAGAAATGCCGACTCCGGACACACCTGGTGACGGGGAAATGCCGACTCAGGACACACTCAGGACACACCTGGTGATGGGGAAATGCCGACTCAGGACACACCTGGTGATGGGGAGATGCCAACTCAGAACACACCTGGTGAGGGGGAGATGCCGACTCAGGACACACTCAGGACACACCTGGTGACGGGGAGATGCCGACTCAGGACACACCTGGTGATGGGGAGATGCCAACTCAGAACACACCTGGTGAGGGGGAGATGCCAACTCAGGACACGCCTGGTGAGGGGGAGATGCCAACTCAGGACACACTCAGGACACACCTGGTGACGGGGAGATGCCGGCTCAGGACACACTCAGGACACACCTGGTGATGGGGAGATGCCAACTCAGGACACGCCTGGTGAGGGGGAGATGCCAACTCAGGACACACTCAGGACACACCTGGTGACGGAGAAATGCCGACTCCGGACACACCTGGTGACGGGGAAATGCCGACTCAGGACACACTCAGGACACACCTGGTGATGGGGAAATGCCGACTCAGGACACACCTGGTGATGGGGAGATGCCAACTCAGAACACACCTGGTGAGGGGGAGATGCCGACTCAGGACACACTCAGGACACACCTGGTGACGGGGAGATGCCGACTCAGGACACACTTGGTGATGGGGAGATGCCAACTCAGAACACACCTGGTGAGGGGGAGATGCCGACTCAGGACACACTCAGGACACACCTGGTGACGGGGAAATGCCGACTCAGGACACACCTGGTGATGGGGAGATGCCGACTCAGAACACATCTGGTGACGGGGAGATGCCGACTCAGGACATGCCTGGTGACGGGGAGATGCCGACTCAGGACACACCTGGTGACGGGGAGATGCCGACTCAGGACACACCTGGTGATGGGGAGATGCCGACTCAGAACACATCTGGTGACGGGGAGATGCCGACTCAGGACATGCCTGGTGACGGGGAGATGCCGACTCAGGACACACCTGGTGATGGGGAGATGCCGACTCAGAACACATCTGGTGAGGGGGAGATGCCGACTCAGGACACACTCAGGACACACCTGGTGACGGGGAGATGCCAACTCAGGACACGCCTGGTGATGGGGAAATGCCGACTCAGGACACACTCAGGACACACCTGGTGACGGGGAGATGCCGACTCAGGACACACCTGGTGACGGGGAGATGCCGACTCAGGACACACCTGGTGATGGGGAGATGCCGACTCAGAACACATCTGGTGAGGGGGAGATGCCGACTCAGGACACACTCAGGACACACCTGGTGACGGGGAAATGCCGACTCAGGACACACCTGGTGATGGGGAGATGCCGACTCAGAACACATCTGGTGACGGGGAGATGCCGACTCAGGACATGCCTGGTGACGGGGAAATGCCGACTCAGGACACACTCAGGACACACCTGGTGACGGGGAGATGCCGACTCAGGACACACCTGGTGACGGGGAGATGCCGACTCAGGACACACCTGGTGATGGGGAGATGCCGACTCAGAACACATCTGGTGAGGGGGAGATGCCGACTCAGGACACACTCAGGACACACCTGGTGACGGGGAAATGCCGACTCAGGACACACCTGGTGACGGGGAGACGCCGACTCAGAACACATCTGGTGACGGGGAGATGCCGACTCAGGACACGCCTGGTGACGGGGAAATGCCGACTCAGGACACACTCAGGACACACCTGGTGACGGGGAGATGCCGACTCAGGACACACCTGGTGACGGGGAGATGCCGACTCAGGACACACCTGGTGATGGGGAGATGCCAACTCAGAACACACCTGGTGAGGGGGAGATGCCGACTCAGGACACACTCAGGACACACCTGGTGACGGGGAAATGCCGACTCAGGACACACCTGGTGACGGGGAGATGCCGACTCAGGACACACCTGGTGACGGGGAGATGCCGACTCAGGACACACCTGGTGATGGGGAGATGCCAACTCAGAACACACCTGGTGACGGGGAAATGCCGACTCAGGACACACTCAGGACACACCTGGTGACGGGGAGATGCCGACTCAGGACACATCTGGTGATGGGGAAATGCCGACTCAGGACACACCTGGTGACGGGGAGATGCCGACTCAGGACACACCTGGTGACGGGGAGATGCCGACTCAGAACACATCTGGTGACGGGGAGATGCCGACTCAGGACACACTCAGGACACACCTGGTGACGGGGAAATGCCGACTCAGGACACACCTGGTGACGGGGAGATGCCGACTCAGGACACACCTGGTGACGGGGAGATGCCGACTCAGGACACACCTGGTGATGGGGAGATGCCAACTCAGAACACACCTGGTGACGGGGAAATGCCGACTCAGGACACACTCAGGACACACCTGGTGACGGGGAGATGCCGACTCAGGACACATCTGGTGATGGGGAAATGCCGACTCAGGACACACCTGGTGACGGGGAGATGCCGACTCAGGACACACCTGGTGACGGGGAGATGCCGACTCAGGACACGCCTGGTGACGGGGAGATGCCGACTCAGGACACACCTGGTGACGGGGAGATGCCGACTCAGGACACGCCTGGTGACGGGGAGATGCCGACTCAGGACACACCTGGTGATGGGGAAATGCCAACTCAGGTACTCTTCTCTTCTTAGCTTCACCTGGCCTGCTTTGGACATTTCCACGAAGGAAAGACATGGCAAGGGGCCCTGGATACAAGACGGGCTTGGGTTAGCAGACAGGGAAGCATTTTCTGGATCTCAGCTGAGCACCAGATCCTGCACAAGGATATTCAGAGCCACAGCCCCCTCCCTGCTCCAGGACCTAGACCCCCACACTGCAGCCCTGGGGATAAGGGCTGTGGCTCCCAGCGTGGCCCACCAGACCTGTCTCTGCCTCAGTTCCCAGCTCCACTTGGGCTTCCTGTGTGGAGGGAAAGGTGTGCAAGGAGCCTGGGAAGTCATTTTCTGCCAGATCCAAGCCTGCTAAATTCCCCTTCCTGAGGAAGAGGCTGGCAGGAGTCACACCCAGGCAGTTTCATTGCCTCCTGTCTTGTCTGGGACATAAGCCTGGGGTGGGAGCTGGTGGGAGACCTCCCTCCTACTGCCCAGGTCTCCTGGGCACAGAGGAGCCATTGGCATCTGCCACAGGTAGGGCTGACTCACCCAGCAGCCTGGCCTTCTTATGTCTAGGCTCAAGGGCCGTTAGGGAGACTTGAGCAGTCTTTGGCAAGTGCTTCTCTCCCATAGCTGCCTCCCCAGGCATTTGAGATTCTCTTTTTGGGAATAAGCCCTCAGTGAAAACTAAAGCCTGTGGCAAAAGCCTCTTGGACAGAAATGCAGTGAGTGACCTTTGCGGAGGTGGAGCTGGGGAGAGTACTGGGTCCCGGGCAAACCAGGAAGGCAGTGAACCAGTACTGAAAACTGTCCTCTTTCGCTTCTCTTTTCCCATCCCTAGATGCCAGCACCTCGTCTGACTCCAGCACAACAAGCAGCCTGTAAGGCTTCCAAAGGTTCATTGTGGCCTGAAGGACCTGGGCAGTTCTGATGCCACCATTGGCTCCTTCAGGATCCCTCTAGAGAATCACAGAGCACTGGGTGGGACTCTGCAGGTCTGGGGCTTAATCAAGCCCAAATGCCTGCCTCAGCTCTGCCCCCGGTGCATCGGCAAGGCTGCCCTGGCCCTGCCTGCCTTCAGGAGCAGACAGAAAGGTTGGGACTTTCAGCAGCATCCACAGGCTTGGAGACACTTGCTCTGGTGGACCATGAGGAGCTGGGGTGGACATTGCCCTAGCTCTGTGACATTGTCCGATCTTGCAGCCTAGGAAGGGCCTGATGACTGAAGCCATGCCTGCCCTCAGCTGAAGGCCCTGTTTGGACCTGGGGCCTCCTGGCCTGGTTGAGTGGCCACAGAGCACTTTTTTTGGTGACTGATTCTTGGAAAATAGGGTGGGACCCAGAAAGATGCTCCATAATCTTACACAGCCTTTCACATGCACTTCAGAAGAACGATCAACCATGTGCTCTCACCCCTGCCACCCAGCACCATGGGGTCATCAATGGGGAGATCACAGCTGTGGGCGGCGAAGGGAGTGATAGGGAAGGCACTCAGCTGGGCCTTGGGAGTGGGGTAGGACACAGAGCAGGGCTCCCCTTTGCTCACCGGCCTGAGGGGGCCACTGGCCAAGGGTGTGTCTGTAGAACGCCCATAGAATCTGTTGCCTAAGTTGGACATTTTTGTGAATGAAAAGGATGCTATTAACAATTATATCAGAACCATCTAGGAAAGATTGCACTTTATGGTTACCTAAGAATATGAAACGGAGAGTTTGGGGGTTTGGCAGTGGTGATGAGGAAATGCAAAATAAAGTTGTGGGGACAACCCAGAATAGACCAGAGTACATGGCCCCTGTTCAGCCTGGCAGTGGGTGGGCGTTCCCATCAGGCATTGGGAAAGTAAGGCTTGGGCTCTGGCTGTGGTCTGGGGAAGAAGGGATGCAATTGGAACAGACTGGAAGGGGCCTGAATGGCTTTGGACAGTGGAGGACATGGTGGGTTCTGGGCACAGTGGCAAGGCCAGTGCTGGGCTTTAGGACGATCACTCTGTCATTGGCAAGGTGAGTGGAGAGAGGCACCACATCCAAGATGGAGAAGCCGAACCCAGCCACCAGTGCCGGGGGTGGGAGGGGCGGGGGCTGAGCAGGCCATGAGCCAGGAAGTGGGGTACATTCCGGAGGTTTGTTCTCCAGGCTCCTCAGGCCCGCAGCAGGGGGTCCTTCTTGAATGGGCAGCTGAAACTACACTGTGCCCCCTCTAAGGCCTGTGCTGTGCGAGCAGCTTCATGGAGAAAAGTGGCCCAGCCGGGTTCTGCTAAGGTGTTGCTGGGGTCACATAAAGCAACAGCCCCCAGTCCAACTCACCCACACCCCTTAATAACCAAGCCACTGGCTGTTCCAAAATTCTCCTCAGTGGATACCCCATTTGTCTGCTACTGCAAAGTACAACAGATGCTCACTGGAACCTGACAACATTAGTCTCCTGTGCCTCAGTTTCCACAGCTGAAGGGGATGGCTCTCTTGCACGCCACCCCTCAATAGGAACACTTCCCAGATGGCTGCAAGCTGGTGACTCCACTTCCCACTCCTGAGACCCAGCTATGGAAGTCCAGGGGCAACCCCTGCAGGGTGGGGTGTAGGTCCTACAGACGTCACAGAGGGAGGCCTGCAGGCACAGGCCAGAGCCCATCTGAGGGTTCGAGATCCTCACCCAGGAGGGAGGGCCAAGAAGCAGCTTCCATGAGTCCCTTGTCGGCCCCGGTGGCATGGTCGGGTTCCTCCTTCTGTCTGCTGTGCTCAGTACTGGGCCTCTGGTGCCAGTGCACTCCCTTCAGCACCCTGTTCCTTCCTCCTGGCAGTGAGCCAAGAGGTCTACACTGCGAGCCAAGTGAGGTCAGAGACTCGTTATCCAATGATGCAATAACTCTCTGAGGGGATTGTTAGGGACGGATAGGGGTGGTCATGTAAATTTCACAGAGCACATCCAACACCTGTTCCAGTTACATCTCTGGAAAAGGCAGGGGAGATATTTATCGCCAGGTCCACCCCAGCCCGTGGCCCCAGACGATACCAAACCCACAGGCTGGATTTGCGGGTGAGGTGTGGAGGCAGAACGAATGCTCTAGCAGCTGCTCTTCTTTGCTTCCCCCACACGTCTCTGTACCTCTGTATTCCTGGAGCTCAGAATGCCTGGCTGTGACACTGCAGGGAGCCTTCCTGGCCATTTGCTGAGTGTCGGCCGCTTGTCAGTTCTGCACCATAGCAGGGTCCTGACACCCAAAGTCCATATTGCACCCACCCCTGCAGTTCTCACAGCCTCCACATGCTTCCCTGGCTTCCACACCACTGCCAGTTCCTGCTCTAAAAGACATTTGAGGTTGGACGCGGTGGCTCATGACTGTAATCCCAGCACTTTGTAAGGCCGAGGCCGGTGGATGGCTTGAGGTCAGGAGTTCGAGACCAGCCTGGGAAATATGGTGAAACCCTGTCTCTACAAAAAATACAAAAATTAGCCGGGTGTGGAAGATTGCACCACTGCACTCCAGCCGGGGCAACAGAGAAAGACCCTATCTCAAGATAAATAAATAAATCAAATTTATGTTCCTAACTCGCACACGGGTGCTTCCTTTGGGGTCTGTGTTTTCCAAATGCTTAAATAGAAATAAATGCCAAGTCAACAGTTACTTTTGTCTTCAGTGCAGGCCCTGTTGTGCTATTGTGTGGTTTCATTGGTTGTGGTTACAGAATATGTTCTTCTCTCCAACACTTCCCTGTGCTCTCTAGACAAGTGGCTTGCCATCTGAGTGGGAGGTGGGCTGGGACCGTCTTCATCGTCTCTAGAGCTGGATGACCAAGTGAGGTGAATGCCTCTTTCAAGCCTTGATCCTTTGGGGCTTGGAGAAGCACATTGGAAATACTAGAAAAGTGTGGCCACTAGGACATTGACATTTAGATTGCTGGTCCTCCACACAGTGAAATGTGTGAGACTTAAAAAAATGAGAAGATTTGTCATGTCCACTGTTTTGGAGAACAGTGATGAGAATTAGCAACTGCCCTATAGTAAATTCATTCCATTTGAGGCAGCAGAAACAGTGCAGCGTGGTCTAGCATTCCACAGTCCCAGAGAGCACCTGAGTGCAGAACCAGCCCTTTTAGGGTGTGCATACACGGTGTGATCCCCTTCCTTTAAATAATTTTTCTGTCTCTCTAACTCCTCATTCATGATCCCTCCATCCATCTATGCATCCATTCATCCATGTACCCATCCATTGATCTATCCATCTATTCATTCATTCATCCATGCCTCAACCACCCATGTCTCCAACCATCCATCCATCCATCGATGCATGCATCCATCCATCTGTGGATCTATTCATTTGTGCATCCATGCACGCATCCATCCATGCCTCCAACCATCCATGCCTCCAACCATCCATCCATCCATCCATCCATCCATCCATCCATCCATCCATAAATCTATCCATGAATCTATTCATCCATTCATGCATCCATCCATGCATCCATCTATCCATCCATCCATCCATCCATGCATCCATCCGTCCATCCATCCATTCATCCATGCATCCATCCATCCATCCATCCATCCATCCATCCATCCATTCATCTATCCATCCAACCATGCATTCATCTATTCATGCATCCATCTATTCATGCATCCATCCATTTATTACAACACAACATATTCAAAACTTTTGTCCCCATTCTTTTCTTAACCTGAAACTCTCTTCTTCCAGAGGTCCACATGGTTCGTCTCTGCTTGTTCCCTGAATGTGCTCAGGTTTTCCTTGCCTAAGGAGGCTTTCCCTGACCACCCTATATAAAAATAGCAGCTCTCTTACTGTTCTTCTTAATTCTCCTTATTATATTTTAGGTTTGTTAATATCATTTTGTTGATACACTATTTTATATTATTTTGTTTATAGAAGGACAAAGGATTTGTTAGTTTCATAATTTTATTATATCCTAACCTAAAACAGTACTAGGTCTGAAATAAGTACTCAATGTACATTTGTTGAAAAATAGAGTCGATGAATAAATGAATGTTATAGCTAGGTACATGCTATCTTTAAGAATCACCCTTTTGGAAGATTATATACTTAATTCCAATGGTGCCACTCATAACTTTTTTAAATTAATAATTACTTGTGTTTAGCACCAAGACATGCTACACATGTATACATGTTTATTTCTAACTCATGATATGATGCTGCAGGAGGGTGATGTTATTCCCACTGTTAAGATGAAGAAATGGGGCTTCCTAAAGTCATACAGCTCATGGATGGCAGGTCCAGGCTTCTGACTCAGTACATCTGCAGTCAATCTCCTTCCCTACTCAACCAGTCATCCCAGACTTTCTTTCACACAAGCCTCCCATATCTGTTTTAAGAACTGCACACAGAACCCAGCCCCATCACTCTGTGGCCACATCTGGCCCTTCATCTTGTCTGTCTGGCATCCTGATTCCTTACCTTGTCTGATTTGGCACCAGAAGATTTTGATTATTTCCCAAAATCAAACACCCCATAAAAAGTTAAACTGTGCCTGAAGACAAGACCAAATGTGCTGCTGAAGGCAGTGCCAAAGGGGCTGGTTCCCACATGATTATAAGAGCGGCCTTCATAGGGAGAAGGCTTTTGAAGGAAAATGCATTTCAGTATAAATATTATGTTGTGTTTGTAAAAAAAAAAAAGATAGTTCCAGATTTTCACTAACTCTATGTGGTGGTTTTCCAAAAACCAACTAAAACAGTTGGGCAATTTTCAAGTAAATTCTAAAACCCTTTGTAAGTGTGTTTTACATATGATTTCTCAGCACAGTCACAGTCTATTAATTGGCATTGATTCTAAGAATTACACAGAATTCTGTCCATTCTCTTATGCCAAACAACTTTCTGGGTTTTTTTGTTGTTGTTGTTTGCTTGTTTGGTTGTTTTAAGGTCTGTAAGCAAAGAGACAGAGGCATCACTAAGGTTTTTTTTTTCCTGACATTTCTACCTTGTAATATGAAGAACCTCACTTGATCAGAAGATTTAATTAAGTTGCTCTTAATGGAGAAATTCCTTTTGGTTCAGCAGAACACCTATTTTATGACACAAGATATGGCCAAATCCACCACGATAGAAGATTCAGGTCTCTGCGCTGGGAGTATTTAGGGTCTCGCTCTGGTAGGAGAGAGGAACGGGCAGCCCATTTCCATTGGAATGTGACAAGGGCTGCACTAGAGGGCTCTCTCAGCACAGGCAAAGGGAAGCAGCCATTGCAGAGAGGGAAATCCTCCTGAAAAAGGCACGTGAGTGGAGTCCCCATGGCATTGATAGGAATGGGACAGTTAATGTTTATTGAGTCCTTGCTGTGAGCCAGGCACCATGCTGAGTGCTTAAATACATGTTCTCATTTTATTCCCACCACCACCCCATGAGATGGGAATTATTATTATTCACATTTTATGGCTGATGACACTGAAGCTCAATATTACTTTATTGGTACCAGGTGCTCCTGGGATTCAAGTCCTGGTCCAACTGAGCCCAAATGCACTCTTCAGCCTTGTTAGCCAGGGCCTGCAGTGCAGAAAGGTGTCAGCCACAGGGGGTGCTTGCCAATGAAAACTTGCCATGCTTTCTCTAAGTGCCTTAGGTTAGGGGTCCCCAACTCTGGGCTGCAGACTGGTACTGGTCAGAGGCCTGTTAAGAACTGGGCCGCACAGCAGGAGGTGACCTGCGGGTAAGCGAGCATTAGACCTGAGGTCAGCCTCCTGTCAAGTCGGCCACGGCATTAGATTCTCATAGGAGTGACTGCACATGTGAGGGATCTAGGCTATGTGATTATTTTGAGAATGAATGCCTGATGATCTGAGGTGGAAAAGTTTCATCCAAAAACACCCTCCTGTCCATGGAAAAATTGTCTTCCATGAAACCGGTCCCTAGTGCCAAAACGGTTGGGGACTGCTGCCTTAGGTGACTAAACACATTTAATCCTTAAAACAGCCTATGGAGAAAACATTGTCTCCTGGTAAGAGTTGCAAAACCTACAGCACAGAGAGGTAGAATACTTGCCCTCACTCATCTTGCTAGTAAGACAGGGCTAGGTTTCAAACCCAGCTGGGCCAACACCAGATCCTGGCTCTCAGCATGGTCCTGCCTGCATGGGTGTTTGCAAAACAACATGCAGATCTGCGGCATGAAGGGAGCCTGTGCCATGGTGAGTGCCAAGACTGGAGGGAAAGTGGGTATCGGGGAGACCTTGTCCAGGGGGCATGTGCACTGTGCCTGTGAGCTTAGACTTTGCCCTCAAGGAGATCAGGGTGGGGCATTGAGGGATTTGAAGCACCAGGGTAACACGGTCAAATTTGCATTTCAGTGAGATCCAGTTGGATATCATACAGAGGGCAGGCTCATGTGGACAAGTCTAGACACAAGAAGACCAACCAGTGGGCTGATGCAGAGCCCTGCCTGCCAGGAGAAGGTGATTTTAGCATGGGTGCATCAATGAGTAGGAAGAAATGAGGGAAGGGAGGCAGGGATGGGCTGTCCCTTTTAGTGCATTGGAAGAGCTCACCCTTAAGGAAGATGAGAACTGGCTTTTTGGAAAGAGCCCAAAGTCTCTGTAGCAGAGGGGAGGCAAGTAAGGTCACATTCATGTCTAAATTGAGATAACTCAACTTTCCCCTCCTATCTTCCCTTAGCTAACAGGAGCTCATCCCTTTGTAAAATTTATTTTCTTGGCACTTTCCTGAGAGTCTCTAGGTTTCCTAGTTGACTGACCAGTGTCTATTCTCAGCCTCCTCTCCCTCTAGTGACTTTCCACTACGAAGCCTAGGGAGTGACCCACTCAGCCTTACAGCTCAGTTTCACCATGCGACCCAACCCTTAGTCATGAGATGCCAGGGAACATTTGCCTTTTTGATAAAGAAAAAACCCTCCTCCTCCCTCAACTTCTCTCTGCCTTGAATGAGGATGTAATGTCCAGGGCTCTGGCAACCATATGACAAGCAAAGTGGAAGAAGTCATAGGAACTGCAGATATTTAGGTCTGACACCACTGAGCTGTCACTTACCTTCTGATTTTTCATTATGTGAAAAATAGAAAGTGCTATTTGTCTAAGTTACTGTTGGCCAGTGATTATTTCATCAGCTGCTGAAAGCAGCTCCAACCGATGCATGTGTACTGCTCCTCAACCCCAGACTGTCAACACTCACTCCTGCTGCTTGGGCTGGAGACACTGGCCTCACCTCCTGCCTGCTGGTCTCTGAGTGTCTCACCGAAGGACAAGGGATGTTCTTGCAGAACAAGGAGAAGTATTCCTTTTTCTGTTTGCCAAGGAGAGGGGTCCCTAGGTAGGGCTGTTTGGAACTAACTTTCAGTTCACCTGCAGATTTTATTTTCTGTCCAAGGCATACATCCAGTAGGGGGGCACTGGGTTCAGGGAAAGATAAGTAGCAGCTCTCACTTGGGCTTGAAGGTCAACACTTCTGTCCTGCCCATTCCTGCTTAGAGAATTTCCTGGCAAATCACAAGGGCCCTGTGAGTGTGAACCATTAATCTTTCTGTGTGTATGATTATGCGAGCTTGTGCAGTCATCTCGGAGGTTATCACCTGCATCGTCTCTCAGGGTTGTTGCCAGATGCAGGAAAGTGACCACACATAAATCACCTTGCATGGATCCAGGATGTGCCTGCCATGCGCTGCATGGGAGCTTCATTCCTGGTCCTTTCCGACAAGACCTTTTATAATATCAGGTGTGACAAACTCCGGAGGCACCAAGCAGGAGGTGCTCCCTCTTCCTGAAAAAGGCTTTCCCGGTCTACCCACATCAGAAAAGACCTCAACTGGCTAATCCAAACCCTCCATGCTGATTTTTAGGGCTATTTTCTCTGGCTTCTTTTCTAGCAAATGGAACACAGCCAGTCTCCTGCACAGACAGTTGCTGATTTTGTGTAGTGTAAGAGACAGTTATTATAAGCATCTGTCAAACTCCACTCCAAACAGAATTCAGGCTGAGTCCATCCATCCAAATGCAGGAAATGAGGCCTCTTCCCATTTCCTGAGCCACTGCACAGGCTGCCCTTGTCACCTTCTGAGACAATTACTGGCCAATGTTCTGAATTGAGTCAATTCCCCATGATGAGCAGAGAAGCAGGAAGGACCGTGGATGCCAGCCCACACGCTGGAGAGATGGGGAAGTGAGATGCCATTTGAACCCCTGCCTGGGGGCCAACACAACACAAGCCCCACCCAGAAAGGAAGTACTCTTGGCCTCCTGAGAGACTCAGCTTAACCCCAGTTGTTTCTCCTTTTCAAGATAAACCTGCTCCGGGAGGCACGTCCACTTCTCAGTTTGGAGCAAATTCAAACCTTGCAGAGAGAGCAGCCATGTGGCCTTTATACTTAAATCCAGATTCTAAGCTGGTTTAATCCCAGCAATCCCAAGAAAAGGCATCTCCCTTTTCCTTTCGCAGCCTTCCTGGTTTGGACGCCCTTTCTGATGCAAAGCCTCAGGCCTTGTTGTGGTAGTGCAGGCCAGACGTAGAGACAATGCCTCCTTGGGAGCCGTTGAACACAGCGCATTGGGGAGGTTTGAAACACTGGCTCACTTAGAGCTCCGTGGGGCTCCACACTCCACTTGGGAAATAAGATGCTCCTCTGCCCTCACAAATATGCGTCCTGTCCCTCATCGTATTTGGTAACTTCCCTTAGTAGTCAGGGCTCTGCAGAGAACCTGGAGAGTAAGTGTCTCTATCTCTCAACATATTTAAGATAGATCGATGATAGATAGAGGACTGACAGATAGATAGATAAGAGATAGATAGGTAATAGATAGATTAGATGATAGGTAGATATGTAGATAGATCTGAGATATATGGATAGATGTAAATGTAGATATAGATATATAGACATATAAATATAAATATAGATAAAGATGTGGGTGCTGGAAAGTGTGAAATCTCTTGACTCTTGCATGATTCTGAAATTATGGGAAAGAGTAAGGAGAAGAATGATCTGAGGAACTCAGTACTATTCCCCAGCTTCGTAGAAAATGGAACAGCCAGGCTGTCCTTGTATGGGTTTAAAATTCCCTGGACACAACAGATTCCCTGGGCCTGCAGCACTTCTCTTACAAGACCTCTGTTTGAACGGGCTCTGCCTCACATAGTCTTCTCTTTTGACTATGAGGCCTTGATGTTACAGGGGTTGGATCTCTACGTGATACCCCAGATGCCTGTGCCACCATCAGCAGTGAGACTAAGCCCCATTGTTACGGCACACGGGTTGGATCTCTACGTGATATCCCAGATGCCTGTGCCACCATCAGCAGTGAGACTAAGCCCCATTGCTACGGCACACGGGTTGGATCTCTACGTGATATCCCAGATGCCTGTGCCACCATCAGCAGTGAGACTATGCCCCATCGTTACGGCACACACAATGCTCTGCACTTCAATAAATGAAACTGTAGGAATTTGATTGGATCTGAGTTTAAATCCCGGCTCTGGTTCTTACTACTTGGGTGACCGTCAGCAAATTCTTCAGCCTTTCTAGAGACTCAGTTTTCTTTGCTCTGTGATGATAGTGGAATTTCTTTAGGCTTGTTGGGAAGAGTTGATATCATATATCATATAAATAATGCCTGATGAAGAGATAACAGATAAGGAGTATTCGGTAAAGCACTATTCTCCCTATGTCACCACTCATAACAAAGTATTTTTAATCTGAAAATACTCAAATCTAAAACTGTTCTTTCCTGCTTTTATTCTCTAGAAAACAGTTAAACTTCAGGAAAATGTGTTGGGCTCTTTGTCCTTGCGATTCAGTTTTGCTCACTACAGTCTGCCGTAAGCAAGTTCTTGTCACTCCTGGGCAGGGCAGTGGAGGAAGGAGCGGCTCTCCATGTTGAAGTGCCCAAATCCTCCACACAGACAGCGACTGCAAGCCCCTCAGAGGGGCACTGCGAGCAGAGCCTCTGGCACTTGCTTCTATTGAGGAAGTTCAGAGACAAGTTTGATGTTTAATTACAGCAAGGATATATTTCTCAGCTAAGCTGATGCGCGACACTGCCTGTTCGTTTCTTTAGTTCTGATACTCATTATATTCATTTCCTTTTTCAGTATCAACCTTCATGTAAATGATTTTATTGTAAAAATGGAAAAAGTTAAGATATAAATAAACTTAACAGATCAAAATATTCCTGATTATATGTACATCAATAGCCAGCCAATCCCTGGGTTACATCCCTTCTAGATGTCATGGCATCTAATATATAAATATATGTATACTATGTTTGTATATATACACACAAGCATGTGCCAGCATGCATAAGCATGCCTGAGCTTCCTGTTTTGTTTTTCCTAGGCCACTGCTTAATGGAATCAGGCAAAATGCTGATTTGGATAGAGACTGTCATAATGCTTTGCAAAAAAAAGATAATGCACTCAGCAAACAGTTTCAACGATATCAGCTATGCTCCTAGAAATGACTTCACATCAGAATAAATATACTTAGAGAAAGGCACACACACGGTCTCAACAATAATTAGGGTTTGATCAGCAGTGGGAGGAAACACTTAAGAAAATGGTGAGATACAGCACACACCACCCCTTTCTGGGGCTCCACTTTTCTCCACTTGGGTGAGATTTCCTACCTGAGACTAGTGCTTCCATTGCACTGGGGGAGGAGAAGAGACAAAAGGGGTTAGCTTCAATTCCATAAAAAACCATGGAAAGAATCAAGAAAAAAGCTGAGGGCATGAAATCTGTGCACTCTAGCTTTGATTTTATGGTGGTGACATAGCTGAAAATAATTGATTTACATTAAAACAAGAAAATTCCTACTCAATTGCTAAAGAAAAAAAGTTAATAGGCCGGGCGCCGTGGCTCACGCCTTTAATCCCAGCACTTTGGGAGGCCGAGACCGGCGGATCACGAGGTCAGGAGATCGAGACCATCCTGGCTAACACAGTGAAACCCCGTCTCTACTAAAAATACAAAAAAAAAAAAAAAATTAGCCGGGCATGGTGGCGGGCGCCTGTAATCCCAGCTACTCGGGAGGCTGAGGCAGGAGAATGGCGTGAACCCGGGAGGCGGAGCTTGCAGTGAGCCGAGATCGCGCCACCGCACTCCAGCCTGGGCGACAGAGCCAGACTCCGTCTCAAAAAAAAAAAAAAAGTTAATAATATTTATTTTTAAAGATCCACTCTTGTTTTAATCTTGTTTTCTCTTTTCTCCAACCTGAGTAAACTCAGTTTTTCTCTCTAGACTTAGATCTTTCTTCACTGAGGTGCTACGTAGCTAGCCCTGCTTGTCGCTGTCCAGTGCTGAAAACGGCTCTCTTCCTGACCCTGGTATGTAATTAAGCAAGAGTTAAATGATTAGCCTTGAAAAATCAGCAAATGAGTCTTGGCTCTTGGAAGCAGTGTTTTTTTCTGCTTCAAAGAGCCTGTTCTCTTTATAACCTATAAATAATCAAGGCAAAAATCATAAAAGTTTAGGCCATCAGCATCACTTAAAATCTTCATAATCAAGGCTGTTAATGAATCACTACACCTGCATTAAAGACAAGAGTACACAAGCTGGTTTCTTACTTAAATACTGCTTCTTATTAGCTCAAGCACATTGAAAATGCATGCAGAGTATCTGCCTTTCTTTTACTTCCTGTAAAGTAAGACATATAAATGGCGTCATTTACCATCCGTCAGAATACTGGAAACCATATCTACAAAATATCTGCTCTGTCACACTTTAAAGGCCTTATAGCTTCAGGAATCTCCTATTCAAATATAAATACTTCTAGAAAAAGAAAAAAATTAAGCTTTAGCAGGCATATACATATTTTCACATGCACACACAACCTGAGGAGGGTTGGTGGCACCCAGCTGAGCTTTAAAGTATTCTTCAGTTAAGTGCTCAGGTGAAAGACCTAAGCAGGGTGCCAGAATAATTAAGGTGAAGGAAGAGTCTAGGAAAATATGATTGATGAGTTCTACAGGCAAATATCCAATTCATTTTTCTTATTTGGAACTTGAAAGTCTATTTGTCTTTCACTCATTCATCCAGCCCAAGTGCAAATCTATGCCTAACCTTGAGATCTGCCCAGGAAAGAATTTTTTGCTACATTTAGCAATGCTATGGGTATGACAGTATCCCAGGAAGGAGGAGGAGGTATTGGTGATGGAGAAGAAGGTAGAGAAAGGTCTCCTCTATATCAGCCTCAGCCACGACCTTGTGCACATTTCTTAGCTAATTATCCTGTCAACTCTATTGGGCTCTCTGAAATGGACTCTTTCCCATTTTAACACCATATCTGAGAAATTTAGTTGCAAGTCCAATTTGCAAATTATGTAATCGGCTCTAGAATTTCAACATACATACAGCTGTAAATTAGGAGGTAGTATTTTCTCAAAATGCATAACCTAGGGATAGGCAGCTGATGGTGTTATTTTAGAGCTAGCTGGTGTGAGTGATGGAGTGATGGTCTTTCTTTGTTCTGTTGGCCTTTGTTTTATGCTTATGACTTTGCCATGAACAACATGGCACGTCCAACTCAAAATTATATCTGTAATCAAAGCAGAAAAATAAAAAAATTTCATTAGTTTCAACTGTTTCTTCTATTTGGAAAGAAAATAAATGTTCTAGACTTCCCCCACAGTAATCACATATAATTAATTAGTCTGAAAAATGACATATCACTACCCCTACTGTCAAAAAGGCTTAGGAAAATAGTATTGAGTTTTCCAGGCCCTATAGTAAAGTAAATAAAAAAAGTGTTTGCGATCGCCTAATTAGTGAGCTAAGTACATTGACTGCCATGGTGATAGAATAGGAATAAAACCTGGTTCATTAAATACAAATTTTATTCTCCCCTACCTCCTTCTCCACCACACACACATACATACTTTCCACTGTAAGATTTCTGGCTTGTTTTCTGAATCCATATCTGCTTTTCTATAAAATATGTATGTTTTCAAAGAAAGGCCATTTTCCATTCCAAGTTGCTTCTATTTTAAAAACAAGCTAAGTCACCTATTCAGGCAAAGCAATGCAAAATAGAAACTCACCACGTCAGGATTTAGGATCCCTTGTTTTTTATCCTGATTTGGTAAGAAATGGAAGATTTTTGCCTTCTCTATACTTCAGATTTAACTGTAAATATAAAGAAGCATTACCTTCTACCTCCTGACACAAGATGCATTTTGTTTGATATATTTATAAATGGATTTAAAACACTGTGTATAAGCTCTATAGACTGGAGTGATACCAATAATATCACTGTCCACTCCTACATACAACATCTGCACATAGCTCCATGACAAAAATCACTTCAACGTGCATAACCTTATTAGAGCCTTTCTTCATCCATTTATATGTTTAGTCTGAGTAGGAAAACATCTTACATTTTCACATCAGGCAACAACACCTCTCACAAAACACGTATTTTTCACACTTTCAATTGAAATCCAAATAGCTTTAAACATCTTGTTTTGTACAGCCCATCACTCATGCAACAGTCTCATTAAGTGTCTCTTAAAGTAATAACTGGCATGATGCTCCCTTCTCTCTTCCATCATCTGCCTCCCTCCAATGGACCCAAAGAGTGGAACAGGTCTGTCACCTGAGTGGAAAAGCTCCAGTGCCTTGAAGATATTGGGGTGCATTTCTGGGAGAAGTGGGCCGGGCTGAGGGATGTTTTCATGAGAATGTCAATGAACAGTTCAAAATAACTGATTCTGAGCAAGACTCATTGTTTGACTCATTGTTTTCTCTGGCTGTGGATGAAGAGAATTTCAATATAGCAATCAGGGCCTCCAGAAAAAATCTGCTGATTAAAAAGCCCAGCTGGACCTCAGCCCTCAGACCAAGGCCTAGAAAACTTTCTGGGGTGAGGAGATCCACAATGAAGGTTAGAGAATAGGTTTTGAACATCTCCGAAAAACTGAGTTTCTTCAGGTTTAGGGGTGGGTCAGAAAGGATGATGGTGCCGAGGACAGAGATGAGAGGCAAAGTATTCATTTGCCCACATAACCATGCCCAGGCTGCTACCTTCTTTGGTTAGAGTGCAGTGTTGGTAAAAATTGGAGACTCTGCATGCTCTGACCTCCCCCTCCTGCTGAAGTGAGGGGCCTTCTGTGTATTCTGCCATTTAGAAATGCTACTTACAAACTTTGATTAAAATGCATGAATGGGGCTGGGCACAGTAGCTCATACTTGTAATTCCAGAACTCTGAGAAGCCAAGGCAGGAGGGTTGCTTGAGGCCAGGTGTTTGACACTAGTGTGGAAAACATAGCAAAATCTCATATCTACAAAAATGTTTTAAAATTATCTGGGCATGGTGGCACACACCTATAGCCCCAGCTACTCAGGAGCCTGAGAGGGGAGGATTGCTAGAGCCCAGGAGTTCAAGGCTCCAGAGAGCTATGATTGTGCCAGGGCATTCCAGCCCAGATAACAGAGAGAGATTTCAATAAAATAACATAAAATAAAATGCATGAATGTATAAACAAATCTGGTTTATTCATATAATGGAATATTATTCAGCCACAAAAAGTAATGAAGTATTTGATACATGCTACAACTTTTCACTTAGCGTAATTTTCATCATGTGTTCATTATTTGAGCCTAATGTGCAGAAAATTAGACCAAAAAAATCAAGTACTGTATTATTTCATTTATCTAAAATATCTAGAACAGTTAAATCTGTACAGAGAACTAATTAGTGGTTGCTGATGTCTGGGAAGGAAGGAAAAATGGAAAGTGAGTATTTAAGGGTAAAGGACTTCTCTTTTAAAAAGACCATGAAAATATTTTGGAACTAGACAAAGGTATGATGGCACAACCTTGCAAATGTGCTAAACATCATTGAATTTAACACTTTAAAATTGTTCTTTATGTAGTATGAATTTTACCTCAGTAAACAAACAACCAATAAAAGCATTAGTGTAATTTACCTCAACGAGGAAACATTGCAGGGCTCTAATCGAATATATAGTTAACCTGACATAGTGGGCAACTTCTACTATGAATTCACTGTGTTTTCCACTGTCTTCTCTGGATCTGGCCTGACGATATGTTCTAGGAGACTTTCTACTTCAAGGCTATGAGACAGGCAGTGGGAGAATAGCATAATGTATTAGGCTGGAGCAAAAGTAATTGTAGCTTTGCCACTACTTTCAATGTGTCAATCTTTAGGCCTGTGTTTGATCTCGGTGTGGCATAAGGCCTAAAACTAAAGCCCTACATGATGTGCTGCCTTGACATTTGGTGAAACCATGGCAGCTTTGAAGATTCTAATGCAGTTCCCGCCCCACTCTGACTCTGTCAATAGGGCCTCCTAGTCAAACAGGCCTCCTTATACAGGGACTAGGCACAGTTTTTGTTTATACCTGAGAGGAGGCATTAGGCCCCCTGCCAGCCTGCACAGTTACTCAGACAAGCCAAATAGTCCTTCCCTGGAAACCAGGGACTCTCCACCCTCTTGAGACTGAGAAGCCCATCTGCCAGTCTTTGGCTGTTCCGTTTCTGAGTTATAAACTTTTGGCCCGTTGCTTAAGAGTTGTTTCCTTTGGGGTAAAGAACACTGTGATCTCTTGTATCACAGATACCACAGTATAAATGAAGATAATGGGTGCCTCTACAGATGCTAAGGGTGGCAGAACAAGGCCTCACCAGGACACTTCTCATCCCCATGGAATTCTACACTTTACTGGCAGTGACCAAGGCTCTCATTTCACTCCTCAGAGTGCCTAACGCCGAACTCTTGAAAAAGCCATTTGTTGGAATTTTCACCTCCCCTACAGGCCCTGAACAGTTGGCTTAACTGAGACATAATGGACTCTCCAAAGAACTCCTATTAAGGTAAAAAGTAGCAAATGGGTCTATTGCTGGGTGTCACTACTGCCAAGAGCATTGACTAGTCTCGAATCACATTCCTGCTTCCTGGGGACAAGCATTCACTGCACCAATGCCTCACAGTTCTCTCAATTTCCCTTATTGGCCATAATGGGAGACACCTCAAAGGTTCATGTTTTTGACAACTATCCCAACATGTGGCCCTCACCCTCCTGGCCTAGTACCCATTTCACTCCCTAGGGAGATACTTCTACTTTCCAGGAGCCTGAATGAGGTAGGAGCTCAGCAGGACTGGTTTTGCAGGTTCACCAAGAGCCTGCTGGTAAAATGAGACGTGGTAAAGAAGTGGGTCCAAACCTGCCAAAACCAAGATGTCAAGGAAAGCGACCTCTGGTTATGCTTATCATACACTAATTATAATACATTAGCATGCTACGGGAAACTCCCAACAGTGCATGACAATTTACAAATGCTGTGGCTACATGGCAACATTACCTTATATGGTTGAAAAGGGGAAAGAACCTTCAGTCCCGGAAATTGCCCACCCTTTTCCCAGAAAATTCATGAATAATTCACCCCTTGTTTAGCATATGATCAAGAAATAACCATAAAAATAGCCAACTAGCTGCCCTCAGGGCTGCTCTGCCTATGGAGTAGCCATCCTTTTATTTTTTACTTTCTTAATAAACCTGCTTTCACTTTACGGTTGGCTCACTCTTTAATTCCTTCCTGTGTGAAGCCAAGAACCCATGTGGCCTCCCAGGCTGAACCCCAACTTTGGGGTTTGCCCTGTGATATCTATAAACACCAGAGTTTAAATTGATGTCAGGGCATCAAGGGGCCAATGGTAGTGTAAGGCCTGATATTAAGTTTCAATAAAGAGTATGTCCTGCCTTGACATCTGGAACTGGGAGGGCCTTGCATAGCATGAGCCCATATCACCTGCCACCACCACCCTGCTCTGCTCATGCAGGTAAGGTCTCCTAGTTAAACAACCCACCTTATCAGGAAGACCAATTAGCAGTCCTTGCATACTCCTGAGTAGCAGTATTTAATTCCCTGCCAGCCCACAGCATTATTTGAACAAGCCAGTCGCACTTTCCTACAGGAATCAAGGGCACCCCACCCTCTTGCTACTACAAAGCCTGCCTCCCTCCTTGTTCACTATGTACAACCCCCATGTGGCCCTGCATGGGTCGTGTGTCCTCCTGCCTGGCTGTGAGTATGTGTTACTAGTCAATGGCTGTCAGTCTCATCTGTCCACTGCTAGGCCACATATGTTTGGCCACACCTGTAACCACAGCCATAATTCCTCCCTCAACAATCGGGAGAATAGGAGGTGGCTAAAACTCCTGGATAAGTCATTTTATTTCTCTTCTGATTACTATTGTGTTTTTGGATCCAGTCCTTAGATTTTATCCAGCACTCTGCATCAGAATCATGTATGGAAATGTGTAGAAGCAGCGGAGCCATCACCCCCAAGACCAGCGATTCTGGTGTGAGGGCTCTGGAGTGGGCTATGGCTGCTGTATAGTTAGGTTATTGGTGATTTTGGTGGTCAAACAGGTTCATAACCATGGTCCACTTCAATGCTCTCAACATATCCCGTACATATGAATCACCTGACAATCGTCTTTAAATGCATATTCTGATTCAGCAGGCACAGAGTGGGGTTTACATCTAAAACTTATGACAAACTCCCAGTGGCTGTTGCTGCTGCTGGTCCAGTTACCACATTGTCCACAGCAAAAATCTAGACCAATGGTTCTCAGCCTTGGATGGGTTTCAGAATCACTGGCAATGTTTAAAAATAATTGATACCCAGGCCATACTTTAGATTAATTCATCAGAATCTGTAGGCATAAACTCATATATCTGCATTTTATCAATGTCTCCAGGAAATTCTGATTGCATATAACATTTAGAGCTAGTGGTCTAGAAGGGTGTTTCTTAACCTTTTTATTTTTCTTTTATAATCACTGCCCTAAAGAGCCTTTTTAGGCCTATATTTTCCTAATTACTTCTACTGCTCTCCTCATAAAATTTTAAACCACTGATATATATTATGTATCTGTCTATGTACTGTGGCCCTTTAGAGAGACCCAATCCGTTGTAATATCTAAAATTTTTCATCTCCTCCAACAACCAATTTCTCTCATTGAAAATGCATGGCCTAAAATGACAATCTTTGAGCACCATTTCAACTCTCTGATCCTTTGACTATAATCATAACTAGCGAAATCCCCAGGAAATAAGCAAAACAATCTCGAGAGACAGGAAGCAGAAACTCTGTTCTCAGTGTTGCAGCATCTAATGAGGAGGGCTCTGGGACACCCTTATAATGTGTTATCAACATATCTTCTTTGTACCTACCTGGAATGGAAAGCCCTGTCTTCTGTTAATGCCTCTCTTGTGTGTGTGTGTGTGTGTGTGTGTGTGTGTGTGTGTGTGTATGTGTGCGTGTGTGTGTGTGTGTGTGTGTGTGTTCATGTGTGTGCTTCAGGGGGCAGGGGTGTCTTCCCTCATCGGGTAAGGTTTTCGCGGTGCCATCACACAAAGACCCTCTGCTCTGACCAGTTAATGAGCCTGTGATGGAGCATTATCTAGTTGGTTAAAATATGGTATATATGTATATATGTGTGTGTTTATTTATACATACGTGTGTTTTGTTAAAATGAATTATAAGTGAGGTTCTGTGAGAGTGCAGACCAGTGGGTCCCTACCCAGGGCCTCCCCAAGACCCCAGCATGCACCATGTCTCTCCATCATATTTGAATGTGGGAATTTTATTCTTAGGGCATCTTCTGGAAAAGTTGATAAGCTAGGAGTGCCAAAATGATGGTTTCTTGGTTATGGTATTATGTATGATTTATACTTTTTTTTGCTTATCTGCACTGAATATATATTCTACAATGACAATCTGTTGCTTTCGTCATGAGAAAAAAATTGCTTTAAAAAAACGCAAACCCCCTTTGTCTCAGATCAGACTGAATCATGGAACAGTGGGAGGTACTGAGCTGAGGGTGAGGGCAGGTCACTCAGCCCTGGGGAAAGGAAGTGGCTACGGCTGCAGTGAGGCCTGCCCATCACCACTTCCCTCTGTCTGTCTCTCTTACTCTGTGTTTGTGTCTCTCTGTCTTTCTGTCTCTCTATTTCAGTCTCTGCCTCTCTCTCTCTCTCTCTCCCCCGCCACCCCAGAGGTCTTTGAATACCTGTCTGTTCTTGCTCAAGTTTTAGTAGAGAGAATGATAGATGAAGGTGAGGTGGACAAGGAAAGGTGGATGTTTGCTGTGGAGCTGGGGTTGGACAGTGAGTGGCTGCAGAGGGACTATAGACAGAATCAGGGCTGGGTGAGACCATTGGCAAAATTAGCCAACAGACACGTATCTCTCTGTGCAGTCAATATCAACACACCAGGCCTCAGTGTGAAGGAGGGAGTTTCATCTGTGTCAGCAGGGAGAAGGACCTGGGGTCAAGTGAAGGCCAGCTGCAGAGCCCGTGGAACGTCAGGGGCTCTTCACATCTGTGTTACTGACCTCACCGTGTGGCCAGACAGGAGGAAGGGGTAGACTTCCCAGCACTGAGAGGGCTCAGCTTTCTTACCTGCTGCTGAGAGAGGGGAACCCTGCACAGGAACATGGAGGAGGCAGCTGAGGCTAACCACCGTTTTAAAACTTCGTCCTACTTGGAGACCTCAGGAAATTCTGTCGTCCAAATGGAGGACAGAATTTCCTGAGATCTCCAAGTCACTCCTCTGCTCACTGAGATCGATGCACATCTGATTTGCCTCCTTTGGAGAGGCTAATCAGAAACTCAGAAGAATGTAACCATTTGTGTCTCACCTATCTGTGACCTGGAAGCTCCCTCCCTGCTTCCAGCCTCCCCGCCTTTCCAGACCGAACAATGTACTTCTTACATGTTGACTGATGTCTCATGTGTCCCTAAATGTGTAAAACCAAGCTGTGCCCCGACCACCTTGGGCATGTGTCGTCAGGACTTCCTGAGGCTGTCACAGGTGCATCCTCAAACTTGGCAAAATGAACTTTCTAGATCAACTGAGACCTGTCTCAAATTTTCAGGGTTCACAGGATATTTGTGAAAACTAAGGAATTAACAATGGTACAATATTATTAAACTACAAGCTTAATTCAAATTTCTGCCATGTTCACACTAACTCTTGTTGTTAGTGCCTCTTTGCTTCTGGCATTATCACCTACGCTAAGTCATCTTGTGCAATTTTCCATGGTCCATTCATACAGTTAACCATTTCTCCAAAGACCCTTGTTTCTTTTTAACTGGAGGAGGGTATTCAGAAACCAAGATCTGGATGCTGGGTGTGCTCATTGCTACTGGGGTGTTACTGCTTCTAGACCCTCTAAGTGTGTAGAGTTAGGAAATGCATGCATGTATACCAACCCATGTGTGCACACGTGTCAGTAAGTCATGCTAAAATAGTTCTGTAACCCCCAAGTCTCCTGTGTGGCCCGTTAGAGTAAACCATATCCTACTCCCTCCACTACTGTCAACCATTGCTCTGTTTTCCATTCTTACAGTTCCACCTTTTCCCAAGCCCCACATAAATGTAATCGTACAATAATTGTACCTTTAGGAGTGTGGATTATTTTACTGAGTAAACTCCAATTAGGACTCTTCTATGTTGCTGCATAAATCAACCATTGCCTCCTTGTGTTGCTGATTAATACTGCATATTATTCGTACACTAGGATCTGTTCATCCATTCACCTTTTGAAGAACATCTTGGGTGTTTTCAGTTTTGAAATTTATGAATAAAGCTGTTATTAACATTCACATATGGTTTTTGTGTGAACAAACATTTTCAGTTCACTTGGGTAAATATCCAGGAAGAGTAAAGCTTGATCTATAAGTGTGTGTTTAATTTTATAAGAAATAGTCATGCTGTCTTCCAAAGTGGCTATGCTATTTTAAATTTCCCACCAGTAACAAATGAGGTGTTATCAGCTTTTTAAATTTAAAAAGAACATAATACGTGCTTGGTGTGTCTCATTTTAATTTTAACTTTTATTTCTTATATGACAAATGATGTTAAGCATGTTTTATTATGCTTATCTGCTGTCCATATACATTCTTTCATGAAGTGTCTATTCAGTTGTTTGGCTCATTTAAAAAATTGGGTTGCCTATATTTTTGTTGTTGAGTTTTAACAGTTATTTATGTATTTTAAATAAAAGTCTTTTGTTGGATATATTCTTGGAAAATATTTTATTTTTCTTCAAATATGTCTTCTTGCTATTTTCTTAACAGTGTTTTGTAAGGACCAAAATTTTGTTTTAATAAAGTCTGATTTTTAATTTATTTATTTTATGGACAATGTTTTGGTATTATCATTTTTAACAGCAAAAGTAACATTATTGCCTTGATTTGAACACCAAGAACAATGCCTGACAAGTAACTATTTATACAATGTAGGAATACACAAGTGAATAAAGAAATAAATGCGTAAAAACTCCTGGTGAGGGATTTTCAGACAGAGTAGAAACTTGCTGAGCTGACCAGCTCTGCCACTTTTACCCCCGACAGATCCTCCTCTGTCAGACTGCTTTGAAGGGCAGCTTGTCAACTTCCACAGGGCAGAGGGGAGCCCACCTGGGTGGAGAATGGATGCAGGAATCGGTGCTGTCTGTCCTGCCGTGGGGGCTTAGGAAATGAAGACCTCAGAAGGGAAAGAAGGGGCACATCTGTCAAAAGAGCCTGCCTCCCAAAGATCCAAGAACCACCAAGAGCTGCTTCCTTGAATAAACTACTTATTCATGGTATTAAGAGGTTTATCTGGAACCTTGAAGCAATTTGAGTTCAGCAATAACAGTGAGTACAGGATCCACCAAGACAAAGTAAAGCCATGCCATCAAAATAATGCTGAGGTTCCTACGGATACTGGACAACCAGTGCCAGGTAATAGATCGTAGATATTTATGACCTTGGAGGATATGAAGAAAGATGAATTAACAAGTCAACCCAAAGCTGCCTTTCGTCATTCATCCACGTGGAAAAACATTTCTCAAATAGTCATAATGTGATTATGAAACACAATGGTAACTTTTATTGGGTGCTGTTAAAATGTATAAATAAGTGTTCTCATTTGGTAGTGTTCTTTTAGAAAATAAAGCAATTCATTCATGTCACATTTAAAGAAAGTCATAAATGGAAACTCAATAAATTAGTTAAAAAATGCAAATTTTCATGCAGTTCTTCAGTTCTGTTCTCTCCAAAAATAGCAACGGTGCTTCTTCCCCCTGGAGAAGTCTGAATTAGTCAGCAGCACTGAACATCATCATTGTTATTATTATTAATTATTGTTCATTATTACATAGCCACTGTGTGCTGTCTTGGGTGTTTGAAAGGTCTAGTGAAGGCCACATAGGGTTGATAATTGTTCCTAAGAAAAGCAGATACAGCAAGGACACCTGGACATGCACACCCACACATCCACCCACCCATAAACACACACACACAGCATCACACACCAGCAGACACAGTGGGATTTTGCCAGAAAGAACAATCTCAGTGGGCTTGTGACTTCATCATTTTTTTATTCTTTTCTATTCTTCTTTCTTAACTTTCTTTTTTTCTCTCCCCTCCATCCCTCCCTCCCTCCCTTCCTTCCTTCTTTCCTTCCTTCCCTCCCTCCCTCCCTCCCTCCCTCCCTCCCTCCCTCCTTCCTTCCTTCCTTCCTTCCTTCCTTCCTTCCTTCCTTCCTTCCTTCCTTCCTGTGTGAAGAGGAGTGTTGGAAGTGGTAGTAAGACATTGGGAAGAGATAGAGTGAAGAAAAAAAGGAGATGGAGGAGGCTGTGGGGGCACTGGCTGGGTGGAGCGTGGAGGATGGAGAAGGCTGAGGGTGCTGGCTGGGTGGAGGGTGGAGGATGGAGAAGAAAGGCTGGGGGTGCTGGCTGGGTGGTGTGCGAAGGATGGAGAAGGCTGAGGGTGCTGGTTGTGTGGAGTGTGAAGGATGCAGAAGGCTGGGGATGCTGGCTGGGTGAAGTGTGGAGGGTGGAGAAGAAAGGCTTGGGGGCACTGGCTGGGTGGAGTGTGACGATGTCTTACTCTCTGCTCTCTCTCTTCACCTTCCTGGGACCTCCAGGGTAATCTCCCAGAAGTCCATATCTCAGGCTCTGCTTGTGGAGATCATTCTAAGACTCCAAAGCCTTTCACCTTTGGCTACTGCTGCTCTCTCCCTCTCACCTGGGCAGGTCATTTTGCCAACAGCTGTGGCCCACTCTTCTCAAACCTTCCCCATCTGTATCGTTTATGCCAGTAACCAGCTCTCTCTTGCCATCCAACCCATTAAGTCTTGGTCACCTCATAATACACTTAAACCGTTTTATTTATTTTCAACCAGTTTATATATTGCAACTGCCATAGCACCTGTAAGAGTTTTGAGTTCTGCCATTGAGCTAGGATCAACTCTGGACCAGATTTAAGGCTGATAAAAACCAGAGAGAGGTATTGAAAGCTCTTTTCCATAAGACATGTCCACCAGCACCAGGACAGTTTGCCATTGCCATGGCTACATCTGGAAGTTACCATCCCTTGTCATGGGAACATCCAGAAGTTACTGTCCATTTTCAAACTATTTCAGAGTAAGCTGCCCCTTCATTAGCATGTCAATAAAAGTGTGTATAAATATGACTGCAAAAGTGCCCCTAGGCTGCTACTCAGCAGCCCTGTTCCATAGGAGCAGCAGTCACAGAGCTGTAACTCTGCCACTGACAAAATAAAGCTGTTTCCCAGTGAGGCACGGTGGCTCACACCTGTAATCCCAGCACTTTGGGAGGCAGAGGCAGGTGGATCACTTGAGGTCAGAAGTTCAAGACCAGCCTGGCCAACATGGTGAAACTTTGTCTCTGCTAAAAATATAAAAATTACCTGTGCATGGTGGCACACGCCTGTAATCCCAGCTACTCAGGAGGCTGAGGCAGGAGAATCACTTGAACCATGGAGATGGAGGTTGAAGTGAGCCAAGATTGTACCATTGCACTCCAGCTTGGGCAACAAGAGCAAGATTCCGTCTGAAAACAAAACAAAACAAAACAAAACAAAAACAAAACGGAATGGTACCAGTTCCTCTTTGTACCTCTGGTAGAACTCGACTGTGAATCCATCTGGTCCTGGGCTTTTTTTGGTTGGAAGGCTATTAATTACTGCCTCAATTTCAGAACTTGTTTTTGGTCTATTCAGAGATTCGACATCTTCCTGGTTTAGTCTTAGGAGGGTGTATGTGTCCAGGAATTTATCCATTCCTTCTAGATTTTCTAGTTTCTTTGCATAGAGGTGTTTTTTATAGTATTCTCTGAGGGTAGTTTGTATTTTTGTGGGATAAATGGTGATATCCCTTTTATCATTTTTTATCGTGTCTATTAGATTCTTCTCTCTTTTCTTCTTTATTAGTCTGGTTAGTGGTCTATTTTGTTAATCTTTTCAAAAAACCAGCTCTTGGATTCATTGATTTTTTTGAGGGGTTTTTTGTGTCTCTATCTTCCTCAGTTCTGCTCTGATCTTAGTTATTTCTTTTCTTCTGCTAGCTTTTGAATTTGTTTACTCTTGCTTCTCTAGTTCTTTTACTTGTGATGTTAGGATGTTGATTATAGATCTTTCCCACTTTCTCCTGTGGGCATTTAATGCTATAAATTTCCCTGTAAACACTGCTTTAGGAGAGATTCTGGTATTTTGTGTCTTTGTTCTCACTGGTTTCAAAGAACTTATTTATTTCTGCCTTAATTTTGTTATTTACCCAGTAGTCATTCAGGAGCAGGTTGTTCAGTTTCCATGTAGTTGTGTGGTTTTGAGTTCTAATTTGATTGCACTGTGGTCTGAGAGACTATTATAATTTCCATTCTTTTGCATTTGCTGAGGAGTGTTTTACTTCCAATTGTGTGGTCAATTTTAGAATAAGTGTGATGTGGTGCTGAGAAGAATGTGTATTCTGTTGATTTGCAGTAGAGAGTTCTGTAGATGTCTATTACATCCACTTGATCCAGAGCTGAGTTCAAGTCCTGAATATCCTTGTTAATTTTCTGTCTCGTTGATCTGTCTAATATTGACAGTGGGGTGTTAAGGTCTCCCACTATTATTGTGTGGAAGTCTAAGTCTCTTTGTAGGTCTCTAAGAACTTGCTTTATGAACCTGGGTGCTGCTGTAGTGGTTGCATATATATTTAGGATAGTTAGCTCTTCTTGTTGTGTTGATCCCTTTACCATTATGTAATGCCCTTCTTTGTCTTTTTTGATCTTTGTTGGTTTCAAGTGTGTTTTATCAGAGACTAGGATGGCAACATCTGCTTTTTTTTGCTTTCCATTTGCTTGGTAAATATTCCTCCGTCCCTTTATTGTGAGCCTATGTGTGTCTCTGCACGTGAGATGGGTCTCCCAAGTATAGCACAATGATGGGTCTTGACTCTTTATCCATTTTGAGGCCAGCATCATTCTGATACCAAAACCTGGCAGAGACACAATAAAAAAAGAAAATTTCAGGCCAATATCCCTGATGAACATCAATGTGAAAATCCTCAATAAAATACTGGCAAACTGAATCCAGCAGCACATCAAAAAGCTTATCCACCACAATCAAGTCAGCTTCATCCCTGGGATGCAAGGCTGGTTCAACATACACAAATCAATAAACATACTTTATCACACAAACAGAACCAATGACAAAAACCACATTATTATCTCAATAGATGTAGAAAAGGCCTTCGATAAAATTCAACACCTCTTCATGCTAAAAACTCTCAATAAACTGGGTATTGATGGAACATATCTCAAAATAATAAGAGCTATTTATGACAAACCCATATGCAATATCATACTGAATGGGCAAAAGCTGGAAGCATTCCCTTTGAAAACCGACACAAGGCAAGGATGTCCTCTCTCATCACTCCTATTCAACATAGTATTAGAAGTACT
This sequence comes from Homo sapiens, assembly GCF_000001405.40. Classification (NCBI taxonomy): domain Eukaryota; kingdom Metazoa; phylum Chordata; class Mammalia; order Primates; family Hominidae; genus Homo; species Homo sapiens. The sequence goes on along the minus strand of NC_000011.10, from coordinate 135,013,205 downwards.
GGCCAGGGAAATCAGGCAAGAGAAATAAATAAAGGGTATTCAAATAGGAAGAGAGGAAGTCAAATTGTCTCTGTTTGCGGATGACATGATTGTATATTTAGAAAACCCCATCATCTCAGCCCAGAATCTCCTTAAGCTGATAAGAAACTTTAGCAAAGTCTCAGGATACAAAACCAATGTGCAAAAATCACAAGCATTCTTATACACCAATAATAGACAGAGAGCCAAACCATGAGTGAACTCCCATTCACAATTGCTAAAATAGAATAAAATACCTAGGAATACAATTTACAAGAGATGTAAAGGACCTCTTCAAGGAGAACCACAAACCACTGCTCAAGGAAATAACAGAGAACACAAACAAATGGAAAAACATTCCATACTAATGGATAGGAAGAATCAATATTGTGAAAATGACCATACTGCTCAAAGTAATTTATAGATTCAATGCCATCCCCATCAAGCTACCATTGACTTTCTTTACAGAATTAGAAAAAACTAATTTAAATTTCATGTGGAACCAAAAAAGAGCCCATATAGCCAAGACAATCCTAAGGACAAAGAAAAAAGCTGGAGGCATCATGCTATCTGACTTCAAACTATACTACAAGGCTACAGTAACCAAAACAGCATGGTACTTGTACCAAAACAGATACATAGACCAATGGAACAGAACAGAGGCCTCAGAAATAATGCCACACATCTACAACCATCTGATCTTTGACAAACCTGACAAAAACAAGCAATGGGGAAAGGATTCCCTATTTAATAAATGGTGTTTATTAATATTTAATAAACTGGCTAGCCATATGCAGAAAACTGAAACTGGACCCCTTCCTTACACCTTATACAAAAATTAACTCAAGATAGATTAAAGACTTAAATGTAAGACCTAAAACCATAAAAACCCTAGAAGAAAACCTAGGCAATACCATTCAGGACATAGGCATTGGCAAAGACTTCATGACTAAAACACCAAAAACAATGGCAACAAAAGCCAAAATTGACATATCGGATCTAATTGAACTAAAGAGCTTCTGCACAGCAAAATAAACTGTCATCAGCATGATCAGGCAACCTACAGAATGAGAGACAATTTTTGTACTCTATCCATCTGACAAAGGGCTAATATCTAGAATCTACAAGGAACTTAAACAAATTTGCAAGAAACAAACAAACAACCCCATCAAAAAGTGGGTGAAGGATATGAACAGACACTTCTCAAAAGAAGACATTTATGCAGCTAACAAACATATGAAAAAAAGCTCATTATTACTGGTCATTAGAGAAACGCAAATCAAAACCACAATGAGATACCATATCATGCCAGTTAGAATGGCAATCATTAAAAAGTCAGGAAACTACAGATGCTGGAGAGGATGTGGAGAAATAGGAACACTTCTACACTGTTGGCGGTAGTGTAAATTAGTTCAACCATTGTGGAAGTCAGTGTGGCAATTCCTCAAGGATCTAGAACTAGAAATATCATTTGACCTAGCAATCCCATTACTGGGTATATACCCAAAAGATTATAAATCATTCTACTATAAAGACACATGCACTCATATGTTTACTGCAGCACTAGTCACAATAGCAAAGACTTGGAACCAACCCAAATGCCCATCAATGATAGACTGGATAAAGAAAATGTGGCACATACACACCATGGAATACTATGCAGCCATGAAAAAGGATGAGTTGATGCCCTTTGCAGAGACATGGATGAAGCTGGAAACCATCATTCTCAGCCAACTAACACAGGAACAGAAAACCAAACACCACACGCTCTCATTCATAAGTGGGAGTTGAACAGTGAGTATACATGGACACCAGAAGAGGAACATCACACACTGGGGCTTTTCGGTGGGTAGGGGGCTAGTGGAGGGATAGCATTAGGAGAGATATCTAATGTAGCTGATGGGTTGACGGGTGCAGCAAACCACCATGGCACATGAATCCCTATGTAACAAACCTGCACATTCTACACATGTATCTCAGAACTTAAAGCATAATAATAATAATAATAAAGCTGTTTTCTTCTACCACCAGCTCACTCTTGAATTCCTTCCTGAATGAAGCCAAGAAGTTGCCATACAACACCACCAAATTATTTTGTAACATTGAGTATGTTTATTGACTTCTCTGAGTCTCAGAATCTGTAATAAAAATGGGATGATTACAGTAACTAGATTTCAGACTCATTATGAAGACTAAATAAAATCATGTACTCCCAGGACCTCGATTCTGGTCTCTAAGTACTACTTCTCACTAAAATAAGCCAGGGCTTTTTTTGAGTAATGACCAATTCCAGGCACGTAAATGTACAAAATGATTCTGGGACATATTTTTGTCACATAAAATAGGAGATGCCAGGTGAGAAAGATGGAGGGGCCTAGTAATAGAATTCCCCTTAGCCTAAAATTAACAAATTGAGCATCAAAAAAATACTAATGGACACAGACTGAAACAATCAAATATATAAAAATCTATGCATTCAAAAGATAATTTAAAGTCATATTGTTCAGTACTTACTGGAGGTAGCAGGTGCTAAACTCATTACTCCAGATGTTGATAAACATAGCAGAATTTTAGAAAGCAATATCTTCTGAGCCATTAATAAAGTGGTGAATCTAGGCAGTGATCAACAGTGGAAGCTAAAGCCCTGAGGAAGGTAGGCATATTTTAATTGAGAAATTATGTAGACACCACTTGAACCACTGACCAATCTTATGTCATGGATTGTGGGGCAGCTGCATCTTGTCTGACTCATGAGGCTGTGCAGTAGAAGTACCCAGTCTCACCTATAACATATCTTGCCTTTGAAATAAAACCTGAATCTAACCAAGACTCTAGGCTTAATTACCAGTTTATAAGGCTAATATAACCACTTAAACAAAACCGCAATGAAGCAAGTAGTTATATTCACAACATGGGACACTTCAGAGAGCAAATGACCTAGTAATTTATCCAAGAAATCAGTAGCTTCAAAAAGGAAGGATGGGATGTTACAAAATAAAAGAGAATTAAGGGACGGGCACAGTGGCTCACGCCTGTAATCCCAGCACTTTGGTAGGCCGAGGCGGGCGGATCACGAGGTCAGGAGATCAAGACCATCCTGGCTAACACGGTGAAACTCCATCTCTACTAAAAATACAAAAAAAGTTAGCTGGGCGTGGTGGCGGGCACCTGTAGTCCCAGGTACTCAGGAGGCTGAGGCAGGAGAATGGCATGAACCTGAGAGGCAGAGATTGCAGTGAGCCGAGATCATGCCACTGCACTCCAGCCTGGGCAACAGAGCAAGACTCCATCTCAAAAAAAAAAAGTAACATGAGAGAATAAAATGTGTTGACTTAATATTCTGATATAAATAAATTCACTGTAAGAAAATGAGACAAAATAGAAAATTTGAATATGAACTGAGTATAAGGTAATTTAATAGCACAGAAATTTGTTAGATGCTATTTTTGTTAGATGTAAATTTGTTAGGTGTTATAATAAACTAGAAGTTATAACATTATAATTACTTCCTATTTCCCATTTATTTCAAGAGTATTCATTACTGCTTGTTGAAACATTTAATTAACTGCTTTAAATCTTTATCAGATAATTCGAAATCTGTGTCTCCTCAGTGTTGTCATGTTTATTGTTTTTTTTTCTGATATAGGTTGAGACTTTTCCTGTTTCTTTCTAGATCAGATAAGATGGATCATATCCTGGGTATTTGAATATTATGCTATGACACTGTAGGTCTCATTTAAATCCCGTGGAGAATCCTGGTGTTCTTGCTTCGGCAGGCAAGCAGCAAGGTTGAGTTCAGGCCGCACGTTCTGAAACCTTCCGTGGTTGTGGCTTCAATGTCATTCCCAATGTCAAAGCCTTGGCAGTGCCACTGGGTTCTGTTCTGTGTGTCTGCACCCAGTGAGCAGTCCTGAGCCTGTGCTGTACTCTCTTTTCAGTTCAAACGAGCTTTTCTAGGTGCTTTGCAAAATATCCTCTTCCTTGACTCATAGGTAAACAATTTTTAAAATATGATTTGTGACCTTTTAAAAATGAGAAAATTTATTTGTTTTTATCACCCAAATTTTTCTCAAAGACATAGTAACCTATTGTACACATAATTTCAACTTTTTTTTTTTGGAGATGGAGTCTTGCTCTGTTGCCCAGGCTGGAGTGCAGTGGCGCGATCTCGGCTCACTGCAATCTCCGCTCCGCCAGGTTCATGCCATTCTCCTGCCTCAGCCTCCCGAGTAGCTGGGACTACAGGCGCCCGCCACCATGCCCGGCTAATTTTTTTGTTTTGTATTGTTTTGTTTTTAATAGAGATGGGGTTTCACCGTGTTAGCAAGGATGGTCTCAATCTCCTGACCTCGTGATCCACCCGCCTCAGCCTCCCAAAGTGCTGGGATTACAGACGTGAGCCACCACGCCCGGCCAATTTCAATTTTTTTAACTTAAAATTTCATCCTGGAGAAAAAGCAACATGAATACTTTTTAAACATAAAAGTATTCTTCATGTCTATTTATAGCTAAGTAGTACTCCATTCTGTGGATGATTCTTCATGTCTATTTATAGCTAAGTAATACTCCATTCTGTGGATGTACCATGACTTATTTCACCCGTTCCCTATTCATAAGCATGTGTTTGATTTCAGCTTTTTGCCAAATCTACTTTTAATAGAGTTAATCCCCTGTCTTTAAACTAACCCCAGGAGAACTCTTGGGAGGATGGAAGCATAGTCCACTTATAACTCTGATCTTTCTTCATGCATTACCAGCATCAGGAATCTCATTGTCCTTCATTCATTACCAGCATCAGGAATCTCATTGTCTCAGAGTCCTGCTAGGCTCTGGCTAGCAGATTCAAGGCTGGTCAGGAAACCCCTTGGAGAAGAGTGTCTGCCTGTTTCTCCTCATGTAAATCACAAGCAGGAAAGTGATGCTTTATTGCTTCTGGAAGCACAGATGCCAGCAAACAGGACGGGAAGTCATCGCAGATTCTGTTACCTGGCAAGCTCATTTGTGCTCTTCTTTTTTTGTTCAAATTTTGCAGCCAAAGTCCAGCTGTGGAGCTGTCTCTTAGCAACCAACTGGAGCTAGCTGCTCTTTGGAAATTCCCTGTGAACTAGCATATGGCGTTTTCTGATCCGACCTCTGCCAAGAAAAGATAACACACAGACATCTAAGAGAGATGAGAGGAGGGGGAAACTCATAAATGCCTTCTGCCCTCTGCCCTCTTTCCGCCCCAAAATGCACACACTTACACGTTATCCCAGAACTCCCAGCAAAGAAGGATAAGCTTTTGCAAGCACAAAGTCTCCGGTTGTCATTCCAGGGCTGCTGTGCCATAGCTACATTTAGAAAGTTGCAGGAGAAAATAAACTGATTAACAAGCAGCGAAACCTGCAAATTATGCCTCACTTAGGCTTAGATTCAAGAAAACCCAGACCAAGCTTGGGATTCTAAGAGTCTCTCCGTGCAAGCTGACCTCATGGAGAAAGTGGCAGAGCTTGTCCCTTCCACTGGGAGACCCTGGAGTTCATTCAGGAGACTGGATGCCCCTGGGCTCGGGCTGCACTGTGGACCCCACTGTGGAATCACCACTCCCAGGCTGACCTCAGGCAGGTTCCAGATCTGTTCTCCACTTCTGCAACAAAACTTACCCGGGCCATGGTTTTATGCAGAAATCTGACAAGGTACCTATATGAAATGCTCTTTCTTTAAATATTTGGAGATGCATTTATTTTTTGTTTATTTATTTTAAAAGGTCATAATCATTCAATATCTTCCTTTTCCTCAGATATATGTAACTGGTTTATTCAAAGGGGAGTGTCCTAATTTGGGGGCAATAGGGGTGGTGTCCTTAGTGAAAGCAGGCTCTGAAGACTGAGGCTGCCCCACACTTTACCCTAGAGAGGTCTGGCCCTTCCTCATTTGTCACTCACACTGGGAAACCCTATTGCCCAGTGTCTGGGTCCAGGGTCCCAGGGAGGACACCATCATTATAACCCATCTGAGCATTAGTACTTTTATCTGTGCGTCCTGCCAGGAGGGTTCTGAGGATTAAATGTGAAAATAGCCGTGACCATGTGTGAAAACTGTAAATAGCTACTCCAGTGTAAGCACTGTCAGCCATATGGTCGTGATGCTAGCTGCTCTGGATGATATCACAGGCCAGGCATTGTGCTAGATGCTCCAATCCTTACAAGCAAGGCATTATTCCCATGCCACAAACAAAAAAAGAAGCCAGCTGTGCTCATCAGGTGCCTTTCCCCCCAGGCCACCCTGGCATTCTCTGCTCTATGATGCTGGGGCTGAGAGTCTGCAAACTACACTTTTCTAGACCCCTGGCTGGCTGTCTCCAGTTAGGTCATGCCAAAGTGAGGTGCTGGGCAGTGATCGGAGGCTGAGGCTGGATGGGGCTCTCTTCCTGTGTCTGCACCCTAGTTTTAATTTTGCTGCTGCAGTGCATAATTACGGCTCCTTTTCCTTAGCACTGGGCTCAGGACACCAATCAGGGCACTAGTGACACTTGGCAATTTAAGATCCAAGAGGCCGAGTGTCCCCTCAGAGGCCCCAGCCTCAGCACAGGTAAGGCGCTCCAGCGGTCTGATAGTTGGCTGCTTGAGACTCTCAAAGCTTTGACAGGTGGTGCCCGTCTCTGAACTCCTGGATTTTGTAATGCCTTTTCTGTTTTGTTTTCTGAAGACTAAGGAAAGCAGCTGTTTCGTTAAGTTCTGAATGCCTAGGTTACCTCAGTATCTACTTTCTGCTCCATCTGTCTTCAACACTTATCTAATTTCTTGTATTTGATAATACTGTTAAAAATCGGTGAGTTTTCTATTCCCTGAATCTGTGCCCTTGCCCAAAGGTCCCAGTCTGGTGAGTGGTGGCTCTGGCAGCCAGCCAGTACTCCGAGCTGCAAAACTCATGTTCCTTCCTTTGCCTCACGTTATACTAGTGATTGGCTTTTAGCAGAGATCTTAAGTTCCAGGCTCACTTCAGGACCATCACCCGTACAATCGGCCCTCGGTATTTATGGGTTTTCACATCGGTGTATTCAACCAACCGCAAATCAAAAATATTCAAAAAATGAATATAGAAAGTAACAATATAACAATAACATGTTGATACAAGCCGAGTGCTATGGCTCACACCTGTAGTTCCATCTACTTGAGAGGCTGAGGCAGGAGGATCGCTTGAGCCCAGGAGCTCAAGCCTGCAGAGATCTGGGATTGCACCACATACTCCAGGCTGGAGGACAGAATCGGATTCTGAGTGAGACCTTGTCTCTATGAAAAAAAATATACAAATTTTAAAATACAGCATAACAACTATTGACATAGCATTTACATCATGTCAGCTCTGATGAGTACTCTAGAGATGATGTAACATACACGGCAGGCTGTGCATAGCTTATCTGCAAGTAATGTAGGATGCCATTTCTATACAGAGCTTAAGCAATCCTTTCTATGAGGATTTGGTATCCCCAGGGGTCCTGGAGCCAGTGCCCTGTGGTAATTCTGTGTGAGCACTAAATGAGATGATGCTGGAGAAAACAGTTGGCCCATGGCAAGCACACCATGTATTTCTTAGTTATTATTGTTGAATAACACATTCAATATTAGTTATTATTGTTGAATGTGGATTTTGTTCAATAATAGTTATTATTGTTGAATGTGGATTTTGCTCAGTGGAAGGAAGGCTTTTGCAGAGGGGTGTCTGATGGGTAGGGGCAGCCAAAAACAAAGGCCATTGCTGTTTCCTAGGGACAGAAGCAGAGCTTTCTTTGGCGGAGACAGTCTGAGGCTGGTGTCTTACCTCCTTTGCACCAGGCTTCAGGGAAGAAGGTGGTCCCAAGAAGGCCCAAGAGCTGGGCTCCAGCAGCCCCGGGAGTGGGGAAGGTCTATGAGCGAGGCACGCACTGTCTCAGAGCGGGACACAGATGATGCAGGCAGAGGTTCCTGGGCCATTTCCTTATGCAGAGGAGGGATGGGGTGGGAAGGGGGTGCAGTAAGGTGCATGCGGTCTCCCTTTTCAGACCAGGTACAGCTAGAAAAAGAGATAAACAAGCAAGCTCCTCAGCCTCTGGGGACATGAAGCCCTCTGAAAGCAAAAGTGGGGCTTGAAGGGCCTTGCATAGTTGATAGGAAGAGAGAGACTAATGCATGTCCATGGGGCTAGGCAGGGTGTCAGGGCAAAGTAGTGACAGCAGAGGGGAGAAGGAGGAAGGAGAGATGGCTCCTGTTGCCTGTGCAGTGGGGGTCTCTCAGGCTTAGGGAGAAGCATTTCTGCTTTTCTTTAAAACTAACTCTAAACTGAGACTTTACACAGAGGCCTCTGCCAAACACGGTATGTATGTATGTATGTATTTCCCCAGAGAAGACCAGAATGAGGACATTCATCATGTCCAGGAACCCAGACATACAGGGGTCATCCAAAGTGCAATCAGCTTGTCCTCTGGGTGACTGTCGTTGAAAAGAGGCACTTGAATTATTCAGAGGCCCAGACATTCTGGCTGCTAGCAGACACACACTCTGATCTCCCTGAATGAGAAAACCAGGTTCACGGATCTGTGCAGACAACCCCCACTCCAAGCAGGACTCCCCAGAAAGGCAGGCAAGGAAGGAGGAGCACAGAGAGGGGCTCCTATTTCCTCTCCTACACAGCGTCATCTTTAGCCTCTCATGTGGGCGTTTGATCTGCTCTTGAATAGAATGCGGGGAGGAACTGGGTCTGGAGCCAGACGTGGAAAGTCACGCCCCAGCTTCATTTCTGGGTTCAAATCCTGGCTCTGCCCTTCCTAGCTGTGAGGTGTGAGCAGTTCTTCAAAATATTCTTTGCGTCAGTTGTGTCATCTCAGACCCAATGGTCATTGTGGTACCTGCCTCAGAGGCTCATGTGAGAATTAAATGTAAATGTATGAAATTATTTGCAGCAGCCAAGATATGGGAACAACCTAAATGCCCACTGATGAATGAAGGGATAAAGAAAACGTGGTGTGGTCAGTGGTGTGCCGAATAACAATGTTTTGGTCAATGGTGGTTCACACACACGTTGGTGGTTCCATTAGAATATAATCGAGCTAAAAAGCCCGTGTCACTTCATGACATCGTCATCACAGCACAGCACATTCCCCTTCTGTTTGTGGTGACCCTGGTGTAAACAAACCTGCATCACTTCCAGCTGTGGGAAACTCTAGCACATACAATATGTACAGTACACAATACTTGGTAATGATAATGCATCTGTTTACATATTTATGCTATTATATTGTTTTACCAATATTTTAGAGTATCCTTTTTATACTTGTATATAAAAAAAGGTAACTGCAAAACTGTCTCAGGCAGGTCCATCAAGAGGTTTCCAGAAGAAGGCATCGCTATCACAGGAGATGGCAGCTCCATGCCTGTTACTGCCCCTGAAGATGTTCCAGTGGGACAGGGTGTGGAGGTGGAAGACAGCAACAGTGACGATCCTGACCCTAAGTAAGCCTAGGCTGATATGTGTGTGTCTCGGTTTTTAACAAAAAGTCTTAAAAAGTAAAAATAAATAAAAAATGGAAACAAAGCGTATAGAATAAATATATAAAGAAAGATAGGTGTTCAATGTGTGCTTTAAGCTAAATATTACTATAAAAGAGTTGAAAGATTTTTTAAAGCTTATAAAGTAAAAACATTACAATCAGCTAAGGTTAACTGATTATTAAAGAAGGAAGAATACTTATTATAAATTTGGTGTAGCCTGAGTGTGCAGTGTTTATAGTTTACAGTAGTGTACAGTAACATCCTAGGCCTTCACATTCACTCACACAAGCTCATTGGCTTGTGACCCAGAGCAACTTCCTGTTCTGCACACTCTATTTATACTAAGTGTCCTGTACAGGTGTACTATTTTTCTATTCTATACTGTATTTTTACTGTACCTTTTCTACATTTAGGTATGTTTAGACACACAAATACTTACCATTGTGCTACAATTGCCTACAGCATTCAGTACAGTAACATACACTGCAGGTTTGTAGCCTAGGCCATAGGCCACACCATCTAGCCTAGATGTATAATAGGCCACACCATCTAGCCTAGGTGTATAATAGGCCATGCCATCTAGGTTTGTGATGTTCCCAGAATGACAAAATCACCTAACAACACGTTTCTCAGAACATATTCCCATGGTTAAGTGAATCATGACTGTACATATAATGGAATATTATTCAACCTTTAAAAAGAAGGACATTTTGACATGTGGGAAAACATGAATAAACCTGGAGGACATTATGCTAAGTGAAACAAGCCAGTCACAGGACAGGCACTGCACAATCCCACTTATGCGAGGTATCTGAAACACTCAAACTCATAGAATCAGAGAGTAGAATGGTGATTAGCCAGGGGCTTAGCAGAGGGGAAAGGGGGATTACTGTTTAACAGGTATAAAGTTTAGTTATGCAAGATGAATAGGTTCTAGAGATCTGCTATGTGGCCTCATGCCTAAAGTTAACAACACTATATTGTATACTTAAAAATTAAGGGGGCAGATTTCATGTTCAGCACACAGAAAAAGAATGTAAAAGTATGCAAAGTGCTTATTCAGTGTCCTTACACATAAGAAATGCTCAATATGTTACAGCTATAATTACTATCACTGTGTTCCAAGTGCTGTAGCTGAAAAGGTTAAAAAGAGCCATGGTCCCTTTGCTCTTGGATTTCACAGTTCAGCAGCTCATAAAAGGTAGCATATATCACCTAGGCTGGGACCACTGCCAAAAGATATTCCTTTCTCACAGCCTGCAGACCATGCAGTGAAGGTTCTGGCCTCCACAAGATAAACAGGAAAGATGCTCTCCTGTCAAGGGGGCCCTGAGAATTGGATTACAGGTTGCCATAAATCTTCCCTGCAGAAAAAATGTTTCCCTCAGTCAATCTTACAAGTCTCACATTGAAGTTCAATGAATGTTTTGGTTATAAGGAACCCAGAATCATTAAGACAGAGAGCAGCAGGGTCTCATCCTCTAGCATTAGAAGTTTGTTTCTTGACAGTCAATTACAAAAAAGAAAAAACACAAATACCAAATCTTCTAAAATTTAATAGAAAAAATATACATAAATTAATAATAAATGTTTAAGAGATAGCTTCTTTTAGATTTGTAAGAATATTAAGACAAAGCTGACTTTAACGGGAAAACTATATTTGCAAGTAAGGCAGCAAAATGAATATATTTGCATTTTTGTTAAATGAAGTGTTTCCTGAAACCAACATAGCACTAGAATATAAAGCACAATAAACAGGAAATCAAAAACAGCAGCCATGTGAGGAGAGCAGTGGCTGGCAGCAGTGGGACAGGGACAAGGGACATGGTAGCTCCTCTTAGTGGACATGTGTGTCCCTCCTTCCTCTGAGGCCACTGCCACCCAGCCTTCTGGAGGCCCCTTGCCCTTCCTCCAAGGGCCCTCCCTCCAAGAGCAGTCACCCTGGCTTCTTGGCCCTCCATCCTGACTCCATGAAGACCTCAACACCTATTCACAGGCCCCTCTCCTTCCTGCTTCTCCGTCTTCTTGAGGTCTTCGTATCCATGTGCCCTATAGATCCCTGGCCTCTCAGTCCCAATTTTCTAATCTCTAGGGACCTGTTTTCAACTCTACACCTAGACCCATGGTTCTGCCCTTAACTCTATCATCTGTTGCATCTCAAACATGAATTCAAGGAGCCCACTCTAACCATGGCCTTTCCTTCCAGCCCACAAACTCTAGTAGCCTGGCTGCAAAATCTATTCACTCTCATCAGGAACTGTCATGTATTGCTCATGGCTATCTGTGTGTGTTCATCCATCCGTCCATCCATCCATCCATCCACCTATCTATCCATCCATCCATTCATTCATCCATGTGTTCGCCCATTCATCCATCCATCTATTCGTCCATCCATACATACATTTATCCATCCATCTGACTACCTATCCATCTATCCATCCATCCATCCATCCATCCATCCGTCCATCTGTTAATCCATCCATCCATCCATCCATCCATCCATCCATCCGTCCATCTGTTAATCCATCCATCCATCCATCCATCCATCCATCCATCCATCCATCCATTCATCCATCCATCCAGTCTCATTGGAGTTCATTTTCTTCACTAAGTACCTTAAATCTGTGGTCCTTACATGTAAATTCAACTTCTTTGCCCCATTCTTACTCCATTGTAGTTATTTTGCCATACACCAACCTTGGAAGAGACTGACCATGCCTTTCTGTCTCCCTATACTTTTCTACCCTAACACTGCTTAGCCATCCCATCATGTATCTCAAATATGTTCACTTCTCCACTTTCCTAAATATCTATGTCATGCATTCTTCTCTTTTTTCATCCCTTTGTATTCCCTTCACATCCCCAGAATCGTCAGACAAACTGAGGTGACATCTCACTAGAAAATAAAACTATTAGACAGGAACTATTAATATTTCAATGTCTTAAGTGGGGTTGAGGTATGGGGCTACCCTTTGTGAATTTTTATCTTATTCTTCCACCCTAAAATATACGGGCAGCATCTTTCTCCTATTAAATAGTTAGACATTGTTGAGTGTGCATTAGGTACATACTCCGGTCCACTCATGTCATTATATCTTCGCAACCACAAGCATATTATGCCTATGTTTCAAAGATGACAACCAAGGCACTGAGGTGCTACGTAATTGTCCAGGGTTATGCAGAAGTGGAGCTGTGGCTTGAGCCAGGAAATGCCCTCCTCATGTGTGATGGTCCCACCCCTCCTCATAATTCTCAGTTTTCCTCTTTTGCAATTCCCAAGTTTCCCATGTGTTCCTACTCTTTCTCAACTGGATCAAGTGCTCAGGATTAGGAAAGTTGTCCTCCACCTCTCTGCATACGGTCTCACTTTCTGGGAGAGACTTGACAAGTACTTCAGGCTTTCCAGCATTAATAGACTAGGTTCCCCAGAGAAGTAGGGGAATTTCCTCCTGGAGAGTCATTACTAGACTGAAAATCCACCCTTTATCATCCACCCCTAATAGCAAATGTCACCTGTTTGAAGCAGATTCATAGATTCTGCAAATGGTGGAGAATTTCTCTCCCTAGAAACCCAAAAAGCTAAAGCCACTCTCTTGACAGTGTAACCAGCCTAGCCTTCCTGAGGGAAGAGCTGCAAGCACAGTGGGGACTGCTACAGAGCACAGCGGTGCCTGGACATTTTCTCTGCAGCTCTGCACGACCCCTCCCCTATTTCCTCTGCTCTCCCCCCAGTAGCTGCCAATCACATGCCATCCCCGAGGAGCCACTAATCCCCGTGACAAGCTTATGGTCTAGTTGAACCAGCTGCCCCTCTGGCCATGTGCATGATTTCTCCCTGTGACAGAGGCCTCTAATCATTCTCTCTTCCTCTGCCGGGGTGTCAGCCACAAATCTGGGCAGAGTCATTAAAGTGTCCACCTGTCCGAGCTCATTGTTAGGAGGATTCATCAGTGGCCAGGCCTCACTGCTGCCTCCACCTGGAGAGGGGGCTGATCCTGCAGCCCCTTTACCCTTTACCCTCGGAAAGCTTGGGGACTGAGCAGGCCAGGGCCCTGTCTGGGCTCTGAAAGCTGGAGGGAAGGAGAGAGTGGGAGAGGAGCAAGAAGAGAAGGCACCTGCCCAGCAGGCATCCTTGAGTCCCTCCTTTTTCTGCAGCCTCCCCTGCTGGGATTTAGTTTGAAGCTTAGCCCAGATATCAGGAATGTGCTCCCTGGCCATGCCTCAATGTTGAGAAAAAAGTTCCTCTCAGTTTCAAAAGGAGATAGCTGTGTATAGAATTCTTGCCCCCTTCTACAGAATACACAGTGCTTTCAAGATAATTTCACTGCACCAGTGAGATAAAACTTCCTGCTCTAGGACCTTGAATGTTCAGAGAGGGCAGATATGGAATCCATGTCTAGATGATTTTACGTCCTTTAAACAAATGAGTGAAATTAAATTATTTCAATACATCTAGCTTCTGTGTACATTGGTTTTCTCATTAAAAAAAATTATTTGTTCTACTTAATTCACAAGCTTGTTAGTAAAATAGTATAAGTAAAAGAGTCTGAGAAATTCCCTGAAGGCTTCATTCTGAGCTCAGGAAATATTTAGAAAAAGAAAAAGATCTATCTGGCTACAGAGAAGTTTTTAGCATTGTTGTTCTCATATTTGCCTTGCTATGATCCCACAGGAGTTGGGTGCTTTTGTGCACAGAAGAAAAACAAATACCTGGAATTAGAATTACTGACAAAATAACTGGTTCACCAGCAGTCTTCAAAACCATACAGGACCTGCTGGCTTGAGATAAGTCCTCACAACTTTCACATTTTCCTATTCATTGGAAAACCCAAAAGAGCCTCATGGGGGGCCCAGTGATTAAAGATAATTGTAATCTTAGTAACAATAATAGCAACAGTCATCTATGGAGTATTATAGGCCTACCAACATTCTAAATCTGTATGTGCATTATTTCAAATTATTTTAACAATAACAGGAGGAAACAATTATAACTGAAAAAAAAAACCAGATTGGAGAATTTAAGCAAACGGCCTCAGGTTACACATATAATAATGAAATAAGCAGGGATTAATCCCAGGAAGTCTGATTTTAGAACTCATACAAATAACTATTCTATTTTAGTATATTGTATGAAAGGGGAATTTTGAGAAGGAAAATGAAAAATGAGGAAAAATTGACGATGTGAGTATGTTTCATTGGGGAAGACAAATTTTGAAGTTAGGTTCACCTTATTTTATTATTATTATCTTTTTGAGATGGAGTCTCACTCTGTCGCCTAGGCTGGAGTGCAGTGTCACCATCTTGGCTCAGTGCAACCTCTGCCTCCCAGGATTAAGCAGTTATTCTGCCTCAGCCTCCCAAGTAGCCAGAACTACAGGCACATACCACCACACTTGGTTAATTTTGGTATTTTTAGTAGAGATGGGGTGTCCCCATGTTGGCCAGGCTGGTCTCAAACTCCTGACCTCAAGCGACGCACCCGCCTCAGCTTCTCAAAGTGATTACAGGCATGAGCCACCGTGGCCAGCCACCTTAATTTTTGACTTGCTGTCCTTCATCTATGAGCTAAAGAGGCTCCAGAACTTAATTAACACTAGTACCTGTCAACCCAGTTCATCCCCTGCCCCAGAAGCAGAGCTTTTCTGCACCTGTCGTCTCACATAGTCTCATCCGCTCATTGCTCTCACCTTCGCCCTTGATTTCTTTACATTTGCCTCCAGGTTTTGCGTTCTGTCACGTATTCTATTCACCGTTACAAATGCATGTTCCAGAGAAGGATCACTCAATTCTGCCCCATGTTGCCACTTCTGAGCAAAGGGCTGGCCTTCAGAGCCAGGGAGATAACTTCAGACTGTATTCTATAAATAACCACTGGAAGAGTGGAGGGGGACGTCACTTGGCATTCATAAGTTTCTGTCAGCCACAGAAATAATCAAATTTCCTTGTCAATTGTGTCTTTAGCCATGGCTATTCTAAGTCTTTTGTCATTCATAGACAATATCACTTTACTTTGATTCATTTCAAAAAGTGGTTTATAGTTGGCTATAGCCAAAAATTTACTTCTTCTACAAGAAAATTCATGAAAAAGACCACAACAAGTACTCTTGAATGTAGATTTTTGATAATTTTGGAGATTATACCATTGGATTAGGTAAAAACTTACAAAACTCTAGTAAACGAATGAGTTCATGAAGATTACTAACCCAACATCAAGTAGAACAAAATTAATTACATGAGACTGAACTGATGAAAGACCAAAACAATTGTTGTGACTTCTTTTTATTTGAAATATTGCTGATTCTTTTTAGTTTTTGCTTTTCAGAGTCAAGACAAAGTTTTTTTTTTCTTCCTTTCTTTTAAGCCATTTACAGCTTACAACAATTGGGTAAAATATATTGTTGTGAGCAAAATGGGAACATTTACCTTTCTTTCTACCTGATCCCTACAGAATTTGAAAACTATTTGTGGGTATTTGTATTTTATGTCAATATAGCATTAGCATAACTTCAATAAGAATTTGCTCTCTTTATGATAGGGCAATTAGGAATATAGCTTCCATTACCAAAGCTTTGACTGAGATGTCATATTTTCAGATTGACCAGATTGCTTTGAGGAACTAAGAAGCTGTTAAACCTTTGGAAGAACTGGCCTGATACGTTGTCTACATGGTTCTCCTACAAGGTGTATGAGTCCATTTTTATGCTGCTGATAAAGACATACCTGCAACTAAGAGGAAAAAGTTGTTTAACTGGACTTACAGTTCCACATGGCTGGGAAGGCCTCAGAATCATGGCAGGAGGCGAAAGGCACTTCTTACATGGTGGCACCAAGGGAAAATGAGGATGATGAAAAAGTGAAAACCCCTGAAAAAATCAGATTTTGTGAGACTTATTCACTACCACGAGAACAGTCTGGGGGAAACCGCTCCCATGATTCAAATTATCTCCCACCCGGTCCCTGCCCCCGCAACCCCCCCACAACATATGAGAATTACGGGAGTACAATTCAAGAAGATTTAGGTGGGGACACAAAGCCAAACCATATTACAAGGTTTATAGCCTTGCAGTAAGTAAAGAATACCATTTTCTGACAAGCCCAGGAACTTCAGGATATTTTGGGGACCTCAAAAAAGAGGGATTTACCCAATTCATACAAGTATTACAGGCAAAATCTGATGGTGAATTGCTGGCCTGGCTTCCAATCTTAAGAGGCTTTTAAAGATTGAACCTGAAATTCCTTATAAAAAAAGTTTCAGTCAAGTCAATTTAAAAAGTGCTCAGATGGCCAAGTACAATTCTGGCTGTACTTTAGTCAAATACTCAGGCCAAGTATAACAAGTCTAAGACTTTATTTTGCAAATAAATTGGTCCTACTGTAAACCAAAAAGTGTCTGAGACAAGTTTCAGTCCATTTAGAAAGTTTATTTTGCCAAGGTTAAGGACATACCAGTGACACAGCCTCGGGAGATCTTGACAACATGTGCCTAAGGTGGTTGGGGCACAGCTTGGTTTTCTACATTTTAGGGAGACATGAGACTCAATCATTATATGCACGATGTACATTGGTTTGGTCCAGAAAAGAGGGACAACTTAAAACCAAAAGAGGGCTTCCAGGTCAGAGGTAGATAAGAGACAAATGGTTGCATTCTTTTGAGTTTCTGATTAGGCTTTCACTGAATACACAATTTACAGAAATAGTCGCTTATGCCTTAGTCTGGCTTAGTAAAGCAACAGAACAAAGGAAGCACTCAGATGCGCGTGTCCCATGTGAGCAGAGGGATAACTTTGACATCTGTTTGTGCTTTGTCTAAAGGAATTTTTCTTCGTGGGAAAATTGTAAGGGAGGTATGTAGCTTTTCAAAATTTTTGTAGCTATCTTATTTAGGAGTAGACTACATAGACTGGGAAGCAGGTTTGCATGACAAGTTTCCCAGCTTGAATTTCCCTTTGGCGTAGTGATTTTGGGGTCCCTAGATTTATTTTTCTTCCATATTTACTTTTTCTTTGCTTAAATTTATCTTTGCCTAAATTAATTGTGGGACGGGAAAGGGAAAATTTATGTTTCAGAAGAAAACTATGGTACACTTATTAGTTTCTAGCTCTGATCTTTTTTTTTTTTTTCAGTTTTGCTATTTGCCCACAATTTAAACTAAATCCTATTTTTTTTTCTGGTTACAGGCTTTCAGACAAATTTTTCTCCTATTTTTTAAGCTCACTGAAATTGATAATACCTTTTTACCGAGGCCTTGCAAGCTGAAGTTTATGCATAAATAACCTTGTGACATACAAATTACAGATCACAAAATCTGTCAGATCGCCAATGCCTCCTTCCACAGTAACTAAAGATGCCTCTAGTTGAACAGCTGGATACCTCAACTGACTGCTCTCCAGACTCTAAAGAAATCCGTTTATAGACTGCTCCAAATATTAACCTTTGTTTTTCTGCTGTTTGGGAGCCCATCTGCAACGCCATTTCCTGAAATGAGACACAGCTGTTTAATTGGACTGGTCTACTCGTAGAAATAGAACACCAGTTTAATGATAATTTTTGCTACTCAGCTATTAACTCAAATATTATCTTCACACCCAACAACTTAGATTTTAGTGTGTGAAACTTTGAGGGACATTTTAGACAGAGGACTTTTGGGGTGCAGAAGTGGTTCCCTGATATATGACACCTGGGCATGGTGAGTGCTTTTAAACATTAAAAGACCTCATAAATAAGCCTCAGAATCATGGTCCCCCTAAAACTGTCTTGGGGCAGGAAGGGACTCTCTCTCTGTAATTTCCTTATCTGACTAAGAAATCTTCTTCCCAAAAAACCACAATTGCCATCTAGCCCATTCCTGAAATCTCATTTCAGACAGAAATGTTACCATATCTGGATGGTCTCTTTCACAAGATAATGCCTGCCTCTTGGGGTCATTCAAATTCCAAAAAGTATTATTTACAAGTTAATTTCTGTCTCTAAATTCCACACCTTTTCTTCCTAATAATCATTTACTGCTCCTGAATAGCATTGTCTGCATTCCTCATCTCCTCCCTCCTTTGTGAAAAAGGGTTTATAAGCCTCTGTCCCCACTGGGGGTTAGGGTAATCACTCTGTGATTCTCTCCAGTGCATGTTAAAAATGTGTATACCTCTTCTCCAATTAATCTGTCTTCTGCCAGTCAATTTTCAGCAAACCTTCAGAGGGCAAAGTAGATGTTTCCCTTGGCCCCTGTACCCCTTAGGAGCCCTGAAACACTTATTTTTCCATATTATGCTCTTTATATTAATTTGCTAATTTACTGAACACATATTTTTCAAGCAACTCCTCATTTGCTGGGCACCTTTCTGGGTGCTGGGACATAAAGAGACGTGGAGAGAGTTGCCTTGTGATACAGGAGGTAGAAAGAAATTATTTAGGCAGATAGTGAGGGTAAAAGAGTCTTTGACAGAGCTTCCCTTTTAACAAAAAGCAGCCCAAGAAATTATTTTTTTTTCTAACAAAGGGCAGCCTGAAAAGTTGAGCTGCAAACATAGACAAGCAAGCTGGAAGCTTGCATGGGAAATGCCAGCAGCTGTGCCAATAGAAAATGGCTACCTGGGGGTCAGGCACGTCCAACGTTGAGGCTCCATCTTCCCTTTTTTTGTCACTGTGTGTACAGTAAAGGAATGGGCAACATGGTGCTGCCACAGCAGAGGACCTGCCTGCTTAATGAGTGATTAGGATGGGGGTGGCCAAAAATTCGCACCCTATGCAAATGGCACACCTAGTCCTAACCAGTTTTTCACACCCCATGCAAATGGCACACCTGGTCCAGCCAATCTTTTGTGCTCTATGTAAGTCAAATACCACCCCCTCACCAGACATCTATAAAACCTCCTACATTTCACCACGGCTCCAGCAGCTCATTTCTTCGGGACCCTTCTCTGCTGCAGGGAGCCGTCCTCCTCCTTTCACCTGTTAAACATCCACTCTCAACCTCACTCTTCGTGTGTCTGTACCCTTTAGTTTCTCAGCCATGAGACAGTGATTTCCAGGGTATCGCCCCAGACAATGAGGCCGTTTCACTTGCACACTCACTTGCACACTCGATTTGTCCCACTCTAGGCCCCCTACTAGGTACCTTGGGTAAGTAATACAGCATATTTTTATCCTATGTTTTCTTAAAATAAGTAATGGGGATACTAGAAGCTACAATCTCAGTCATGCCAACAATTATGGAATCCATGGGAAGCACTTGTTACGGACTTAGACCTGGTGAGCGTCTGTATTTTTTCTGTGGCTGTTGTAACAAATTACTACCAACGTGGTGGTTTAAAACAATTCCCACAGTAGAGCTGGCCTGAGTTCCAAGCACCTTCACGGGGCTAAAATTGAGGTATTTGGGGAGAGCTGCACTCCTTCTGGAGGCTTTGGGGAGCACCGGCCCTTGGCTCTCCTGACTTCAGGTGGCTGCCAGCACTCGGCTGCAGCTGCCTCACTGCAATCTGTGCCTCTGTAGTCGTGCCGGGGCCAAGGCAACACGTCCCCTTCACCCTCTGAAGGCTTGCTGGTAAATAAACTGACAAAAGGCAGATTAATTGGAGGAAAGGCATGAACATTTATTAATAGGTGCTTGGGGGAGAGCCACAGAGTGATTGTCCCATATTCAATGGGGCCCAGATACTTGTATAGCCCTATTTCAGAGGGGAAGAGGAGATGGGAATGTAGGTAATTACAGGGTGATACATGATTAAAGAAGAGAATAAATAGATCAGGGAACAGGGATTCACTTGTAAATGATGCTCTTTGAAAATTGACTGAGACTGAGAGACAGACATTATCTTGTGAAAGTCTGTCCTGGAGTGGTTACACTCTTGGTCCTGTTTTCTGTAATAGATAATGAGCTAACAGAGAGAGGAAGGAAAGACAGTTGTTCTCCTTGGATACTCCCTCTGGTCTCTATGTAGACAGAGAAAATTCTCCTCCAGCCTCTGTTGATCTCTGAAGGTCTTTAATTAAAAATGCACATTACATCAGGGACCACTATTTTGGGGTGAAGTTCTCTGCACTCCTTCAGTTTCACATCTTCTGCCAGTTAAGCCACCCTCTGTCTCTCTCTTACAGTAGCACTTGTGATTCCATTTAAGGTACACCTCGATAATCAGAGCTATTGCTCCACCACAGAATCCTTAAACACATTCCCAAAGACCCTTTCTCTACATCGGGGAACAACTACACATTCCAGAGATTAGGACCTGATACCTGTGTAAGCTATTATTTAGCTCACCACTACATTTGATATATACCTGTCCCTGGCCCCCAATCATTAGATTATAAAGAAGGGCTGTCCAATTGTCATCTGTCTTCACTGTGGTGCCAACCCTGGAGCTCCCTTGTTAATACCTATATAATCCTGAGCCCCAACATGGTTTCATCTACGCAGAGTAGGGCAGACCTCACCACGTGGGCCATGGGGCATTGACCTACTCTGTTTATCGGTGATCAGTTCTCTTCCCATGATCTGGCCTAAAGTTTCTGGAAAACAGTTTCTATGCATAATTATCCCAGGTGGATATTCCAGAGCTATAAAATGCAGAGATCCTGTCCTGGCCCTGTGTCTAAGCTAGAGAAACATTTATTTCAGGTTATTCTGAGGCTTGATGGGAATGACCCTGGTTCCTGGTCTAACCTAATAGTAAACATGTTCCCACAGCCAGGTTCTGAGTACTCCATGGGGCCTGAGCTAACCTCAGTTTTGGGGGACTGTTCTACTTTGTGAATCACTTTACCAGGCACACAGGCTCTGAAGTTCTTTTCTTCCCTCTTCTTTCCCTCTCTTCCTCATTCTCCCTCTCCTCTCTCACTCCATTGATCTTTTTCTATTCCTCAACTCCCCATTTGCTGTCATCTACTTTGATTTCCTCATTCTCCCTCATGTCTATATATCCATATACAGCTTAACTCCCCCCCTCCATCTCATCTGATTCCTCTGTTGATGAAAAAGCCAAACTCTGAAAAATATTTAGAGATTTATTCTTAACCAATATGAGTGACCATGGTCAAGGGAACAGTCTTAGAAGGTCTGGAGAAAGTGAGGTGGTTGGATTACAGCTTGGTTTATACTTTTTGTGGAGACAAAAGTTACAGACAAAGACATAAATCAATACATGTGTCAGAGGTGTTTGAACCAGAGAGACTCCATCTGAATAGGGGCATGGTAAAATAAGAGTGAGACCTACTGGGCTGCATTCCCAGGAGGTTAGGTATTCTTAACTTCACAAGATGAGATAGGAGGTTGGCCGGAGATGCAGGTCATACAGACCTTGCTGATAACACAGGTTGCAGTAAAGAAGCTGGTGAAAACCCCCGAAAACCAAGATGGCAACGAGAGTGATCTCTGGTCTTCACTGCTACACTCCCACTAGCACCAGGACAGTTTACAAATGCCATGGCAATATCAGGAAGTTACCCTATATGGCCTAAAATGGGAGTCACGAATAATCCACCCCTTGTTTAATATATCATCAAGAAATAACCATAAAAATGGGCAACCAGCAGCCCTCGAAGCTGCTCTGCCTATGATGTAGCTATTCTTTATTCCTTTGCTTTCACTTTACTGTATGGACGCACCCCGAATTCTTTCTTGCACAACATCCAAGAACCCTCCCTTGGAGTCTGGACCCTGACCTCTTTCCAGTAACACATGTAAGGTATACATTGGTAGGCCCAAAGATGTGAAATATTTCAAAGTGGGGACTTACAGGTAATAGGTGAATTCAAGGATTTTCTGATCAGCATTTGGTTGAAAGAATTTAGCTTTGTCTAAAGACAGTAGAAAGACATGCTTGAGTTAAGAAAAGGAAGGTTGTGGAAGCCAAGGTTCTTGTTATGTAGATGAAGCCTCTAGGTAGTATTCTTCTGAGAGAATAGATGGTCAATGTCTCTTTTCAGATTTTAAATACAGTCCAACTCAATTAAATCTCCTCTAGACGTGGCAAAGACCTAGAAAGGGAAAGAGATTCTAAAGATGCAAAACTTTACCCCACAAAAGGCTTTGCAGGGCCATTTCAAAATATATCAGATAAATATATTTTGAAGTAAAGTGTGTCAGTTTCTTTCAGGGTCTGCTGTCGTGTGATGCTATACCAGAGTCAAGTTGGAATTTGGCATCTTACTGCCAAAGGGTCTGTTTCATCCATATAAGGATGTCTATTTTAATGTTAATGCTGGTAAGTTTTGCCTAAACTCCAAAAAAAGAGGGGGTATAATGAGGCATGTCTGACCTGTCTTCCTTCATGGCCTGGAATTCAGTTTTTTCGGTTTCTTTGTAATTCCCTTGGCCCAGAGGGTGGACCCATTCATTCGGTCTGATGGAGGGCTTAGAGATTTTATTTTTGGTTTACACCTCAGACTCGATTCAAGTCAGCAAATACTTTTAGCACAAAGTATATGCCAGATATTGTTTAAAGTGGGATAAAGAACAGATGGTATGCCTGGCATGGTCCTGATCTGGAAGGACCTAACCTCTTCCTGCCTCTTCCTGGAACCTGTCTTTGCTTTTCAAATGCCTGCCAGTCTCTGCCTATCCTTTCCACTCTGTGTCCTGATTTCTTGTGTTCTCCTCTCACTTTCTCTTGTGTTCTCTGTCCTCTCTCTTCCTTTTGTTCTAAAATGGCATCAAAATCTTATAATAAAAATCTATCTCCCATGTTACTTGAATGACTCTCTACCAATCTCATTATGTTTGTTATAGATGAATATAATATGAGTGATTTTAAAAATATTATTTTATTAAATAAATTATGAAAAATACACAGCAAGGCCTGGGATTGACATGCTCATTTTCAGCCTCAATATTAAATCTCTAGACTGCACAAATGATTACACATTGAACTAAATGTATGGTTTTATCTTTTGTGCCTATAAAGAAAAGTCTTTCATATTATACAATTTGTACCACTTTCTCTTTTTTTTGCACATACACTTCTCCAGCTCCATTGCCAAACCTCAGCTGTCAATTCTGTTTAGTCCCGTTGATGAAAAGAACCAAATTCTAAAATATTTGAAGAGATTCTTTCTGAACCATATAGGAGTGACCATGGCCCATGACACAGCCCTCAGGAGATCTTGAGAACATGTGCTCAAGGTGGTAGGGGTGTGGCTTGGTTTTATGCATTTTAGGGAGACATGAGACTTCAATCACACACATTTAAGAAGTACATTGGTTTGGTCAAGGAAGGTGAAGTGTGGGGAGGGCGGGGGCGTGGGTGGTGGCGAGGGTCCAGGTTATAGGTAGATTTAAAAATTTTCTGACTGGCTATTGGTTAAGTTTATGTAAAGACCTGCGATCAATAGAAAGGAAATGTCTGAGTTAAGATAAGGAATTATGGAGGTCAAAGTTCTTATTATGAAGATGAAGGCTTCAGGTAGTAGGCTTTAGAGAGAATAGATTATAAGTGTTTCTTATCAGACTTATGGTCTGTGTCGATTTTAATGCTGGAGAGTATAATGAGGCAGGTCCAACCCCCACTCCCTGTCATGGCCTGAACCAGTCTCTCAGGTTAAATTTTAAGAGGGCCCTGGCCTAGGAAGAATTCTATTCAGATAACTGGGGAACCTTAGAGTTTTATTTTTGGTTTACATTCCACACTCAATTTTACTGAAAAAAAAAAAGAGACATCAAATGATAAGGTCATTGTATTGACACTGAATAGGTCTAATTTCTTTCATTGCTGGTTTGTTGTGCCTGTGGAATAAGAAAGTGGGTCTGAGATTGTGTTTGGCGGCGTTGGTGTCAGGCGCTGGGCAGTGATGTCCCACCTGGGCCTGGAGACACTGAGCATCCCAGGGAGAGGGAGTAGGAGAGGCTGAACAGAGGTCCTGAGCAGAAGATGGGCTGGCCTCTGTGCTGAGGCATGGACACGGCCTCCTCTGGGTCAGGCTTAGACAAAGATGCACTGAAATTAGCACAGCCCTTATGTGGGTCTTGGGAGGGCGAGGCTGTCTGATTGATGGGTCAGCATGTCCTGGATGTGTCTGTTTGGACAGAGAAGCCATTGTGTCCTGTCCACTGGCCTCCCAAGCGTCCTGGCAGGATTCTCATCCCTTCCAGATCTGGCTTCCTGCTACCTCACAGTTACTGAACCCCTTCGTTTTTTCCAAACTGACACTCTGCCAAACTCCCACACTCTCCCAGACCCATCATTTCATCTCTCTGTGTCTCTGGGCATTGAATTAAGAGCATTCAATGCTCTGTGTCTCTGGGTATGGTATGTGCATGATGCTTGCATACGTGTGTGCATGCGGGTATATGTGTAGTGCATGCATATGTGTACCTGCATGCACACGTGTATGAGTGCATCTGTGTGCCTATGTATGTGTGCACGTGCATGCACAGTGCATTCTGCACTGCCACCGCCTTTTATGTATTTTGACTGCACACAGAGACTGTCTCAAGGATGTTCCTTGTGTTACCTCAGGGAGCGCAGCCTGTGAAAGGCAGTGTGAGAAACTCCCCACTCTGTACGCACAGCTCCTTTCCTCCATCTTCAAACTTGCACTTAAGGAGTGAGATCTTGAAAATAAATTCTGTGCTTTGAAAGGTGAAACCAGAAAGAAAGGCAGTCAGTTGCTGTTGTCTTCCTCTGAAGCAGCTGGCAAAGCCTGGAACCTGAGCGCTTGAAGAGCCGGAGCGTGGGTAGGCTGCGGTGTTGCAAGGGAACGTTCCCAAACAGAGCCCAAAACACCACTGAACCTTCCCCTGTCCTTCTCCTGGGCCCAAGGCATGTCTCACAGCTTATGGACCTAAGAGTTGCAAACTTCTTCAGGCTGTCAAAAAGTCGACACTGTGAAATGACTGTCTGTGTTGGGGGCGTCTCCCATCCTTCATGTTCAATTTCCAGAAACAAAAGTATTTACTATGTGAGATTTTTGAGACTGCCAAAGGTACATCTAACAGCTTCTTCCGTCCTCCCTCCTCCACCTTCCTCCCTCTTTGCTTCCTTTCTTCCTTCCTTCCTTCCTTCCTTCCTTCCTTCCTTCCTTCCACAAACACATCCTGAGCCCTGCAGTCTGCTGGCCCAGCAATCCACATTTATGATGCTGGGGACAGGGTAGAGAAAGGAGAGGCAGTGCCTGCCCCCAAGGACTTTGCACCTGGGGCGGAGGGTGGGGAGGGACGTGAAACAAACATATAATTAGAAATGATAGTCCTTGCCTTGAAGAGGGTCACCAGGGCTGTGAGGGAGACTCACAGGCAATTCTCATCTAGGCTGTGGGGCAGGCGATAAGAAACAACCTCTCTGTGTGAGTAGCACTCCATTCTTTCATCAATCAACGCTCTTCCACCGTTTCCTGAAAGCCTACTGCTCTAGAGGCTGGAGAAACAGTAGGGATCAGAATAACTGAGGCTTCACATCTGCAAGGATGCTATTTTTCAGAGAACAGACACAGACGGTAAGCAAGACAGGGCCAGGCTGGGAGCCAGCAGCCCTGGGCTGAGATTCACGGGAGGCTAGCTGGAAAATCATGACGGGAAGGCATTCAGAGGACATGTTTTCTCCTCTTTGCACCCTTTCCACCACCAGTCCTGGGCTCCAGGCTGGCAGAAGAGAACTAGGACCCCGCTGGGTCCCCATTATGGGACTGAAGGACTGCAGAACCCAAGCTGTGCTGGTAGTAGACCAACTGAGGACCCTAAGTCCATGACCTGGGAACATACCGGTCATGAGCCTCCTGTCACTGTGCAAAGAGCTTACTCCCTACAGCGGGGACCTCCCATGACATAAGGTGAATACATCATTGTGCTTGCCTCTTTCAGCACTTTGGTCATGAGGAGTGTAAAGGAAAATGAAAAGAAATCTCAGAACCCCTAACTTCTAGAGACCGAGTCACAAAACACCACCAGCATTTTCCCAAAGAAACAAAGGTTACTTTACAAGCTGGGGTCCAAGCATTCCACACTCAACAAACTGTGGCAGGAGAACAGGGAGTTAGAGTAAACGGGGGTTCAGCATATGCAGCCAGTTCACATAAGCAAAAGAACAGCAGGTGCCGCCAGTTTGTATAAATAGGAGAGCAGTAGGGGCTGCATAGAGGCCACGTCCTCCCGCCCATGGTAACAAGCCACTCTGGCCTCTGATGGACTGCAAGCTGGGTCTCCACTGCAGCCTCTGATGGACTGCAAGCTGGGTCTCCACTCCAGCCTCTGATGGACTGCAAGCTGGGTCTCCACTGCAGCCTCTGATGGCCTGCAAGCTGGGTCTCCACTGCAGCCTCTGATGGACTGCAAGCTGGGTCTCCACTCCAGCCTCTGATGGACTGCAAGCTGGGTCTCCACTGCAGCCTCTGATGGACTGCAAGCTGGGTCTCCACTGCAGCCTCTGATGGACTGCAAGCTGGGTCTCCACTCCAGCCTCTGATGGACTGCAAGCTGGGTCTCCACTGCAGCCTCTGATGGCCTGCAAGCTGGGTCTCCACTGCAGCCTCTGATGGACTGCAAGCTGGGTCTCCACTCCAGCCTCTGATGGACTGCAAGCTGGGTCTCCACTGCAGCCTCTGATGGACTACAAGCTGGGTCTCCACTGCAGCCTCTGATGGACTGCAAGCTGGGTCTCCACTCCAGCCTCTGATGGACTGCAAGCTGGGTCTCCACTGCAGCCTCTGATGGCCTGCAAGCTGGGTCTCCACTGCAGCCTCTGATGGACTGCAAGCTGGGTCTCCACTGCAGCCTCTGATGGGCTGCAAGTTGGGTCTCCACTCCAGCCTCTGATGGGCTGCAAGCTGGGTCTCCACTGCAGCCTCTGATGGACTGCAAGCTGGGTCTCCACTGCAGCCTCTGATGGACTGCAAGCTGGGTCTCCACTGCAGCCTCTGATGGACTGCAAGCTGGGTCTCCACTGCAGCCTCTGATGGCCTGCAAGCTGGGTCTCCACTCCAGCCTCTGATGGACTGCAAGCTGGGTCTCCACTGCAGCCTCTGATGGGCTGCAAGTTGGGTCTCCACTCCAGCCTCTGATGGGCTGCAAGCTGGGTCTCCACTGCAGCCTCTGATGGACTGCAAGCTGGGTCTCCACTGCAGCCTCTGATGGACTGCAAGCTGGGTCTCCACTGCAGCCTCTGATGGACTGCAAGCTGGGTCTCCACTGCAGCCTCTGATGGACTGCAAGCTGGGTCTCCACTGCAGCCTCTGACGGGTCGCAGGCCAATCCTTCATGGGGTGTAGCCAATTGGAGGCCTCTAAAGGGCACGGAGGGGTGTTGCCAGGTTCCTCGAGCTTAGTAAAAACCCTAATTAAGGAGGCTCTTGACTGCTTGCTCGAGCCGGCTCCCGCTCTGTGAATTATCCTCAATAAATCTGTGCTTTTGTCGCTCCGTTCTTCTGTTGCTTTGTCTTTCATTGCTTCATTCTTTTGTTACTTTGTGTGTGCATTTTGTTCGGTTCTTGGGTCAACACTCCAAGAACATGGACACTTTATCTTGTAACAAAACCCCACAGAAAAGCAAAGACCTCTGGCGTCTCTGGGTGACTGCCCCCACAAACTGTTCTTTGCTGGCCTGGAACTGTTTCAAGATGTACATCCTCCCATCAAACAAGGACATGTCAATGGCAACTTCAGGTCTGCAATCCAAGCCCCTGCTCCTAAAACTAAAGTCTTTTCCATTCCGCACTGATGATGCTCATCTTCCCAGGTATGAAACTGACGAGATGACCCATTCTTCTGCCTTCACTGCTCTCCCTAGGCGTCTTCCCCGCTTAAGAGGAAATGCATGAACACCGAGCCTCAGTCACACACACAACCGTGGCTGGTGTTTCCTGGGTGTGCCCTCAGCTGTGGCTGAATAGAGCTCAGTTGATTGAGACTCTTGCCTCAGTCACTTATTTTGGATTAAACAAGAAAATAAATGCAAAGGTGTTTTAGAAAATTTAAAAACTGACTTTAGAAGCTAAGTATTCTTTTCCCACAGAACACAGTCTCAACAGAAGAAGGATGAAATGCTCCCACGCTTGCCGCCCTCGGCTCTTTTACAGGTCTCGAGTTGTTGCTGGCCTTCCTGATCACGTCTTCCACCCCCAACCCATATTCCCTTTCTCCTCTGCAGGCATCTTGGCTGGCCGTGGTCCTCAGTCCTCTACCTGGCAGGGGACACAAACTTTCATTCCGGAAGGGTCTGAGACATTCATAGTTCATCTGGACTGGCTAGTTGCAGTTTTCAACTGACCTCAGTTGCAGGACATGGCAGTACTAATAACAGACTGGACTTGGGGGATCTCTTCTTGAACCTTGAACCTCGCTGACCAGATGTTTAAAATATTTAGTGTTGTGTTGAACATGGGGAGTCAGGCTAAATGGCACCCATGAGGCATAAGCATATTGAAGATGACCGTAAGAGGGGGACAAGATGCTCACCTCCTGTTATTAGTCTTGGTGCGTGTGGGACCGGACAAAGCAGATTTAAACTGAAGCAAAATAAACTCAGATCAGACAAAAAAGGGAGTCTTAAAGAAGAGCAGATTGAGGCTCTGCAGGGTATAATAAAGACAGCTTTCAGTTTCCCCCCAGGAGAAGATCTACAACAGGAGACAGAGTGACCCCTTTAGAGGCAGGAGGAGAAATAAATGGCCACAGGCTGCCCTCATCTAGGCCAGGGTTCTGGCAGCAATGAGAACAGGTCTGCAGGAGGAGAAGTGCATTTGAACCCATCTTACTCATCGTCTGTCTCTTGGCTCTTCAAAGTGAATGCAGTTGGAAGGAAAGGGACAGGTTGGTTCTGTGCTTTGCCCAAGTAGGTCCAAATTCTGTTTTTTCAGGATGTAGCAGGGTGACAAACTTGATCTTAGCACAACAGGGGCAGTGAGGTCCTCATCCCCACCAGTCCTCTGCCCTAGGCTTACAGGACCTGCCCCCAGCGGGACAGGAGCTCATCCTACACTGTCCCAGTGTGTCTGTGGGACACCTTAGCTCCCTGACTGATTCCTCAGTGGCTCAGGGGCTCAGGGAGCCTCCTCACACCCGAGGTCCCTGTCCCCGGGTGTGGGGGATCCCTATGAATGACATTGTGGGTGATTGGGACTCCTCACAGAACAGGACCAGTAAAGGGCCTGCCTGGCTCTAGGCACTCACTCAGCTGCACTGGAATGTGGAGAAAGAGGCTGCAGAGCACACCCCTAGCCCTAATTAGGAAAGAAACAGAGTGGTCTTGAGTCAACTCCTGAAGGCTGTCTGTGCCCTGGATCGATGGCCCACAGGACATGCAGAACGGAGGCAGGAAGTCCCAGTGTAAATGGCAGACTTCAGTTTCGAGGACTTAGATTCCACTGGGAAGCAGCTGTCCAATTCACAAAATTGTCGGTGATCAAAATAAATATAATAAAGTAGTTCATTTTAAGCAATGCAAAGAAAGCTGAGTGGCAGATAAAGCTAAAGATGAGCTCCAGATGCCACCAGGCATTGCACGTGGAGGGACTGCATAGCACGCGTCCAGTGTAACTTACAACTCCTGGGACGCTGGGACTGTGCAGTGTTAATTCTAATGACTGTGCAGTGTTAATTCTAATGGCACATGGAGGCATAATTAATTAACCTTTCAGTTACTCTGGGTCCTGCCCTTATCCAAACATAAATATGTATATGCTGGGAAAATTTTGCAATATAGAAAGCCGACATTGTTGACTCCTTGTTCATAGGCAAAACCAGATTCACAGCTCCCTGCCTTTTTCTTCAAGCGGCTCCATGAGTCAACTTGGATGTGGTCTTCTCTCCTTGACGCACATCCTCCGATCTGACCAGTTGTCCAAGTGATGCTCCAGTGCTTTTCAATTTTGACTGTGCGGCAGAATCACCGATGGATTTTATTTTATTTTTAAAATAGGGGTACGTATGTCTCATCTCACCCAAGGTGAGGTCCGTGGATCTAATGTTACGAAGCCCACAGTGGGTCCCAAATCCCAGCTGAGCTCCAGGACTAGGAACGTCACCCACCCTCCCCGCTGCAGAGCGGCACCATGACTTTTGTTCTTCCTGTGGTGGAAACAGAGCTTGCCTAGAGATTCTAGACACAGCATCTCTCCGAAAACAAGCTGGGGCTCTGCCGCCCTCACTGGAGTACAGCCAGTGCTGTGGAGCCCCCAGAGTGGCCACAGAGATAGAGGGGACTTAAAACTGAGTAGGGGGCAACAGAGTTGGGGGTCTATCCACCACATGTGGACACACAGCAAGTCAGGCATGTGGGAAGGAGGGAACAGCAGCGCAGAATGGAAATGGCAAATGTTCATCCAGCCAGGTGTTATTTTATTGATGGCTTCTGGGGAAATGGGATGGACACGTTTAGAACAGCCTTGGGTTGAACTTGACGCTGCAAATGGAACTTAATTGCTCAAATAATGTCGTATCAATTTCATATAAATGATAAAGAAGGAAAGCCTCTCTTTCTAGAGAGAAAACTCTCCTGATGGCATCAGGCTGTCCCGGGGAGTCACTGCTTCCCTTTTTTGTTGCGGGGCATAGCGGGAGGTGAAGCTGGGAATTGACAATCTCTTTTTTCTGCTGGATTGAAACCTCCTGGAGCAGAAAAATAGTTTTTTATTTTGCAAATGAAAGTCAAAGATGTGGCAGGAGTTGGGGGTGAGCATTGCAAGAGCTAAATCCGGTGCTTCTGACAGCCCAGCCCTAGTGAGAGGGCCCCTTCTGAGAGTCCCAGGGACTCTTACGTAAATGAAACTCAAATAAAGCTCCCCACAGCACCTGAGCTTAGGGGCACCAGGCTCTGGGACTCTGTAGGTGCTCCCAGGAGATTCCATCCCCAGGATAACACTGCAGGTGAATTTGTACTTTTCCTACCATGCAAACCATACTCTGATTGGTAACTGTTCAGGATTCTAAGAAATAAATTTATTGAACCAAAGTATTGTATAACTTATTTTGCTTTAAGTTATATATTTTTCCTTGTCATTAGTAACCAAAGAATAATTATTCTGCCATTTTTAATTACAGTATATGCATATAGAAAGTATTTCTTTTTTGTTAGAGAATGTGTGCTACATACCTTTAGGCTCTACCTTCCAATCCGAATGGAAGGCTGGCATGCTCCCTCTTCACCTGGTAATAGCCCTTGGTGTACAGATTTGGTGTCTAGGAGAACATCCCAAGTCTCTGGCATGTGGCGTCACCACGCTGGGGAGTGGCAGTGGCTCTCCTGTGTGGAGCACTCTGTGCAGGCTGTGCCGCTCCCAGGCAGGGCAGGCATGCTGCATTCAGAGCCTGTAAGACCCTCTCCCAGGGCTGGTCGGAAAGCAGCTGGTTCTGATGAGGAGGCTGTAAGGCTTCCAATCTTGGGGACCCCTTGTGTCTGGAAAGAGGGATCTGGGAGTCCTAGAAAAATCTCCCAGGGCAGGTCTCCATTCCAGAGAGTAAAAGCTGCAGCCTCGAGCGTCTCTTCTCCTCCCAGCTGTCCCCGTTCAGGTCAGGGACCAGGGCAGGCTTTGTCACCAGGGAGGTGGGTACCGGGTGGTCCCGGCCAAGTGGCCAGGCTCCAGTCTGGGGAAGCCTTTGAGCTGTCTCTGCAGGGCTTGAGAGGTGGGGAGGAGGGAGAGGGACAGGCTAGAAGCCCAGGACAAGGAAGTGAGGTCAGGCCTGAGTGCAGACACTGGGCAGCCAAGGTCCAGAGACGCTGAGGTCTGCTCTGGCCACAAATGAGCCCAGACTCCAGCTTCTGACCCTCCCCATGACTCTGTCCCCACACACGGGGGCCTCTCATGGGCCACGGCCTATGGCCCACAAAGTACAAGCTCCTTACCCTGCCCCTTGCCCAGCCTGGGACCTCCCATGTTCTAGGAGGATGAGGAAGTCCTGGGAACCATTTCTCTATTTCTCTTCCTCTCTGACCTGTGAATCTCTTCTTCTTACTTCCAAAAGGCCAGGGCAGAAGTCAGAATGGCTGCTTGGTCCACGGAAGCCTGAAGCCTGGTGCCTAAAGTGAATATGGTCTTGGCAAGATCAGAACTGCTGAGAGCCAAGGTTTCCTTATTGACTAAATTAAATCACAATCCTCCCCCGGCTAACCTAGAACTCTGGGAATCAAATATACCAATAAAATGTCTGTAAAAGCACTGTTTGAATTTGCATTTGCACCACTGCTCTTAGTAGAGGAAGCGGCAGCCTGAGGCTGATGTGAGCACTGGGCTGGGAGTCAGCGGTTCTAAGTGTGAGCACTGGGCTGGGAGTCAGCGGTTCTAAGTGTGAGCCCCAGCTCTGCAACCTACCAACCTATTTGGGACTCTCCACTTCTCATCTGAAAATGCATAGGCCAGAAATAGCTGCTGCCCTGTCTGCTGTTATCATCTCAGTCAGTGAACAAGTGTGTGGGGATCATCAGTCTGTACCAGGTACCCCTGTAGACATGGGACTGGCATTGTGCGTTCAGACATGGGCCCTGACTGCACGTCTCACATCCCAGTGGCGAGGAGACAGACAGCAAACAGGTAGGTAATTAAATAAATACGATCATTTAATCTTCTTTATGTGTGTGGTGATGCTGGTGTAAACAGACATACCGCTCTGCCAGGCCTATAAAAGTCTAGCACACACAATTATGTTCTGTACATAATAAGTGATAATGATATTAAAAGGTTTACTGATTTACATATTTAGTATACTATACTTGTTATGGTTTTAGAGTGTGGGCTCCTTCTACTTATAAAAATAAGTTAACTGTAAAATGGCCTCAGGCAGGTCCTTCAGGAGGAATTCTGGAAGAAGGCTATCACAGGAGATGACAGCTCCTGCATGTTATCGCCCCTGAAGACCTTCCAGTGGGACAGGATGTGGAGGTGGAAGACAGTGATAGTGACAGTCCTGACCCTCTGCAGGCCTTGGCTAATGTGTGTGTCTGTGTCTTAGATTTTTTTTTTTTTTTACCGAGACAGAGTCTTGCTCTGTCGCCCAGGCTGGAGTGCAATGGTACCATCTTGGCTCACTGCAACCTCTGCCTCTCGGGTTCAAGCAATTCTCCTGCCTCAGCCTCCCGAGTAGCTGGAATTACAGGTGCCTGCCACCACATCCGGCTAATTTTTGTATTTTTAGTGGAGACGAGGTTTCATCCTGTTGGCCAGACTGGTCTCAAGCTCCTGGCCTCAAGTGATCCGCCCTCCTTGGCCTCCCAAAGTGCTGGGATTACAGCATGAGCCACTGTGCCCAGCCTGTGTCTTAGTTTTTAACTGCAAAGTTTAAAATGTTAAAAAAAAATTTGAAAACAGAAAAAATCTTATAGAATAAGGATACAAAGAGGAAATATTTTTTACAGCTGGACAATGTGTTTGTATTCTAAGCTGAGTCATTACAAAAGAGTCAAAAAGTTAAAAGCATACAAATTTATAAAGTAAAAAGTTACAGGAAGCTAATTTTCTTTCTGAAGTTCAGTCCGGGCGTGCAGCGGGCTCCGCCATCCGGCCCGGGCGTGCAGCGGGCTGTGCCATCCAGGTGTGTGTGGGTGTCTCTGCGGTGTTCACACAATGGCAAAATCACCTAATGACACTTTCTCAGAACAGAGCACTGTTGTTAAGGGATGCGTGGCTATAAGAATGTCGCGTTCAGGGAGAAATTGGGGCTGAGGACACAGATGTGGCAGCCATCGTGAATTTGGTCATTCAAGTTGTGGCACCTAAGGGACACACCCAGATAGCAGGAGCGAGGAGAGGTCAAGATCCAGCTCTAGACAGCCCACGGGAGGAGGACTGGCTGAGAAGGGGGAGCTGACACAAGACAAGGAGAGGGAGGTGGCGCAGGTGAAAGGAGCCGGGGCAGAGTGTTGCATGGTGCCCCCTGCTGTTAGGGTGCAACGAGATACAAAATATAATCCTTTCGGTAAGTTTTACAGCACTGTTTAACTGCTAGTCACAGTGGGCCCCTGGGTGTGGGCGGAGGGAACAGCTGACCACAGCAATGAAGAAGAGATGACAAGAAGCTACCGGGGCCACTGGTTCCTCGGCTCCCTGGTCCTGGAGGAGGCTGGGCTAGACTTGGGAGGAGGGGAGGAGGTGTCTCCTGCTGCCACCAGGACCATGGCTGCCCTCCCTCACTTGCCGTGGGCCTCCCTCCCTCTGCCCTTCCCTCCCTCGCCACCTGGGGGTACTCAGTCACTTACTTCCACACTCGTTCTTTAATGTCCATGAGCAAACCCGGAGATGAGGGCGGCTATACTCAGGACAGGATCAGGGTCCATGATGTTGGGTGTTTACAGTGTCTCCCAAACACATCGTGACAGAGGACCAGGAACCTCCAGAGAGGGCCCTTCCCAGCCGCACGGCAGCAGCGCAAGTGCACGCGGGGCCCAGGATGCTTCAGAGCTGAAGGAACACCTGGGAAGGGCCCCATCAGTGGCAGGGTGTGGGGGGGTTCGTCCAGGACTTCGTGCATGTGTCACTGCAGTTATGTCATTAGAGATTTGTTTTGCTTGGGGATTTTCATGGAGTGTTTTGTTTTTATCTGAGTTACAAACACAGTCAGGTAGATACACACGTGCCCAGCCTGTGATATTTTTGCCAAGAAGTAAGACCTATTAAAAAGCATATTTTTATGGATTCAATCCCTTAGGCCAAGAGCAGAGACATGGAGTTATGCAGAGGTGGGGGTGACAGGGCAGGAGGGTGTTTCAGGGGAAGCATGAAGCTGTCTCCTCCCTTTCTTCTGGGCCACCTCCTGGGTGAGCTGGAGCAGCTGGCCAGGCTCAGATTGCTCCTCCAGGCAGCGGAAGGGGCCCCTGCCCAAAAGGTGAGAGATGCCAGATGGCCTGGGGCACAGCAGGCTTGGCTAAGTCGGCCCCCAGAGCACGGAAAGGCTCTCTGAGAGCTCGGATCCCACCTGCTTTGTCAGAGTGAGTATTTCCTTTCTAGAGGCCAGGAATGGAGACGCATCAGCCTCAGCGGAGTGAGCAGGGCTCAAACAGGACACCACTAGGGCCATTGGGCTTCCTCCATGGCACTGACTTCTTAGGCAGCTCCCCACCTTCTCAGGAGAAACCATCTCCCCTCAACGGCAGGGTGAGCAGCACCTATCTTTTCAGGGGGAGGCGAGTATTCTTCACGTACAGAGGAATAGGTTTGAGCACGCTGGGAAAACCAGGGTCACACAGCATGGAAATGCCTCTGTCGAAGGAGGAGAACAGGAGGCCCAGGTGGGACTGAGGGGCCACTCACACCCAGGAACCACCTCCAGCTCCCAGCCTGGGGTGCCTGATGGTGCCACAGCTTCGGGCGCCACGTTTGGTTAGAGGCTGCTGTGGTCATGAATGTCCCTTCTCCAAGGGTTTTGGGTCTGAGGACCCAGTGAGCCTCTCCCCTCTCCAGTGTACTCACAGGAGGCTGAATTCCCTGGGGTCCTGGGGTCAGGAGCACCCACCTAGAGCCACAGAAGACCCAGGATGAGCCACTCCAGAACATCCCTGGTTTTGTTTTTACCAAAACCCAGGAAGAGGTTGTGATTTCAAGCATGAGGTTTAGAGACAGGAAGAAAACTAATATCCTTGGGTACCTACTCCACAGCGGCCTCCTGAAACTTCTTTAACCCTCCGCCAATGGCAGCACCCATTTTGCAAAGGTGGAAACTAAGATTTAGACCAGGGCTGTCCAATAGCACTTGCTGTGGAGCTGGGTCAATACAGCGGCCACCAGCCACAGGACACTATTGAGCAGTGTGGCAAGTGCACCAGGAAATGGGATTTTAAATTGTATTGCCTTTTATTTGAATTAAGTGTAAATGCAATAGCTGCCTGTGGCTAGTGGCTGCTACACTGGACGGTGCAGACCTAGGGAATAAATGACTGTCCAGGACCACACAGCTACTAAGGAGCTGGACTGGAGTCACGCGCTAACCCTTTAATTTTCCTGAGGCTCCTCTCCTTGCCCCACCCTGTGGCTGCCATGTGAGCAGTGACCACAGAAAGTGAGAAGCCAGTGATCAGGGAGGGACCTTCCCATTGGAGCTGTTTCCTCCTGAGTCAGCCCCAGGATTCGGGCTCCCACTTCAGGCCACTCCTGCACCCCGGGACTTTCACTCTGAGAAATCCTTTACCGTGGAAGCAGGTGACATTTTTGTGAGACACTTTTGTGATGTTTGTGATTGAAGTCTCTGTGAAGTTCTAGCCTGGGTGGAGGGAGGGTGCCCGGGCCAGGGATGGGAGAGAGGCTGTAAAAGATGAAGCAATCATTGAAAATCTGAGACTTCATCAGAAACTTTCCATTCAGCTCGGATCTTTGCTGAGACTGACCTTCCAACTGGATTTAACTCCTGCATTTTTTGCCACCAGGTTTCCAGCTGCAGAGATCTGATACCCACTCAGTATTTATCACTCTTTGGTTGTACGAGATAGAAGCTTCGCAATTCACAATGAGCCTCGGGTTTCGCCTGATACCATCTCCAAATCTTTGCTAGAGGGTTTCTTGTGGCCCTGAGGCCCTTGTCCTGCTCACATTTTCAGGGGACACTGAGTGTTCTCACAACGCAGAGATGGCCTGACCCAGAAAAATGGTGTCAGCCCTGGGTCAAGCCCTGCCCCACTGGGCCACATTTCCCTCATGTGCGATCACAGTGGTAATAAAACACCAACAGTCATCACTTCTGAGGGTTTGCTCTACACCAAACAGACACTATGCGCCTATTTATTATTTTATTACATTATTACCTTATTTCCTTATCAACACATTGGTGCTACTCCTGCAGGAAAGCACAGTGACTAGCCCAGATCACCAGCTGGTAAGTGGAGGGCCTGGAGTCAAACTCCAATCTGCTCCGCTCCCCTGAATATTCTCGGATTTACTGTGTTCCACAGCTTCAGGGATGATGAGAGTGTTACCTACACCAAGAGGTGTCAACAAGTGAGGGTGAACATGTCAAATGGACCAACCACTGAGCCTGTAGTCATATGTCTAAAAGAGAGGGAGATTTGGAGCTATGGACTGTCCTTTCTCCCTGCACCGTGGACTGTTCTTTCTCTCTGCACCGTGGACTGTTCTTTCTCCCTGCACCATGGACTGTTCTTTCTCTCTGCACCGTGGACTGTTCTTTCCCCCTTCACCGTGGACTGTTCTTTCTCCCTGCACCGTGGACTGTTCTTTCTCTCTGCACCGTGGACTGTTCTTTCCCCCTTCACCGTGGACTGTTCTTTCTCCCTGCACTGTGGACTGTTCTTTCTCCCTGCACCGTGGACTGTTCTTTCCCCCTGCAGCGTGGACTGTTCTTTCTCTCTGCACCGTGGACTGTTCTTTCTCCCTGCACCGTGGACTGTTCTTTCTCCCTGCACCGTGGACCGTTCTTTCCCTCTGCACCGTGGACCGTTCTTTCCCTCTGCACCGTGGACTGTTCTTTCTCCCTGCACCGTGGACTGTTCTTTCCCCCTGCAGCGTGGACTGTTCTTTCTCTCTGCACCGTGGACTGTTCTTTCTCTCTGCACCGTGGACTGTTCTTTCTCCCTGCACCGTGGACTGTTCTTTCTCCCTGCACCGTGGACTGTTCTTTCTCCCTGCACCGTGGACTGTTCTTTCTCCCTGCACCGTGGACTGTTCTTTCCCCCTGCACCGTGGACTGTTCTTTCTCCCTGCACCGTGGACTGTTCTTTCTCCCTGCACCGTGGACTGTTCTTTCTCCCTGCACCGTGGACTGTTCTTTCCCCCTTCACTGTGGACTGTTCTTTCCCCCTTCACCGTGGACTGTTCTTTCTCTCTGCACCGTGGACTGTTCTTTCCCCCTGCACCGTGGACTGTTCTTTCCCCCTGCACCGTGGACCGTTCTTTCCCCCTGCACCGTGGACCGTTCTTTCTCCCTGCACCGTGGACTGTTCTTTCTCCCTGCACCATGGACTGTTCTTTCTCCCTGCACCTTGGACTGTTCTTTCTCTCTGCACCGTGGACTGTTCTTTCTCCCTGCACCATCCTTTTCTGGATTTCACTTACTCCAGCCAAGCCGGTGGCCCTGGGGGTGGCTGGTGGTGAGCTCGACCTGCCACTTGTCCCCTGTCCACATAGGTCACATGGACTCCCACCATCCCCACATTAAAATCTGCCCGGCTTACTGACATTTTAACTGCTTCAGCTTTCACTGACATCATTTTCTTCTTCTTTACATTTTCTAAATTACTGCATTACCAAGACACAGAGGCTTAAAATCAGAAAGTTTTAAAGTAAAACGTAGAAGACAAAACCAAAAATCAAACAAAAGACAAATTGTGATCCAGTGGAACTGCCGAGTGGGGATGGCCAGTGGGAGGCTTCTCTGGCACTTGGCAGGGCAGCTGACATTTGTCCAAGGCTTAGCTTGAATTTCAAATTTCATCCTGGCCTTTGGGGTCCTGGCAGGTTTAGCAAACCTGGCATTATTGTCATAGCCGCTCATGATTCAGATGATGTCAGAGTGTTCTGGCTGGACCAGTGGAGAGGTTCACATCTGCAAATAGGACTGGAAGGGGCGGCAAGAGTCAGAGGCAGACAGTCTAGCATCTCAGCTCTGCTACCACTTCGTGATGGGGAGGCCAAGTTACGCAAAGCATTCCAGCTCAGTCAATATCTGGAGATGGGTCCTTTGTGGAATCTTCTTCATCAGAGAGTGACTAATACCATCTATGATGAAGCCCTCCTCCAGCTTTGCCTGGCCAGGTAGGCTCCTTTCCCTTCTCCTGCAACGTGTGGTGCATCCCGCATGCTGCTGTACCATGGTTGGGGGTGTTCAAGTGTGGGTTTGCCTCATGAGACTATGAGCCCACCGAGGACGGGGACCTTTGTGTTCCCAGCTATTAGCATGTTGATAACTTATATTCCCAGCCCTTAGTATGTTGCTGACTTATATGAGGTCCCTTTATAGATGTTGACCAGCTTGAATTATACTGAATGAAACAGACACAACTCAGGGAGGTGTAGGTAGCCCCTCCAGTTCTAGGGATGGGCACCAAACTCCCATCCTGGCTCCCAGCAGCTGGGAACCTGTGGATTGGTTTCTGCTGTGATCTGCGACTGTGCAAGTGGCAGGTGTCATTTTGGAGGCCTTGACCTCCTGTGAGGGGAGATGCCCAAGAACCTCTTGTAGCCAATTTTGGTCCTGTTTTGGGAGCCTCCCTCATTTCTTTCCCAGGTAGCTAAAGGGCAGCCTCCTGGCACTTGTTTTTGCCTTCCTCACCCCTCCTGATAGGGTTTCCTTCTCACTTAACCATCAAGAAGAGGTACAAAGAACCAGTGAGGGAGCACCTCAGGTACTTCTCAGGCAGGGAGCACAGTCTCATTGCTGCTGAGCAGGTTAAGAAATTGTCCAGGTTGTGCATCGATTGCTAGCTAAAGAAAGACCTTCCGAAGGCCCTGGGATGCCCCATTTGATGCTCTTTTAGCCTCATCTGTTCTGATTTGGGCTTTGGAAATATATCTTCAGCTTGCACTGAGAAATTGTCAAAAAGTACACCATTTGTCTATCTATTTCCTCATGTAGTTGTAGCTGAGAACACATAATGTCTTCAGTAAAGGTGGTCCATGGAGAAATCTCTCTGATCAGCATCCTAGGAGCAGCTGTGCCCCTCCACAGCAAAACAAACAAATAATAACCTCATAGCCAATTTGGAGCTCACTAATAATAACTCTCAGGTCCCCAAACGGCAACACCACAGAGGCTGGAACCATGCAGTTTTGCATACGAACGTCTCTCCTGACCTCCCCCTATCTTTCACCCATTTTTTTCTTTTTTCTTTTGTTCCTTGACCCACTTATTTTACATTTTACTTCATCTTGCTTGGTTCTATATATCTTTTTGAGGTGCCTTAATGTTTTTCTTGACCTGCTTTGAGTACAGATCCATAAATGCTTAAATAATAGATTATTGTGCCCTGGCAGAGTTGTCATAAATCCTTCCTTCATCCTGGGCTTAATCTCTACGGCTGGGGAAAAGGGAAATCACATATACATGCAGACAGCTGTGCTTGGTGCTTTTCTTACTTAGTCCTCACAGCAACCCCACAAAGTTATTTTCTCTCAGTTACAGATGAGAGAATTGGGGCTGAGAGAAGTTAAGTGGAGGTCATGTGGTCTCTGCTCAAGAAACTTTTTCATTATACAAAGCGTGGCTTTGCCACATATCAGCTTGGGGACTTTACGTGAGAATTAACCTCCCTAAGTCTCAGTTTCCTCACACATAAAATACAGATGAAAATACTTTAGAGGGCTATTATAAGCAGTATGTTTCATGAATATATAAAAGTTATATTGGTGCTTGAAACATGAGAATCAACAAGTGCCAGGTCCAGCCCTCCTCAGTTACATACAACCTGTCATCCTGAGTGATGTGGTCCAGGCTGAACCACCCAGCCTGATCCTGTGCTCTGTCCTATACCACCCGGCCTTTCCACAATGCCAGCAGCCACTCAGCAGGCACATAAACGTCCACATGCATGCTGCATTGAGAAATCTGTGTGCTTTGGGCATAGGTGACTTGCTGAGCAGCAGGAGATAGAAAAGTATTGCTGGACCCAAATTTGAACAGAGGAATGCACAATTTAAGATTTCCAATGTTAGTGCCCAGATTATATACCAGAAGAGCTCTGCTATGTGAAAAGCAAGAAACGTATTGCATCTTCTGGGTCAGTTTCTCAACCCAAGAGGGAAGTGACCTTCCTGAAGCCACAGGGCCAGAGCGGGCCGAGGTGTTTCCGTGCTCCATGTGGTTGGCACGTCTGTGGCTGACAAGGCAGCTTTCTCAATGGAGATGGACCCACAGGGGCAGTTGGGACCTCTCTTCTAGGCAGTCCACAGACAAGGGCATCAGTCTAGAGACAAAGGAATAAGAAAAGACCTTGCCAATCCCTCAGGGAGAGGTCTTTCAGAAGGGCAGTGTGCCGAAGGCCGGGAAACAGAGGCTTCTCTGCAAAGCTTAGGAACATGATTTCAGGGTAAATTTCCTCGCATGATTGTATTTTATTGCGGAGTCGTTAGGATAATATTGCTATTCTTTCCACACCAGTGGCGTCTCTGCCTGATTTTCATGTTCTGCTAATTCTTTGTTTTTGTGCTGAGAGCAGGTTATTTTTGTAAGGCAAAGGTTAAGAGAGATGGACACAGAGCCATTTGCCAAGGTCAGGCTGAAACCATCAGCTTCTTCCTCCCCATCGGTCAGGGCCATCTCCAGGCAGGAGTCTCCCGGAGAGGCAGAGATGTAAGCCCCATCTCTCAGACACCTTGGGACTGAGATTCACACACTAGCGCCGTGTGATGAAGTGGAAGCTCTTGTACCCTACGTGCCTCTAAGTTTAAAACTGTGGACAGGTGCAGAATGCTTGTGAGCACATGGTTTATGTGGAGTAAGCATCTTGGTCAGTCCTCGAGCTTTATAGAGGCCTTCAGCTGAGGAGCCATGTGTTTTCACAGAGGTTTAACAGAGAGAGAATGGCTTCATCTATGAAAAAAAAAAAGGCATGGCTCTGGTGTCAGGAGTTAGAACTTGGTTTGGATCCCGTTCCTGTCACTTACCCATCGAATCACCTTGGAGGAGTGGCTTTAAGATTCCTGATCCTTCGTTTTCTCGCCTATAACGAGAGGTAATGATTCTGCCCTGTCTGCTGATAGCACTGTTGTAAAGATGAAATGAGCTATTGCAGATGAAAACAGTTTTCACAATCTAAAGTGGAGTACAGACATCAGCTGGAAAGCACAGTCACTAAGAGCGAAGATTTTGGAGTTTACCTGTTTGAGGCCCAGATCTTCCACTGATAGCTGTGTGATCTTGAGTGCTTTGATTAACATCCCCAACTATAAACTTTTGCTAAGCAGAATTCCTTCAAAAATGTGTTATAATATTTACATGCGTTAATATATGCAAAGTACTTATGTTAGCATCTGGCACATAGTAAATAATATTTACTGTTTGTTGCTCTTGATGTTGCTGTTACTGGTTGTGTTATTAGGACTTGTGGTTTGTTATGATTGTTTATGTCATTAGAGACTTTACTGGAGTAATTCACAGTGCCGCGATCTCTGGTTACAACTCATGCTTCCAGAAGCCAATCTAAGTGTAGGATTCGATGTTGATCCTTCCTGTTGTATTAACAGA
Organism: Homo sapiens; assembly: GCF_000001405.40. Lineage (NCBI taxonomy): Eukaryota > Metazoa > Chordata > Mammalia > Primates > Hominidae > Homo > Homo sapiens. The sequence continues at coordinate 134,970,645 of NC_000011.10, read as the reverse complement.
ATCATAAGGCATTTGAACTGGGCAGACTCTACTTTCCAGCACACTCTATGTTAAGCTGCAGCCCTGCACCATTTACATACCCCCCTGCAATGTGGGAGGGTTTCAATTTCTCAGCATCTTTGCCAATGCTTATTGTTCATTTTTTTAAAAAATATCCATTGTGATGGGTATGAGTGGCATGTGACTATGGTCTTGACTTGCCTTCCCCTGGTGGCTCATGGGGCAGAGCATCTCTTCATGGGCTTCTTGGCCATTGATAAAGTTCCGGGAGAGATGCCTATTTAAATTCTTTGTTCACCTTAATTGGAATATTTTCCCTTTCGTGTTTGAGCTGTAAGACGTCTTTATTCTTTATACTAGACCCTGGTCAGATTACAGTTTGCAAATATTTTTCCCATTCTGTGGGTCAGTGTTTTTACTTTCTTCATAATATCTCAGTCTCATTTGTTGAAAAGATGATTATTCCTTATTGAATGGGCTTCGCATCCTTGTTAAAATCAGCTGAACACATGTGTGTGGATATTTTTCTGGAGCGTCAGTTCTGTTCCGCTGGCTTATGAGTCGATCTTTATGCCAGCACCGCACTGTCTTGGTGACTGTAGTGTGGCCCTGTGTTTTGAAATGTGTACGCCAACTCTGTTTTTGATTTTTTTCCTCTTTAAGATTGTTCTGGCTTTTTGGGTTACCTTGAATGTACATATGAATTTGCAAATCACCTTGTTCATTTAAAAAAACAGTGAAATTTTGATTAGGGTGGCATATTTGAAGATTGATTTAGTACATTTCACCATCTTAACCATATTAAGTCCTCTAATTCATAAAGATGAGATGTGTTTCCATTTAATTAGGTCTTCTTAAATTTCCTTCAACAATGTTTCATAGTTTTCAGTGTAAAGTCTTGCACTACTTTGGTTAAATTTATTTCTAAGTATTTTTTAATGCTATTGTAAATTAAAAATTTCATTTTCAGAAATTTTATTGCTACTTTATAAAAATATAACTGATTTTTATTTTTGTATATTTATTTCATACCCTGTATCTTTGTTGAATTTATTGCCTATAACACTTTGTGCATGTGTGTGTATTATTTAGTGTTTCTTTAATGCCATCTACAGATAGAAATAGTTTTATTTCTTCCTTCCCAATCCTTATATGTTTTATGGCATTTTATTGCCTAATTACGCTGGCTAGAATTTATAGTATAATGTTAAACAGAAGTAGTGAGAACAGAAATCCTCACCTCATTCCTGATTTTAAGGGGAAAACATTCAGTCTTTCATCAGGAAGTAGGAGGCTGGCTGTGGGTGTTTTGCAGACGCTCTTTAACAGGTTAAGGAAGATCCCTTTTATTCTTAGTTTGCTGTGTGTTGGTATTATGAAGGCGTGTTGGATTTTGTCAAATACTTTTTCTAACCATATTGAGGTAATCATATCCTCCTTTTTATTCTTTTATTATAGCATATTACATAGATTGATTTCCCTATGTTGAACTAGCTTTGCACTCTTGGGATAAATTCAACTATGTCATGATGTATAATCCTTCTTATATGCTGCTAGATTCATTTGCTAGTTTTGTTGAAGATTTTTCCATCTATATTTATATAAGGAATATCGTTCTGTAGTTTTTTCTTGTGAGTCTTGTCTGATTTTGTTATTTGGTCTTATAAAATAAGTTAGAAAGCGCTTCCTTCTATTTTTTGGAAGGGTTTGTGAAGGATTAGGGTTAATTATTTAAATGCTTAAGAGAGTCCACTAGTAAAGTCATCTGTTGTGGGCTTTTCATGTGGGAAATTTTTTTTTTGTAAATTATTATTAACTTCTGTAACTCTTACAGATGTATTTACATTTTCTATTTCTTATTGAGTCAGTTTTGTTATTATTGTTATTTGAGACAGGGTCTCACTTTGTTGCCCAGGCTAGAGTGCAGTGGTACAATCTTGGCTCACTGCATTCTCAAATTCCTGGGCACAAGGAATCCTCCCACCTTAGCCTCCCCAGTAGCTAGAACTACAGGCACGAGCCACCATGCCTGGCTAGTTAAAAAAAAAATTTTTTTTTTTGGTAGAGATGGGGTCTCTCTATGTTGCCCAAGCTGGTCTCAAACTACTGGGCTTAAGTGATCCTCCCACCTCAGCCTCCCAAAGTGCTGGAATTACAGGCAGGAGCCACCACAGCTGGCCTTGAGTCGGTTTTTGGTAGGTAGCTCATGTCCTAAAATTTGTTTACTTCATCTGAATTATTTGATTTGTGGCAAATTGTTTATAGTATTATTTTATAATCTTTTTTATTTTGTTCTAGTTGGAAGTAGCATACCCTTTTTATCTGATTTCAGTAATTTAATGTTTAACTCTTTTTTTCTTGATCATTTTACTTAGAAGTTAGTCAATTTTGGTGATATTTTCAAATAAACTTTTTTTCTCTTTTTTCCTCATTTTTTATTTTGTTTATCCATCATCTAATCTTAATTATTTCCTTCCTTTTGCTTGGTTTAGATGCCATTTTCTCTTCTTTTCTTACTTGTTTAGACAAAAAGATGAGTTTATTGATTTACAGTCTCTAATGTTTTTAATATAGGCATTTAACAGCTCTAAATGTCCCTCTGAGTGCTGCTTTCATTGTATCCCATAATATTCGGTCTGTTATGTTTTTGTTTTCATTCTTCTGAAGCTATTTTATAATTGCCCTGTGATTTCTTCTTTGGCACATTGGCAATTTAAAAGTGTCTTAATTTCCATATGTTTGAAAATTTACGAGATTTCCTTTTGTTATTGATTTTAGTTTTATTGCAGTGGCTTGAGAACATAGTATTATATGATTTCAATCCCTGTAAATTTATTGAGGCTTGTTGTATAGCCTAAAACATGTTCTGTCATGGAGAATTTTCCATATACACCTGGGAAGAATGTGTATTTTTTTTCCATTGTTGTGTAGAGTGCTCTGAAGATGTTTGTTAGGTCTGATTGGTTTATAATATTGTCCAAGTCTTCTATTTTCTTTGCAATGTGCTATGTAGTTTTTGATCCATTATTGAAGGTGAGATATAATAGTCTAATATAATAGTATAATAATCTCCAACTATTTTCCTAAATTGCATATACCTTCCTTCAATTCTGTCAGTTATTATTTCATGTATTTGGGGATTCTGTTGTAAAGTGCATAAAATTTACAGATATATTTTTTACCTTTTTGATAAATGTACTCTTTTATAGCTATAAAGTGTTGTTATTTAATGAAAATTTTTCTCTATTTTGTCTGATACTAGTATAGTCACTCCTGCTCTCTTTTGGTAACTTTTTGCATGGTACATATTTTCCATCCTTTTACTTGCAACCTATTTTGTCGTTGAATCTAAAAGGAATGTCTTGTAGACAGCATATAGTTGGATCATTAAAAAAATTATTCTGCTAATATCTGCTTTTACTTGCAGAGTGTAATCCATTTTCATTTAATGTAACTGTTTATGGGTAGGATTTACATCTTCAGTTTTGCTATTTGTTTTCTTATGTCTTATGCCATTTTTATTCCTCAGTTTCTCTATTATTGCTTATTTTTGTTGCATGTTAAATTTTTCTAGTTTACTATATTAATTTTCTTACTGTTTCTTTTACTGTATATTTTTGAGTGATATTCTTATTGGTTCCCCTAGGAATTACTAATAACACCTTAATTTATAACAATATTCAAATTAAAACAAACTTAATTTCAATCATAAGAAATATTTTGCTGTTAAATAACTCCACACTCCTTTTATGTTCTCATTGTCACAGATTATATCCTTATACATTTTGTGTGTATTCCCTTGTGCAGTTTTTTTATTAGATAGAGGAAAAAGTGGCATAAAAATAAATTAATATTGTCTTTATATTTACCTATATTGTTACCTTTACCATTGTTGTTTATTTATTCATGTCAGTTTGAGTTACTGTCTAATGTCCTTTTATTTCAACCTGAAATTCCCCCTGTAATATTTCTTACAGGGCAGGTCCTCTAGTGACAAAGTCCCTCAGTTTTTATTTATCTGTGAATATGTTAATTTTCTTTTCATTTTTGAGGGATAGTTCTACTGAATATAGTATTCTTAGTTAAGAGGCTTTTGTTAATTTGATATATTTCAGGGCTGGCTTATGGCCTTTATAATTTCTAATGAGCAATTATCCTTATAGTTATTGCAAACTTCGTGTACATAAAGAGTCACTTCTTTCTTGCTGCTTCCAAGCTTCATTTTTTTTATCAACAGTTTGATTATGATGTGCCTTAGAGTGGATCTCTTTAAATTTCTTACTTGGAGTTAGTTAAGCTTCTTAGATGTATAAAGTAATATTTTTTCATCAAATTTAGAAATTTTTGACCATTATAACTTCAAATCATTTTTTCTTTTTTCTTTACGTTCCGTGGACTAAATAATTTCAACTGATTTCTTACCAAGTTCACTGATGATTTTTCTTCCTGCTCAGATATGCTGTTGAATACCTCTAGTAAATTTTTCAAGTCAGTTATTGTACTATACAATTGCAGAGTTTCTATTTGGTTCTTTTTCTATAGTTTCAATGCATTTATTGACATCGTGTTTGGTGAGATATAATTATCATTTCCTTTAATTCTTTGAATATACTTAAGATCAGTGATGTAAGGTTTTAGACTAGTAAGTTCAATGCCTGGACTTCCTCTGGATCACTTTATATTTATTCTATCTTCCCTGACATACTTTTTTGTTCCTTTGCATGCCTCGTGGTTTGGTACTTTTGTTGAAAACTAGACATTTTATGTTATACAGTATGGCAACTCTGCAATGCAGTTTCTTCTCCCTCATAAGAGTTTGTGGCTATTGCTGCTTGTTGTAATTATTGTTTATTTAGTATCTTTTCTGAACAAATTCTGTGCAGTCTGTATTATTTATTGTGTTCAGCCACTGAAACCTCTACTCAGTTTAGTTGTCAGGTAATGATTGTACAGACATTTCCTTTTTTTTCTTTCCTTTTTTTTTTTGATACAGAGCCTTGCTCTGTCACCCAGGCTGGAGTGCAATGGTGCAATCTCAGCTCACAGCAACCTCTGCCTCCTTAGTTCAAGCGATTCTCCTGCCTCAGCCTCCTGAGTGGCTGGTATTGCAGGCACACGCTACCACACCCAGCTAATTTTTGTATTTTTAGTAGAGACAGGGTTTCACCATGTTGGTCAGGCTGGTCTTGAACTCCTGACCTCATGATCCACTCATCTCAGCCTCGTGAAGTGCTGGGATTACAGGCATGAGCCGCCACACCCGGCCAGATATTTCTTTAAACACCTGAGCCCAATAAATATTCCAGTCTTTGCTGAGGGAATTCTGCATGTGTGTTAAGGCATGTCTTCAATGGTTTAAAAATCTATCCTAGCCTTGACTTTCTGCTTGCACAGAGCCTCAAATTCAGCCAAAAGTGAGAGCTTAGGGCTTTCTCAGATACTTTCCTGAGCATGTGCATAGCTCTACATATACTTATAAATGTCTATATTCCCATGAATATGTCTGATATTTTTAAAGTCTCTGTGAACATCTCACTCTTCAGCAGTCTCTTTTAAGCTTTCTGGTTAATATACGTTATTTGATACAACTGTTATCCACCATATCTGGCAAACACAACATTTAAAACACTTGCCTATAAATTTTTTTTTTCAAATTCCCTCTCAACCACTCTTTTTGTAGATGTTTTTAACAGTGCATAAGATCTAAGTAAGGTTACATAAAGAAAATCCTATCCAGCCCAGTTTTCTAGGGAACCACCAGACAGGTCAAATAATTGTAATTCTTTGGGAATTAGGATCTAACTCCATTCTGCTCCTTTTTGTGACAGAAATGCTTTTATTTTTCAGGACTACGACTTCACCGCGGAAGGGTGGGTGCATCTACGGCAAGTTAAAACACAAATGTGCAGTTCTTGTGGAGATCGAGCCTTTTTTTAATACATGCTCCCAGCATTCTTTAAGCCTTTGGTTAATCTCCTATGTTTTGAAAAAGTTGACACTGAATCTGACAATTCTTTTCAGATTTCCATTGCTTTTATGGAGGAGGAGATTTTCAGAGGCTCTTACTTCATTATTTTTATGAATAAAACTTCACTCTGGTTATTTTAATGAAGAGAATGTAGTTTAAAAACTTAATATGCCATATTTAATTGCTTTTAGTAGTTCTGTGATACATAGAGTTGTTCTACATGGGAAGATACTGAGACAAGATACCAGAAAAAATATTAAAAGTATTGTTATATAAAAGTTGCTTAAAATGCTAAAAGATCATTGATAAGAGGAAAAATGATGTTTGTGCTTAAGATTAGTGGAGTCCAACATGTTCAGTGATGTAGAGATAGATAGACTAAAATTTCACATGGCCCCATTCACTGGAGGGTTTAATATTTACCCAAGCTGAGAAGTGGGTAAGACAGGAAGAACGAGGTGATCTTGGAAAGGAGACACCATGAGGACCAGATTTATTCTCTCAGGAGGCCAAAGGTCTCTCCTCTTTCATCACTAATCAATGTTCCAGTGGCACCCCAAATGATAGCCTCATTGAGTCCCTCATGATTTCATCATCCCCACTCCTTGGGATGCAGGCACATGTCACTTTCCCTCCCAGGCCTACAGTGCTGTGCCAGCTTGGTTTCGCTTCTCAGACCAACACTTGCCTTAGGGGATGACAAGGGCTGAGGCTCTATATCCACAAGGACTCAATAAATGAAGAATGGAGTCAGTCCAAGAGGCAGAATGACCACTGTGATTCAGGAGATGGAGTCAGCCTTAAATTTAATATGTAGATTCATTGAACAGCTATTGGAGGACTGGCAAAGGAAAAGGAACACTGAAATAGCAAGAAAAAAAAAACTCAAGTTTTTTTTCTCTATTAGGAATATGACTACTTCTTGAGATCCTCATAAACATTCAATGAGATAGCATGTAAAGTATTCAGCAATGAGATATCTCGAAAAGATTTACCAATGAAAGATTGTTTACTCTCTTCTTACCACCCATCATGAATAGATTGCTATAAATGTATTACTAACTGTAAATATGCATTCTAAATTTGAAGCTGCTATGATGACCACTGATCCTTTTATCTTTTCTAATGTCGTGTATATTTTCTTTAGTCATATGATTAGACATTTTTGCATATTTAATTTTATTTTGCTATACCCCAGCCCCCTTCTTATCCATGAAAAATATCTTCCTAGACCCCAGTGAATAGCTGAAATTGTGGATAGTACCAAATCCTATATATATATTTTTTGTTTGTTTGTTTGTTTTTTCTTATATATACATACCTATGATAAATTTTAATTTATAAATTAGGTACAGTAACAGATTAACCATAACAACTAATAATAAAATAGAACAATTATGATAGTGTTTTGTAACAAACCTTATATAAATATGGTCTTTCTTCACAAATATATTATTGTACTTAACTCACTTTTCTTCTTGGAGCTGTCAATCTGATAACCTAGACTGCTGCTATGAAGAGTAGATATGCTGGACAAGGAATGATTCATATTCCATGAGGGACAGAGCAGGACAGCATGAGATTTTATCATGCTACCAGAAAGGCGTGCAGTTTAGAACTTGTAAATTGTTTATCTCTAGAATTTTCTATTTAATATTTTTGGATCTCGTTGACCACAGGTAACTGAAATCCCAGAAGGAAAAACCTCAAGTACAGGGAACTACTGCATTAGGTTTGGCTTAAATCAAACTCCATTTACTGATGAGTTGGGCAGTTGGGAGAGGGAGTGGGTGTCCATCTAGGAAAGCGCTCTCTCAGGTCAGGACCATGAATGGAACTGTGTGACGCTTGGTTCATGTTTATTACTGCTTAGAAAAGTCTTCGAAGCTCAATCGTAGGAATAATGTCAACCCTAACCACAGCAGTAATTCATACTTCTTCTCTTTTTGTTGGTATTAACTTTATTACTTATTTTATGGTATAGGCCTTATCGTAAATGTTTTTGTTATAAAACAGATCTCATCCTTTTTTGGGGTTTGGGAGGTGGGAACAGTAGAACATGAAGATACATAATAAGTCCCATACAATAGTTAATAATAAGTCACCAACAGGATTATTCCTAACTCCAGCCCTCCAAATGCTGGGGCATTGATGTATGTGTGCAGGAATGGTATCAGACTAGACACAGACTGGCATAGAGCCTGGCAAGGTGAAGGCAATGCACCTTATAAAACAGTTACAGTAACATCTATTGCATACATGAGAACCATTTGCAGCAGATTAAATTCCCTTAAGAAAGGAGGCTACTAGACAAACCACCTCAACACCAAAGCAGGGTTTGGTCGGCATCTGACAGCGCTGGGGACGGTGGCCAGATGTGAGCTCTGTGGACAGTGGCCAGATGTGAGCGCAGCGGACGGTGACCAGATGTGAGCGCTGCGGACGGTGACCAGATGTGAGCGCAGCGGACGGTGGCCAGATGTGAGCACTGCGGACGGTGGCCAGATGTGAGCGCTGCGGACGGTGACCAGATGTGAGCGCAGCGGACGGTGGCCAGATGTGAGCGCTGCGGACGGTGGCCAGATGTGAGCTCTGCGGACGGTGGCCAGATGTGAGCGCTGCGGACGGTGGCCAGATGTGAGCGCTGCGGACGGTGGCCAGATGTGAGCGCTGCGGACGGTGACCAGATGTGAGCGCAGCGGACGGTGGCCAGATGTGAGCGCTGCGGACGGTGGCCAGATGTGAGCGCAGTGGACGGTGGCCAGATGTGAGCGCTGCGGACGGTGGCCAGATGTGAGCTCTGCGGATGGTGGCCAGATGTGAGCTCTGCGGACGGTGGCCAGATGTGAGTGCAGCAGACGGTGGCCAGATGTGAGCGCTGCGGACGGTGGCCAGATGTGAGCGCAGCGGACGGTGGCCAGATGTGAGTGCTGCGGACGGTGGCCAGATGTGAGCTCTGTGGACGGTGGCCAGATGTGAGCGCTGCGGATGGTGGCCAGATGTGAGCGCAGCGGACGGTGGCCAGATGTGAGCGCTGTGGATGGTGACCAGATGTGAGCGCAGCGGACGGTGGCCAGATGTGAGCTCTGTGGATGGTGACCAGATGTGAGCGCTGCGGACGGTGGCCAGATGTGAGCGCTGCGGACGGTGGCCAGATGTGAGCGCAGCGGACGGTGGCCAGATGTGAGTGCTGCGGACGGTGGCCAGATGTGACTCAGCGGCTCTCGTTGGATCTGACAGCGCTGTGGACAGTGGCCAGATGTGGCCCAGCGGCTCTCCTCAGGCTGTTTCTTCCAGGAGCATGAGCTTCTTCTCTATTTCGGTGAGATTCTCTGCCTGAGATGGGTGTTCTGAGGAGCATTCAGAAATTGTTTGTTCTGAATTTCTAAAACATGAACTATTAGAAAAGGACAAAAAGAAATCTACAGACTGTGGGAAAAGTTAGTGTCAAACAAATACAAAAAGGAAAAGTTGAGAACAGCAAAGGGTGGCTGTGTTATGCGGAAGTGACAGAGTTGAAAAATGATGCATTGATAAAGGGACAAAAAAAATCCTTAGGAGGAGGAGGAGCAGGAGGAGAAGGAGAAGGAGGAGAAGGAAGCTGAAATAACCATTCTTGGTTATATATGGATTTACATTTCTTCTTCATTAGGGTTGTTTATTGCAGCATTTCTGCCATTTTTCCCTATCAGTTTCTTCTTATCCAGAGACCCTGGAGTCTTTGCCCAGGGGCCACTGCCTGGTGATGAAAGTCATATTGTTCAGCTTCCATAAACAACATCCACTCTCATGATTAGCTTTGGAAAATCAGCTGAATCTTAGCCTTTAGCTTCACAGTGTATGTATGTCTGTCTGTCTATTTAATTTTTACAAAAAGCTGGGAAAATCAAATACTTAAAAATAACAATTGAGTAATTTCAACAAAAGATTGTAATCAGATCAGGCTCTTGGGGAATGCAGAATCAGGACCTCTCCCTACTCTTCTCACCACTAGTTGTTGCCATGCTATCTTATACTTTAAGTGTCTGAGTATTTAAATCTACCCACTAAGCATATTTCTTTGTTTCCATAAAATGAAATGAGCAGATTTATGGACAGATGTATGAGTTTGTCTCAGGGTCTAGAAATCTTTTTTTCTTTCTCTCTTCCACCTAGGTCCAAGTCTATAATTTAAGTTTTAAACTTTCTAAATAAAAAGTTGATTTTAAATTTAGCATTAGCAGAAGGTCAGCAGCAATCAGCAGTGTTGGCTTGATGCTGGGGGAGAGGTAAAGGGGAAGGTGGCGTTGGTGTGACAAAAGTGGTGAAGGGATGGGGTGGGAAGCCATGTGGGTGAGAGGAAGGTAAGGAGGGAGGAAGCCTGTGCCTTCAGTTGGCAAGATCTTCTGTTCTTAAAACATCACTTTGAGTTATTGAATGTGTTAGTCCATTCAGGCTTCCATACCAGAATACCATAGACTGTCTTACAAACAACAGAAATGCATTTCTCAGTTATGAAGACCAGAAGTCCAAAATCCAGGTGCTGAGAATTCAGTGTCTGGTGACGGCTTACTTCCTGGTTTATAGGCAGTCGTCTTGTCACTGTGTCCCCATATGGAAGGTGAGAGAGCTCTGTGGGGTCTCTTCTAGGAGGGCACTGATCCCATTCATGAAGGCCTCACCTTTATGATCTAATCACCTCCCAAAGGCCCCACCTTCTAATACCATCACCTTAGGTGTTAGGAGTTCAACATACGCATCTTGAAGAGACATAAACCATCAGGCTGCAGCATTCAGCTCCGGGCCTAGAGTGCTTCTAACATGCAAAATACACTAATTACATCCCAGTAGCCCCAAAATCTCAACCCCATCAGTGTCAACTCTAAATCTCAAATCGGAAGTCTTATATAAATATCCTCTAAATTAGATATGGCTAAGACTCAAGGTAAAAGTCATCTTGAAACAAATTTCTCTCTAGGCAGGAATCTGTGAAACTAAATGTTATGTGCTTCCAGAGTAGAGTAGTGCTGCAAGCATAGGACAGACATTTCTCCCGAGACAGAAATAGGAAAGAAGAAAGGAGTGATGGATCTCAGGCAAGTCCAAACCACAAGGCAAACTCCCTGGAATGAAGAGCGTTGAACCCGATTTCCTTTGGCTCAATGCTCTGCCTTCCAGGCCCACTGGAGCGCACTGCCCACTTGCTGGGCCTCCTGGGTTCAGCAGCGTTTGTTCATTCCTTCCCAGGTTGGGATTTTCACATTGGAATCTTGGAAGGAAACAAACTTTCAATCTACGTCACCGGATTATCTGTGAAGCTATGCATGCTGTTTCTTAAATGTCTATTCACTCATAGACAACTCTGTATTTTATATCTGACTGCTGCAATTTTATCATTTACTAATTTCTTTCTCCAGGAAAACCACAGTACATAGGGAGTTAATAGATCCTAGGCTCTAGTGCTGACTTGATCACAGGTTTCTGTCTTTTGCCCTCTGCATACCTAGGTTATGCTGTACAAGTAGAAGCATTGTACTGATCTCTTCCTACCACACTGAGTATCGCATGATATCCTGAAAGTGATCTAGATGAAGTTTTTCCAACATCATCATGACCTGCCGGCCCCCACGCTTCCCAGTGCAGCAGAGCCCTGACCTCACTCTCACAGGCCTTACGTCCCCGGAATCACGTAACAGCCACCGCCAGGCAGTCATCGCAGAGGTAGAATTCTATGTATTGAAACCAGATTTCCACAGCTTTATTCACTAGCTTGAAGCTGTAGCTGAAAATTTTATCTGCTTTTAAAGCAGAAAGAAAAGCATATAGGAGCAGAAACGTCAATTGTTTCTTGTAATAGGGAAAGAAGAACATTTCCTGAAACCTTTATAAAACCCTTCTACATTCCAGAACTGCATCAGATGTCCACACTTAGGGGCCGAGAAGTAGAATTCCAGGAGTCATAAGGAAATATTCAAGTTGGTAATTTTATATAGATTTTAAAACCGCAATCTGCATCTCTCACCTCACTTCCACACTAGACTGGAATTCCGCGTTCTCTCTCTGACACCCTCCAGCCACAGTTCCCACAGTTATACGAGGCCTCCTAGCCCCATCCCAGCCCTCGGTTACCTCTGCGGGTGGAGGAGATGGGGAGGAAGGTCTGTGGCTGAGGGGATGAGACTCAGTGAGACAAGAGACCTGTGCTTCCTCCTGGGTCGACCGGGGCTGAGTTCACAAGCTGGTCAGGGCTGAGCTCTAAGACCACGTTCTGGCCACAGGCCACCTTCTGGGTCGGGGAGCAGCAGGGACCGCCCCGCTGGAGCAGCCAGGCCCAGCCACACTCAGCTTTGCCCACTAGTCAAGCCCAGCCTCACAGAAGCGGGTTCAGTAAGCCCCCCATGCTTCCCCAGGGAAAGGGCTGCATTTCATTTATGGAGGACGGTGGTTCCTCACAGGAGTGGGCAGACTCTGGAAGCCTCTGAGGGGTGAAATTCTGCAGCCTGGGAAGGCTGAGAGGCAGGAAGGTTGAGGAAAGGGGGCACGGCCGACCCCTGACTTCCACAGGTCTCCTGCTGGTCAGGGTTAGGTGGAAGGGGGAGCTGGCTGGCTCTGAGGGGCATGAACCTCTGAGGGGCACGGACCTGAGCTCCCTGAGGACAGGGGCCTTGGGGTAGGTGGTGTCCAGCAACTCACCTTCATCTGGTCACCTGAAGAAACCACTTCAGGGCATAAATACTTCTCTGAAGCTGCTCGAGAGTATGGTCAGGCATCTGCTCTGCCATCTGTGAGACGGCTTGACACCCTGCCCTCTCTTTTGGGAAAGTGAGAGGTGGCCCCATGGATAGAGCAGGGGAAACAAAGTGGTGTCGGAGACTCCGGACTGTGTGTGCTCATGACACAACACCCGGGAAGGCTTAGCTGTGGGAGGGGCGGCCTCTGGTGACAGCCGGCATGGCTCCAAGCTGACATCCTGCCCTTCCTAAGTTCCAGCTCCGCTGCCACCTGCCAGTTCCCATAGCCGGGCCAGCGGAGGGGCAAGATCAGTGGGCTCTGAGCACCCACTGCGAGGGGAGTCCTCTGCCAAGGACCCCTGGTTCTTAGCAGGTGCTTGGAGAGCGGGTGTTTGCAGGGATTTGGTTAGCTGTTGATAGGAATTTGGGGAAGGGGAGGAACAGGAGGCTCTGAAGCCACGTGGCTCCTGCTTCTATCCTCCCCAGCAGTGAGGAGAGAGTATAAGGAGCCCGTCTCCATCTGCTGCACCTCCCGCTCTCTGCCCACCTAGAGGTCCCAGGGCCACTCTGCACAGCCAGGCGGGAGGAAGGACTCCCGCTGTATCGTGTGCATTGGCAGAGGGACAGTGCCGCAGTGGGGATGGGGTGCTCACCCTCTCTGGAAACTCCTCTCTCCTCCCCCCAAATCACTTCATGCTTGGGGCCTTTGCTGCTCCTCCTCCTCTGCCCATGGGGCTTCTTAGTCTCCAGAGACCTAAGTTCACATAGGGCTGGGCAAGATTGAGATCAGGGGACTCCTAACACAGCCAACTTGTCTCAGAGTTTCCAAGAAGACCCCCATGCAGGGGCAAGGGTATGGAATGTAAATTGAGTCACCATGGGGGATGCAGGTCTGTGCTGCTGACATAAGCTGTGTATCTTCAGGGATGCGTTGACTCAGGGAGGGAGGCAGCTCTGGTGGACACGCGATGCTATGCAGCCAACGCCTGCGGGAGATCACGTAGCTTTATTAAACATGTTGATAAATTCAGTCACACGCGAGAGGAAACCCTCTGTGAATCGCAGCATTTCAGGAATCCACTTCATGAACCTATCCTGGGCATAACAGAGTGGCAGCCTCCTGGAGTAGAACTGCGATCAAACAGAAAGCCATAGAAGCTCCCTTGGTGTAATGGTGATTGCCTCTTGTGAGGATCAGTGCATTTCCATTCCAAAAATTCTGGGTGACACACTCCATGTGCCTCAGACCAGGACACTGATCATGGGCCTCAGAGGATTGCAGTTTGGAGCAAGCCAGTCTGGGAGAAGGGGCTGGTGTCTGAGAACATGAGGATCTGCACACGCGGTCACATTTGGAGTGACTGAGAAGCCTCTCTCATTAGAATTGCATGATGCAACTGCACAGAGACACAGTGACCTTTTTCCACTTAAAAATCCAAGTGAGCATCAAGGTCCGATGAAATCCTTTCATCAGAAAATAACTTGCTTTGGTCTGCTGAGACCTAGAGGGGAGAGAGGATTTAGAATTCTTGGACCTTTCTGTGTCTTTGTAGATTGTTAATGCATTTATTAAGCCATTTCTAAGTGTGTCTACTGCTGGTGCGTGTTTCAACCTTGAATATCACTAAAATTCATTTTCTCTGCTTCAAGCCAGTGTTCTGAGGGGGAAATGCATTCTGTGCCCTCCATGGCAAGCTTCCCTCCACCCCTCATTTTCTCTCTCCTCTTCTCCCTTCACCCTCTGCCCATCAATGACTTCTCTTTCTCCCTCATGCCCTGTCTCCCTCCCATCCTGCCCCTCTCTCCTCCTACCCTTAGTCTCTATTTACTTTCCCGCCCATACCCTCTCCACCCTCTTCTCTCTAAACAGATAGGAAAGAGGGTCCTGGTGCTGTGTTTCTTCTCCACTCTGTGCCTCTGTGCTGGAGGTGAGGGAGAAGAGTCCAGGACAGTGTTTGAAATGCTCGAAGGGTAAGAGGGGGTTAGAGAAGAATATCGAGAGAGTTGTTCTATCAAAACACTGGACTCTGCAGGTTGGCAGATGCCCATCTCTGCAGGACAGTAGCTGGTTGTATCTGAAGGGGCAAGAGCAAGTGAGCTTTAGCTCACACCCATCACTGTCAGCAAACAGGGTCTCAGGCAGCGTAAAGGAGGAGCTTTATTCTTGTCATTTTTAAGCTGATATCAAGCGATTTATCTTCATGCTTGATAACAACACCTCTTGCAGCTACTTTGACCTTCAGCCATCTTCTGCCCTGGCCAAGTTTATGGTGAGGCCACTGATCTCTGGCACCTGGCACACAGGTGGCTCAGCTCTCTCACTGTACCCAATGATTTTCATCAGAAAACAAGGAAAGCACCGCGTGGATTCCCTTGGCATGAGATCAGGTGCACACTGCCTGCTCAATGGGTCCACCACCCACCACAGACTCCAGCCCAGTGTCGCAGCCGGCGGGGCGGCACCCACTACTCTCCACTTGGCTCACTCCAGACCCTATTTCACATCCACATGGAGCCACGGTCAGGCGGTCTTCGGTCCCATAGAGGGAAGTAGAGACACAGATGGGTCACATGGCTACAAGAAGCATCCAAACTGATGAGGATCAGGATCCCAGGGAGTTGCCAGTTCCACTGCTCTGGGGCTCTGCAGGCTCCAGCAGAGGCTGTTACCAAATCCAGCAACCACAGCTTTACACACCATGGGGTCTCCAGCAAGTAAGCGCACACGCTCTCAACACTTCAAGCCAAAAAATGGAGGACAAGTACAGGAACACCACCAGGCTCCCTGCAAACATAACGGGCCAGCCCCAAATACCCCAGGAAGTGAAGTCTTCTTATGCTTTCAGAATTCAGGGCCATAAAGATGCCTGATGTAAACCCTCTTACATACAGGTGAGGAAGTTGGGCTCAGAGAGGTACAGCAATTTGCCCAAATTCACACGGGGAATTAGGGCCTGTGATAGCATCAGAAACTCAATCACATAAACATTGGCCCATGGCTGCCTCTGCCGCACTCTGTGGGTGTCTCTATAGTGGAGATGGTATTGAGTTGTTCAGTCAGGTATTACTGAGCATGTGTGGAATACCAGAAAGTCGGGCATTTCAGTGATGAGCAAATCAGTCCCTTCCCTCATGGAGCACAGTGTGTAGGACACACACTGTAAGCAAGTGAACGCTCACTCACTCAGTGGACAATGGACACACTGTCCACTACTGAGGCCCCATGGAGACCAGCACAGAAGCAGTGCCTGGGTCCAAGGAGCCTCCTTCCATCAGGGGGTCTACGGGAGGAGTAGCCAGGCCAGGACTGGCAGGGAGAGCACCCCAGCAGGGGAGGGCCTGTGTGGAAACTACACGGCAGAGGAAGACTTTGAGCAGCTAAAGGGGGTCAGTGTGGAGGGACTGGGCAGTGCAGGGTGTGGTATCAGGGGAACCTGGGAGGCCGGCAGGGGCCATGGCTCTCAGGAGCTTCTGGAACAAGTGAAGAAGTTTGAATTAAATACAAAATGCCACAGGGTGCTACTGATGAAGCGTAAGCAGAAACAATGTTATATAACATACGTTCTTAAAGATCACATGTTTGTATGTGACTGTATGTGCATGAGTGTGTGAGTGTGTGGTCATGGGTATGGAAGTGAGTATGAGTGTATGCAGTGCTGTGTGTGTGTGTGTGTGGTAGTGTGCATGTGAATGAGTGTGTGTGAGTGTATATGTGTGTGCAAGTGGAATAGACTGGAGGGAAGCAGGAAAGTGAGCAGGGTGTGTATCTGGCAGGCTGACACTGGCTGTAGCCACATCTGGATGAGAGGTGTCTGTGGCTTAGAGTCAGATGGTGGCCATAAACACAAAGAGGTAAGGAGAGATTCAAGGTATACTTTGAAAGTGAAATGGTCAAGGCTGAGAGATGTGTTTAAACTGAGTGATAAGACAACGGGTGGTGTGAATGGCAAGTCCCACATTTATGGACTCAAGCAACTGGTTGGGTAGTGGTGCCATTTACTAAGATAACCAAGACTTCAGTGAGAACAGGCTGGTGAGAGAAGGAGGAATTTGGGACACCTTCTCTGGGGGTGCCTGTGAGCTCTTTGAGAGGGTCTACAGGGTGGGCCATCTGAAGAGGGTGGGTCTGGTCTGGAGGTGAGGCTCTGGGCAGTGTTGGCAGGTGGATGATCCAGATGCCACAGCGGGAATGACATCACCCAGGGAAAGTCATGGTGTGGGATGTGGATTCAGGAATGACATCACCCAGGGAAAGGCATGGTGTGGGGTGTGGATTCAGGAATGACATCACCCAGGGAAAGGCATGGTGTGGGGTGTGGATTCAGGAATGACATCACCCAGGGAAAGGCATGGTGTGGGGTGTGGATTCAGGAATGACATCACCCAGGGAAAGGCGTGGTGTGGGGTGTGGATTATGTGCTGTCCTCCTAGAATGTCCTGAAGAGGCCAAGCTTTTCCTTAGAGAGCCTGGTGTCCCCTTTGACTTCCCAACATAATTGTGTGTTATTTAAACACTGCCTCCATCTCCACTCTGGTGGTGACTCTACCCTGCCTCAAACCTCTGAACTGTAGCAGGTCAGGTGGCAGGTCAAGGAAAGGACCTGCCATTTCATTGAGGTAAAATTGACATTTACAACTCTACGTATTTAAAGTGTGAAGCATGATGTTTTATATAGACATACATTGTGAAATGATTACCACAATCAAGCAAATTAACATATCCTTCACCTCACAGGTACTTGTGTGTGTGTGTGTGTGTGTAGTGAAAATACTTGAGATCGACTCTTTCCAAGTTCCACGTGTCAAACACATTATTAACTGGAGTCCCCATGCTGTACACTAGGTCTCCAGAACTGACTCATCTTATACCTGCAAGTTTGTGTCCTTTGACCTTTGACCATCATCTCCCTGTTTCTCCTACCCCCAGCTCTTTGTGGCTTTCATTCTACTCTATTTCAATGATTCCAACTTTTCTAGATTCTACATATAAGTGAGATCATGTAGTATGTGATTTTCTGTGCTTGCTTTATTTCATTTAACATAATGTCTTCTAGGTTTATCTATGTCATTGCAAATGGCAAGATTTTCTTCTTGTTAAGGCTGAAAGATATTTTAGTACGTGTGCCTGTGTGTGTGTGTGTGTGTGTATCACATATTCTTAATCCATTCATCTGCCAACCTATGGAATAAAAGACATCATTTTCAAACCATATATCTGAAAGGGGGTTAATATTTTAAATAAATAAGAAACTCATACAGCTCAGTAGCAAAATAATAAGAGTAATAACCTGATTAAAAATGGGCAAAGGACCTGAATAGACATTTTTCCAAAGAAGACATACAAATGGGCAACAGGTATATGAAAAAGTCCTCAACTAATCATCAGGGAAATGCAAATTAAAGCCGCAAACAGTTATCACCTCGCACCTGTTAGGATGGCAATTATGAAAAAGTCAAAAAAGGTAACCTGTGCTGGTGAGGATGTGAAGAGTGAACCCTTATTCACTGAGGGTGGGAATGTAAATTAGTAGAGCCAGGATGAAAACAGCCTGAAGGTTCCTCAGAAAATGACAACCAGAGCTTCGATATGATCCAGCAGGTCCCACTTCTGGGGACAAACCCACAGGAAAGGAGGTCAGTGGGTAGAAGAGCTGCCTGCCCTCCCATGTCCACTGCAGCACTGCTCACCGTAGCCAAGACAGGGAAACAACCCAAGTGTCCCTCAGCAGAGGCCATTTGTTTTTAAAGCTAACAGGCCACACCTGGCCATAGCATTGTTTTACTTTAAAAAAAAAAAAACCACGTTCTAGGGGGGTGAAATCTGGGTGTACTCCCATCTCACATTAGCATATAGTACTCCACTGCAGAGCATGTGAACGCGGCAGCTCAGGGCAACCCACAATTATTCTATGAAAATGGCTGGCTGAATAACTATACATTTAAGCAAGTCTCAACCCCACTGTGTCTCAACCCCTACTGCCTGTGCTATCGTTAGGAGGAACTGTCCCAAGTCACTCTACCCCGTTTTGCCCAGAACCCTTCTGGTGACAGGCAGCCTCAGTGCCTTCTTCCTCCTTGCTTTCTTCCCTTATAGAGTTCAAATCTCACGTCTGTAGGTTTGTTCAGAACTAACCAGCAAAACTGCACCCAGCTGTGTTCCTAACATCTTCCACGTGCAGCTCTGCGTATCACAAGGAAAGAGATTCCTGAATGTACAACCGAGCCACACCAAGTACAAATCTGCGCACCCTAAAATCTGCCCACTCCCTGTAGTAGCTGCTCCTGCAGCTCTCGCTGTGGGCTCGCATGGCCCCTTCAGCTGTCTAAACAGAAACATTGGCATCCCCAGCTCCACTCCTTTAGCTCCTGCGCAGTGAGAAAGAAAGAGCGAGTCAAACATGAAATCCACTAATATATTAATTCAGCTCAGCAAGCAAAACCCATGAGCACCCAGCTCAGCAGAGCCTGCCAGGCATGACTAATCAGACCCTGGCTGAAGCAACGCTCTCTTCCTCGGTCCTCTCTGGAAGTGTGCTGGTTATGCAGCTTCTTCCTCTGAGCTCAGGAGACTCTGAAAAATGCAGTTTAAAAGGATGTAAATTAGGAAAATGTAAATACCCCTGGCTCCCTCACACAGGACTAGGTTTTGTGGTGGGGGAAGTTGCTTTACCTCATCGAGTCTTGGTTTTCTCATCAGTGATGACTTGCAGAGTTTTGTATGAAGTCCCAGGGCCCTGGCCCCACTACAAGGAGCTTGAATTTAGCAGGTCTGCAGTGGGCCTGGGCAGCTGTATGTTTAAAAGTTGCACAGTGACTGCGATGCTACCCAGCTGAATGGCATCAGCTTAGCTCATGGCTTCTCAGAAGCGATGTGCAGACTCCGATTCAATATCTTCAATGTAGGCTCTGAGGTTCTACATTTCTAACAGCTCCTGGAAGGGCCAGTGCTGCTGGCATGTGGACAACTCTTTGAGTACACAGGTTCCAGGTCTGTGGCTCCCGGTCTCGGCTGCACTTCAGATTGGGCCAGCCCCTCCTGACTGGATAAGATCTTATGGGACTGTTGGTGAGGAATCCCTACCCTAGCCAAGCTGTAGGAGTGTGACTTAAGCTGGCTGATTATCTGGATCCTCTGTGAAAGTTGATCCTAGTGCTCAGTGACTCAAAGACTGTGGAAAGTCAGAGCTCATGAATCCAGATTACAATGACATGCGAGACTGTTCCTGGTGCCCGAGATTCAGTTCCCAGAGCTACTATGGCTTATTAGGTACAGGTACAATTTTCCTTTTGTAAGATGCTCCATATTATTCCAAATATGGCCTTTTTTATTTGTAGAAAAAATATCTTTTTGTCACTGACAATTAAAGAAACATAACTGATATTTCTGTAAGATGTAACATCCCATAATTCTGCTCTCCCTGCATCAACCTGCATGTTCGTGTTATCTTCCTTATGGGGAAGAGGGGATAGCCACCACCTGCCTGGCCCCACACCTCCACCCTCACCTGAAACCCCAGGCCTGGAGAACACACTTGTCACCTCCCCTGCCTTGTGTTTGAGTTTCTCCCTCCGTAAAGAAGCGCTCTAAGGCTGGATGTTGATAAAATGACTCCACTGATGGAGGAAAACTCCTGCCCAGCTGACTCTCACTTCTGGGAAGGACTGGTCATGGTCAAATTGTGAAGGAGCCAAGGCTTAAAGAAGGCATTTCTTTATTCTTTTCTTTCAGTTATTTGTTCAGTTTTCATCTCCAGCCTCCTGGAGCATTTGCCTGATAGGAACCTATTGATGAAACGTGTCCCAAAACCCTTCACCAAAGAACAATTTATCCGTCTAGATCTTCAGTCCCGTCTGCTTTCTAATATGACCAATAGACAATGAAGTGTGTAGTCAGTATTGGCTATTGACACCAACAGCCAATAACAGCTTAATTACTCACTGTTCTGAGGCTGCGTGCTCTGATCCAGAGAAGGATTCCAGCAGTGGGTTTTAGGCACGTTTCCCAGTATCAGTCAGTATCTGGGAGAAACTTAGGACTCTTATTTCTCTCCCCCTTGCTTCCACGTGTCCCATATAGACACTTTATTACTAATCGAGGGTGAGTTGGGTGGCAAGTAATAACACTGCACATCCCACATGCTTTTCTTACAATGTAAGCTTAACGTACCAGCCGTGGAATGATGATGTCTGTCCCCTCTCATTCAGTCTGGCTGGATCTTTGCGACTGCCCTGATTAATGGAGTACAATGAGAAGGACATGATTTTACTCCCAAGGCTAGCATGCGAAAGGTGATATGGCTTCAGCCTGGTTCTCTTGGGATGTTCACTCTTAGAAGAAATTTGAAGAACCCCAAACAGCCACATGGAGAAGCCACAAACAGATATTCTGGCTGGCAGCCCAGCAGAGGTCCCAGCCAGCAGCCAGCATCAACTGCCATGTGAAGAAGTGTGCCTGCAGGGGGGTTCAGACCCCAGCTGCCAAGCTGCCTCCAGCCTCCCGGTCTTCCAAGCTGAGGATGCAGACAGTGTGGAGCAGAGATAAACCACCCTACAATGCTGTTCTCAGATCCCTGGATTGCAGAACCCAAGAGCACTACAAAACAGTTGCTATTTTACATTGCCAAGTTTGGGATTGCTTGTGGCATCAAGGACAGGAAATTCCAAGCTCTTGGTCAATGCTTAGTCATAGTGTCCTGGGTTTGTTTTCAGAGAAAACACATGACAGAGTGGCCCCTTTTCTCTCTTACCTCTCCAGTGACTGCAGCGGGAAGTGCCAAGGGCCAGACAGGCTTTCTCTCGGAAAGTTCTCTCTTCCTAATACAGCAACCAGGCTTGGCTGGTTTTGTGCTGAGCACTGCAGACAAACAGGGTCCCTTGTGCTGTGACTCCATTTCCTCCTGCTATTGTAGGAATTCTCTGGCCTGGTTGATGGAGTCAAGCTTAAGGTCTGGTTGTGAGTGCATAAAAAGGAATATACTGCCCAGCACTTGGTTCTAAGCTCTGAGCTGCCTTATGCATATTCTCATAAATTCTCATGAAGAATTACCTATTGAGTCCAACATAGTTTAATGGAATTCTGTTTGGAGGCTTGGAACCAAAGTCCCAATTAATAATAAAGCGTTACTTTGCTTTCCTTTGCCAGTTTAGCCTATGCATGTATTTTCCTTAGAGAGCCCATGGAGGAGAGAGAGGTGGCTAAAACAAGAAGAGATCTGTGGATGACTGCATCTCCCAGCCAAAAGACCACTCAGATAGCTTCCATGAGGATGACTGCATCTCCTGGCCAAAGACAACTCTGATAGCTTCGATGAGGATGACTGCATCTCTTGGCCAAAGACCACTCTGATAGCTTCCATGAGGATGACTGCATCTCCTGGACAAAGACCACTCTGATAGCTTCCATGAGAGCTCCCTGGGGCATCCATGGAGAAGATATTTTTGAGGGAGAAATCCCCAATGCATCTTGAATCTTGCAGCCCACACAGGGATTTCCTACAAGCAAACCCAGCCTTGAGCTATAAAGACCTGATCACTTTCCTGGGTGAAGACAGCAGACTGACTCAGTTATTCTGTGGATAGGTGACTTGATCAATGAGTTGGCGAGAAATCTAAGATGTGTCTTTCAGGCGCATATCTCAGATTTGTAAAATTATTATTTATTTATTTAATTTTTTTTTTTGGGATAGAGACTCACTCTGTCACCCAGGCTGGAGTGCAGTGGCACGATCTCAGCTCAATACAACCTCCACCTCCCAGGTTCAAATGATTCTCCTGCCTCAGCCTCCTGAGTAGCTAGGATTACAGGTGCCTGCCACCATGCCCAGCTAATCTTTGTATTTTTAGTAGAGACGGGGTTTCACCATATTGGCTGGGCTGGTCTCCAACTCCTGACCTCGGGTGATCCTCCCGCCTCAGCCTCCCAAAGTGCTGGGATTACAGGCTTGAACCACCGTGCCTGGCCTCAGATTTGTAAGATAATTTACACAAGACTCGGTGTCTCTGCATCTCACACTGGTTGTATATTGCATTAAACGGGTGATAATTCTCCCCTAATCAAACTGTGCCCATATGCTGGCAAGGACATTCATGTTATGAAGACAAGAGGTAGCTGAAAAATAAAGAGACAATAGCCACGAGACAGACCCAGAGGTCAGGCAGGGCAGGCTTGCCGTGAGGACACGGCTCATCCCACGGGGCCTGGGAACTGGCGGTCACAGCAGTGCAAGGTCCTGTTCTCTCCTCCGCAGGGACAGACAGGCCACCAGCCTGACAGAGACGGCACTGGGGGCAGCTGCCAGGAACAAGCAGGGATTACACTAGGATTTCTCAAAACCCGTCTCACAGAATACACGTTTTATTAAAAACTACTACATGAAGATTCTGTGTTCAAGTGAGTTTTGGAATGAGGAAGATCTGCAGCCAGTTTCACATGTAGATTTCTCCAAAGGATTTGGCCACAGACATTTAATTCTGGGAAACTTAAAGGCATGCTGATCATCTCAAGGTATTAAAAATAAATTTTTCTGAATGGTGGGATTATAGTTAATTTGCATTTTTCCTTTTGTTTATCTGTGAATCACATATTTTGCATAATGACTATATATTGCTTTTGTGGTGGAGAAAATATTTTAATGCAATGAAAACTCTGGTCTACCTGAGGTCAGGCAGATCTGCAGAACAGTGGACAGAGTGGGAAGGTGGGAATAGAGCGGCTCCTCCCTGCGGAGGAGGAGGGAAACCCAGGCTGGACCCAGGCAGGGTCTGAACCTCCAGTGAAGACATGAGGGACTGGGGTGGGTACAGCACAGTGCAGGGCCTGCTTGCTTTCCTCTCCTCACACCCTGCTTGTATATTCCATTTTCTTTCAGGACAATGAGCTCCAAGCAAGGATGGTGCAGGAAGAGCTCAGGACGGATCTTGCCACCTCCATCTTAGCCAGAGGGTTTTCCTGAGCTCAGGAGCCAAGCTTCTCAGACCCATTCTTGCACACTGCAAATTTCTAATCCATTGCTAAGGGCCACTAATCCCAAACTGAATTTAGAGAAACAAACAGGAATAGATGCTTTTTAAAATACTTACCAACATTCATATTTCTTCTCTGATTTTGAAAAACATAATTAATAATAAAACACTTGGGATCATGCAGCAAAGATACTTTATGGGAATATTTATTATGCAAATAACTAAATTAATTGCATACATTTGCATCCTATTAAGCATTGAAAAGTAAAGCAGCTTTAATAGAATTAAATCTACTTTTACCAAAATGATCTCATCTGGCAGGAAGAGTTAGGGCAAGATTGGTTTGGATTGAGATTTTCCATCCTGCTTAGGAATTCTAAAGTTCTATAGAATGAAAGTTTTTCTTGATAATAATTTTTAAATCATAAAAATGAAAGAAATGTTATTAGAAGTCCTACGATTTCACCACCAACTTCAATGCCCTAATGTGGCTATCCATACTGCTTTTCCAATATCTTCCAAACGTCGATTATGGATTTATATAAGTTTTTTCTACTAAATTATGTCTTACAGACATTATTGAAACAGTATACTTGCTAAACATCTGTGAATTTTGTGTAAGAGTAAGGTCCCAAGATTTTCTAAAGTTTGAAAGACAGTCATGCTCTGGAGTCACCCTCTGGGCTCGATGCGATGGTGCCCAACGAATACCTCCAGCCTGCTGGGGCTGGAGCTCCTGTCTCAGTCTAACCCTGCCCAGTAAGGAGCTGACTCAGCCCACACTGCTCAGGAGGCCCTGGGGCCCTCTGGGCTTGCAGGTATTCCTGCCCTCAGCTGGGGCCAGCCCAGGCTTCGGTGATGCGGTTTCCTCTTCAGAGGGCACTCTCGGGCCTCTCTCAGGACGTCTCCACCCCACACACGCTGCTGCCCACACCTCCTTTCAGGGAAGGGGCGCAGATACCTCCCATCTTCTTTCCTACACCTCAGCTTTGCTCCCTTCCCCTTTTACTCTGCACACCATGGCAATTTTCACCCCTTTTTGGACAAAAATTTCCTGACAGGACTTAACCTCCCTGGCACTTAAAATCTGAACTCTAACCTATGTTATTTGCAACAGAAAGAAAAGTGCTTTTATCTGTCCTTTCAGGTAAATTATTTATTTATGTTTTTCTTTATAGCGCCACCGTTCAGATTTGCTGGATTTGGAGACAAAATCCAGGTTTGAATTGTGATTCTATTTCTTACTGCTCCGTGGCCTGGGGCAGCCAGGTCAGCTCTCTGAGCCCTGTGGTCTGCATGGCTGAGTGAGAATGCCCACCTCCACTGAGAACCAGCCAGTGAGGTGCCAGCAACCCATCTAACACAGGCAAAGAGGATTTCTTAATGAAAACATTTTGTCTTGCACAAAACAATACTCAATTTAAGAAACAGCAAATGCAGAAAAGGAAAAAGAGGATTAGAAAACTATAGAAAGAGCTCAGTGCATGGCAAGAGTTTAATGAATATTAGTTCTTCCCATTTAGTTTTGCTTTCCAACCCACTAAGCATGCTTCGAAAGACAGAGAAGAAAGAGGGGTTACAGCAAAAGCAGTGATAAGAGTTTCTTGCATCTTCACAGATCAAGCATCTTGGTCTGCAACCAGGTTTGTCTGAACAAAGGGTTAGGAGCCAAAGTTTGGGGTGGTGAAAGCCATGGGGCCCATGTTAGGCTGAGGACAAGTGTGCATATGGGTGGCAGGTGGCTTTGCCCAGAATGAACTGGAGGGTGACGATCCTGGATCTGGCAGTGAAGCGGCAGTGTCTCTGCTCAGCCGGAGCGGGAGGTGTGGAGCCACTTCGTCACACTCTCAGCTGCACGGCTTTGGGCCACAGCCTGTAGACACCGGTGGAATCTGCTCAGAGCTTTGAAGAGAGGATTCCCAGAGCCAAGCTATGGATGGGACTAGGAAGCGAGTGACCAAGAACAGCTGCTCTTCACCTCCACGGGCAGGGTGGGGCGGGGTGGGAGGTGAGCTTTGCCGAAAGCCAGGCTGAAGGTGATGCAATGACCGCACCATGGCCAGGAGCAGAACCACACGTTCTTTTTGGTTTCTGTGTAACTCTTGCCAAATTTACAATAAACCCTGCAAATCTGCTGGAGCCTCTCTCTTTCTTTCCCAACCTTTGCAAGGACCTGTCTTGAAACTCCTTGCCTGATTCCCCGCTTCTTGTTTTTCCCTGTTCCTCCTGCTCCCTTTTTCTTTTCAGCTTTCTCTCCAATCATGTTCCTGTCTATTCTTTTTCTTTTTGCTACCCTGCATGGTGAATATTTGCTATTTTCCTGCTCAGCAGAACCTGCTCTCCCCACTCTCAGCCCGTGAGTGGGTGGGTGGGGCTGACCTTAGCACCTGGTGATGTCACTTGAGAACCTAGTTGGCTGGGCCCAGACTTATTAGGTGGTCAAGTCAATAAATGCCCATTATCATGTTTAAGCTGCTTGTGGCTGGGTTTTCCTGCTTGGCACCAAGAGGCCTGAGTCATTTGCATCCTCGGGACCGGCCCCTGCCCCATCTCCAGCTTACACCTCACCCCATTCCCACCCCTAAACTACAGTCAGGCCGAGGTGCTGACAGGCTGCCCCTGTGCCACGCCACTGCTGCCCCTCAGTAGGTCCCTGCCCTCCTGGCACTTCTTGGTGTCATGGTTTTCTGAGCCACAATGCTGTTCTAATTGTGAGGCAGTGGCATCTGCCTGGCTTCCTCCCCAGCCCCAGCCCCTGCCATGGGGACTCTGCCTGAGCTCTGAGGGCAGGTGGGGCACCCTGCTCCTGGCACAGGCACTATTTCCACCTCTCTTCTTCATTGCTATCCGGCTTTCCCTTGCTTTTATCCCCTCCCCTTCTCCTGCTTCCCACTGGTCAACTCTTCTCCCAGGGCCTCCCAGGGCCTAGGTCTGAGCAGTGGAGACCTCCATGAGCAGGCAGAGGGCAACCAGGCAGGCTCCATCCAGAAGAGAACAGGCCTGGACCAGATGCAGATTCTCCCAGGCTCTGCAGGGCCTGGCAGGGAAACTGCTGCTCCTGAGCTGCCTTCAGGGGAGTCCTCAGAATAAGGGGAGCTATCAACAGGCAGAGCAGTGTTTACGAGGACAGTTATGATCTTGTCACTGTCCTCAAGGAGCTTCAGGTCCAGGAAAGAAAAATGAGCCACCTGTGAAGCAGAATTGTGTAATCACCTGGCGAGCAGGGAGGAGCCCCCCAGACACCACAAAGACAGGGAGCACTGGGAGGGAGAAGCGGGGCCAGGCTGGGGAGACCTGCAGAATGGGGCGGGGCTTCTGGTTTCAATGTTTACTTGCTGAGTGGCCTTGGACAAGTTATTTCATCTGCCTGAGCCTTACTTTCCTCATCTGTAACATGAAAATGCCAAATATACCAGCACCTGGATTGCCACGAGGATGAGGTGATTACAATGCGTATGGTCCTGAAACAGTGGTGTCCCTCTCCCCACCCTGCCATTACCCAACCTCTGGTCTTCAAATCGACCCTATAAGGTAGGTATTTTTACGTTCGCTTTGCAGATGAGAAAACCAAAGCTCTGTGTAATGACACATCCCGGAAATGTGAGGACAGGTTTCAAATCCAGGTGTGTCTGGTCAAACCTGAGCGTTCCCTCCAGCCCTGCTGCCCCCTTTCTGCATGTGATCTTGGCTGGGGTCAGTGTCTGGCAAGCACACTGTCTGGCTGGCTCAGGCCTTTTGCCCCAGCTGTGGCCTTCACCCCCAACTAATTAACTAACTGACAAGCTGTTTATGAAGCTGCACTCCTGGTGACGTTGTTGGTGGCTGTGATAATCATCCTGTTTTTCCACTTATTCAGCCACCTTCTGAAGGGTCCTTTTATGGGACCCTTTTATGGATTATCATTGTTCTGGGCAGTTTATTATGCAAATGAAGCCTCAAAGTGCTCGATGCTGTCTGCTGAAATGTGCTTTATAAGATAATACATTTTTTTCCACAAACCAAAATAAACTAGTGTAAATGACAATGGAACGAGAAAAGCTTTGCTCTTTATAAAAAGGGCCGTGTGAGATTCTTTGAAACTGAACGCCGGCGGAGTCTGACTCTGACCCTGGATGAAGAGATGCTGCTCTTTTAAGCGAGGGATTTCTTTTCGGAAGAGGCTTTGTGAGCATGGAACAGCGAAGCCCGGGATGGGAACCAAGAAAGGTCACCGAAATGTAGACACCCTGGCCTCAGTCTCTGGAGTTCAAAAAGGCTGCGGTCAATTGTTGGAATTTCTTTTCACATGAAGAAATCTACATTCTGTGTAAATAAACCACTTTAAAAATGTGTGTGTTGTCTTAGTTACACAGACATTTCTATAAAAGTACTTGTAATTGTGTCTAAAAGACTGAAACCATTTAAAAAAACACCTTGAAAAATATTTTTCTCTGCCTGGTTCAGTGAACAGTTCCTACAAGCCCCTTTTCTCTCTCTATTGGAAAATAATAATTCCAGATTTTGTGCCAATCCGTCCACTGATCTAAACCGCGGCTCTTCTGTGGGCCGCGCACTCGCGCCCCTCCTCACTCTAGTCCTACGCCCCTGCTGGGAGGGCCGCGCTGCTCCGCCCCCTGGTGGTTGCAACCCTGCCTGTGAGTCATTCTTCTGACTCCGCTGCACCCAGCCTGGTGGTTTACAATAAACTCCTCCATTCTCAGAGGCCAGGGAGGCAGTGGGAGGAGAAGGGGTCTGCACGAAGAAGCCTGGCGAGAGGCTCACATGCTTGTATGTCGTTAGATGGGAAACACACCCCCAAGCTGGGTGAGCAAAGAGTCCGAACCACATGCTGCTCTCTGTGTGTACATGGAGAGTATCCTCAGCTTGGCCAGAACCCTGACCCCACCCCCAGGCCCCAGTGTGGAAGATCCATCCATGGATGATCATGGTCCAAACCAGCTCCTCACTTGAGCTTTCCTTCCCTGCACTCTTGTCAAATTGCACCAGGATTCCCTACGACTCGTTGATGTTTCCCTAGCACTGATTACATGGTCTCCTGGATGGAGAATAGGGTTAGGAAAGTACATCTTTAAGCATGTTCAGGCTAGAAGTCCAGGCCGAAGACATTCATAAAGGGGTCACCAGCAACATAAATAAGCCAAAACAGTACTGGGACTCCGTAAACTGAGAGTGCTCTTTGGATGTAGCTCTGGTTTTCAACAGGTGATGGCCAGGCTGCTGGCAGGCAGCGGCGAAGCTAGCACTCAGGCCTTCTTCCCCACGCCTGAAGCCCCCAAGACCACTTCCAGCCCCCACCTGATCATTACATAGGGGCCTTCTCTCAAATGATGTGCAGGGTGTGGGCAGTGGCATCATTGCCCAGGCCCTTCAGCTGACCTGTCCAGGTTTGGGAAAGGAGGACCGGGATGGCGGTGAGGAGGAGCTCAGGCAGAGTGGTGTTTTTCTTTGCACTTAGCATTGGGTGTGTTTGGCCCAGGAGAGGTGAACGTGGCCAGAGCAGAAATAAAACGAATCAGCAGCGTTACACAGTGCTGGCTGAGATGCTCCACTATCCAGGAAATAAGCAGACTTTGGTCATCAGAGTAGAGACAGCTGCAGAGTGCAGTGAAGGGCTGTTTTCAGGGTTGCAATCAGAACAGAGCAGCTTTCCCCTTACCAAATCCTGGCATCATCTCTGTGTCCATGGCCCCACCCTCCAGGACAGCAGCAGAGAGGGGCCTACACATTCTCCTCCCGTAAGTGCTGGGACATCGGGGTAGGGGACGTGAGATTGCGTATTTTCCTTTTGACACTTTTGTCTATTTGAATACCTCAGGAAGTAACACTATTTTCTCAGTTGAAGGATTGCTCAGAAGTCTAGGACTCCCCTTCACCTCACCTATGCCACCAAATCCCCTGCTGAAATAAAGTTCCAGGCTGTCTTGCCACTGCCTGTGGCCAGCTGCGTCCCTGGTCCCCCCCCCCCCACAGGGTGGCCTCTTTCCCTGCATTTGCATCTCCCGTGTCCCTGTCAGTCAAAGGGGACTCCCTGCTGGGGGCCATGAAGGTGTCAGGCAGGCCTTGACACAGAGGCCCTGTCCAGGAGGAGAGGGACAGCCGAGAGGAGGGACCAGCGGGGCTTCCCCACTGCACCGTGCAGGGCTCTGCAGCCTCCTGCCCTGGGTGAAGAGTGCAAGCACCTTCGCTTCTATGTTATTGGAGAAGGCAGAGTGGAGGTGGGTTTCTAATATGGAATAAATAAGAGAAAGACAGGCAAAGAGTTTGGGAGTAAGTTTTTAAAAATTCCTTGGTAAATGACTGACTGTAAACATAAATCCTGCCATTCAGCTAGCGGGAAATAGTCCCAGCAAGAGCATGAGGGTCCTGGGGGCTCGGCTGCCGCCGACAGCACAGCAGCGTCACTGGACTTTGCTGCAGGCGAACATGTGTTCAAATACCACCTCCGCTCACACGTGCTGCCTGTCTGAATTTAGGCTCCAGGCTTCTCATCTTTTCAAGGGAAGGGATAATAACGTTCACCTGCATAGTGCTCTTTTGAACAAGAAACAAGATTATGTATGCAAATATCTTAAGTGTCATTACTTTTAAACAAACGGAGTTGTTAATTTTATTATTTCCACTTTTATTATTCCCCAAGTCATTATTTGAACACCTAGAATGGGGCTTGGCAAATAGTAGTCACACAATACATATTTGTAGAACAGATCTTTGAACAAATACATGGTAAAATGAATGAATTAATGAATACCAAATTACTGTGAAAAACGTTCAGACCAAAGAAAAATTTGCTGAAAAGGAACCAGCTTCCCTTTCGTGTCTCTCCCAGCCCAGGCAAGCAGCCCACCAGGGGGTGCTCCCTGAGCCTTCTAAAGGCAGAGCGGCCTGTTGGGAAAGGCCTCGGGGTGTCAGTGGGAACTTCCTGCTTTGCTGAGGGAGCAAAGGCCTGTGTGGGAAGGAAGGTCACAGCTGGTCCCCAGCCTCCAACAGCAGGAAGCGGGACAGAAGGAGCCCCTCGGTGTACCCTGCAACCCCCAGCCAGGGAGAAGCAGCAGGAGAGAGAGCTACTTCCTCTAACCAGTGGTGGTTCCTAACTCCAAGACATCCTGGACATTGGTTCTGAACAGTAATCATTGGAATTTGCTCTTTTCTGGAGCCATGAAACTACCAGAATAAAGTAATCAGAGTGAGCCCATGATGTGCTAGGGAAAACTAAATATTTCTCTTCAAAATAATGGTCAGTTTCCTACTGAATGCTACATGATAAGTGCAGTATGTTTGACTATGACATCAGTGAGTTTGCTCCTTAGAGGATATTTTTGGGTGATACATTGAAATTTACCTTTGACCATTTGTTTTGGCAGAAGGTGTCTCTCCAATATCCAAAATTTGGATAATCCACATTAAAACTAATTTTATTGTGGCTAATTTTTATTAAATGTTATTAAAAATAATTATCACATTGTATTTATTAAATATTTGTTAAATTTTATAGAATTTATTAAATTTTATTGATCACCACTAAAAGATACATATATATATTTAATGTATATTAATATACAGCGGCTCATCTTCCTCCTGAGAAACCTAAAGTTGGTGGCCTCAATTATGATTGTTGTTTTGATTTGGTGGTTGCGTTGTTGTTATTAATATCATTCATTATCACCCTCTGAAGCATGCAGTCCTGGGCAAATGGGAAAGGCCCAGTGCCAGGTCATTGAGGGCTTGCAACTGTGAAGGAAGAAAAGAAAAAACAGCAGGAAGGGCCACTCTGCTCCTCCCACTCCACACAGAGTGGCTGACTGCAGCAGGCTCACTATAGGACTGTGCCAGAGGCAGAATTGTCTCTGCACTAAGTGCTTCATCTTCCCTTTCTCTGCATTTCTGTGTGTGTATATGTGCATGTGTGTAAGGAAGACAGGTGTGTGGGGCTGTTGACCGGAAGAAAGGCCCTGTGTCATACTGTATTCTCAACTTTTAATTATGTTCAGACATTTTGCAAAATCAAAGGCTAGAAAATATCACTTAAAGTAATCCAAGCTTGTCCAACCCGCCTTATTTTGTGGTGGTTGTTTTGTTTCAGGCTTTTACCAGCCCGAAGCCATGGTTTTTAGTTTCTGTCTCTAGTGATAAGTGGAAAAGAGGGATGAGGAAGGGGTTTTACTGGCCCAACCAGAAACAGGAATGAAGAACCCAAGAGTGTATTATGTCCCTTAGACACCCCTGTAAGCTCTTGCACAGACTGAGGCTTCAAAAACTGTCACTGTCACTATTATTGTTAAGGATCTGATAGTTGAGGAGTTCTGCCCTTGACGAGACCCTCACTGTGGAACACCTCCATCTCCCAGAGCCTCCTGACCCATCCTCATCCCCTTGCTCCAGATCCTGGAAGGAGAGGGGTAAATGCAGAGGGTGATTCTGCCCCCCATCCTAAGGATCCCCAGGGTCTGGGGAGGGGGTATGACACTGACATTTGGGCCACAGTGAGTTCCTGTAGTTGCCTACAGTGGGGATATTAGGGTACATGCTGTGGTTCGGATGTGGTTTGGTCCTGCCAAAACTCATGTTGAAATTTGATCCCCAGTGTGGCAGCACTGGGAGGTGGGGCCTAGTGGGAGGTGTTTGGGTCAT
The DNA here is from genome assembly GCF_000001405.40 of Homo sapiens. Lineage (NCBI taxonomy): Eukaryota > Metazoa > Chordata > Mammalia > Primates > Hominidae > Homo > Homo sapiens. The sequence continues at coordinate 134,938,377 of NC_000011.10, read as the reverse complement.
AGGGTAGATCTCTCCTGAATAGGTAAATGTCCTTTTGTGGGGGTGAGCTCTCACTCTTGCTTTCTCAGGAATAGATTGATTTTCACTGGAGTGAGTTGTTAAGAGTCTGCCTCCCTTGGTTTCTCCTGTTTCTTCTCTTGCCTTGTAGTCTCTTTGCACACTTACTCATCTTTTGCATTCCAGTAGCAGTTGAAGCCGTGTGAGGTCCTCACCAGATGGAGCTGTCAAATCTTGAACCTTCCAGCCACCAGAATTGTGAGCCAAATAAGCCTCTTCTTTTTATAAATTACCGAGCCTCAAGAACGCTGTTATAGCAACACAAAACTGATTAAGACAGTAGGTTAGCACAGAAAATAAATCAATAGCAAAGAGGAATTTTCTGGGTAAAGGCCTGCTCCTCCCCACCTCCATTCGATGCAAGACACACCTGCAGGACATCCTCCCACCCTGCCCTTATCCCTGTCTCCCAGTGTAGCGGACAGTCCTGACCTGTGATTGGAAGGACTTGTTAGTTAACTCCTACAGAGGTTTCCATGGCCAGCTGGTGTCCCCACACCCATGATTTCAGATAAGATCTCAGTTGTTCCACTTTCCCCATCTTTCTCTTTATCCGTCTCTGGACCCTACTGCACTGGGCAGCCAGCCCAGCCCCAGGAGCCTGAAAAGGAACAAATTATTGATGGATCCTTCTCATTTTTCTCAAGCAGAGCTCCCATCAGAGGCTGACCTGGTCCTCATGGCTTGCAGCATGGCCTTTTCCATTTCCTGTGAACTGTGATGCCCGAGCACAGTGAGCCAGCTCAGCCCTGAACACAGGTGGGCGCTCTGGTTCTGATGCCCGAGCATGGTGAGCCTGCTCAGCCCTGAACACAGGTGGGCGCTCTGGTTCTGATGCTATCAGAGCACGGTGAGCCAGCTCAGCCCTGAACACAGGTGGGCGCTCTGGTTCTGATGCTATCAGAGCACGGTGAGCCTGCTCAGCCCTGAACACAGGTGGGCGCTCTGGTTCTGATGCTATCAGAGCACGGTGAGCCAGCTCAGCCCTGAACACAGGTGGGCGCTCTGGTTCTGATGCCCGAGCACAGTGAGCCAGCTCAGCCCTGAACACAGGTGGGCGCTCTGGTTCTGATGCCCGAGCACGGTGAGCCTGCTCAGCCCTGAACACAGGTGGGCGCTCTGGTTCTGATGCCCGAGCACAGTGAGCCAGCTCAGCCCTGAACACAGGTGGGCGCTCTGGTTCTGATGCCCGAGCACGGTGAGCCAGCTCAGCCCTGAACACAGGTGGGCGCTCTGGTTCTGATGCCATCTCCTGTCTTCACATCATTTATCTGGTTAATCTAAGGCACAGTGTCAACGGGAAAGTAGGATAAACGCTTGACTTTTTTCCTTTTATTTATCAGTTTTCAAAAGTTTGAGTTAGTTCAATATCATCCTTAAATGGCCACTATATCCTTTGGCATTTTTGTTTGTTTTTAAGGTTATTAAGCTGTCATGGATGTTAACATAGCTTATGTGCTTTAATCCACTGCAGTTGCTGGTGCTCAACTGTCTCATTTTTGTCCAGAGATCCTTCTTCAGGTTGGTGCCAGATCCCTTTTGATAAAACATTATTACTTGTAACTCCCTTCCCAGAGGATGAGGAGTGGAGTTGAATGTTCCCAGCATGGTCTTTCTGGGACCAGCTTCCACCCAGGAGCCCAGCAAGAGTCACCTCATTAAAACAAAAGATGCTCCTATCACCCAGGAAATTTAAAATGTTTAGGAGCTCTGTGTCGGATACAGGGGGTAAAAGACAAAATACTAGAACCAAAGATGTATCTTGCACCCCATTGCTCAGAAAACTACCAGGATTTTAGGATTTCTGTGCCAGGAACCAGGGACAGAGATCAAATACATATTTCTTATTACATCATGATATCACACACCCCTCAGAAATATGGGAATATTCTACGGTGAAATAGAAAAGGAAGTTTATAAAAGTTGATGGGGAGGGAGAGGGCTAGTTTCCACGGGACCAGAGAGAGTTTTCAGGCCCAAACACGGGAGATATGAAGGGAGGGATAAGTAAGGCAAATGTGCGGGTCCTGAGAGCCCCTTCCACCAGGGTCTCTCTCCCAATGTGAAACTCACTTGTGTTTGGGGTAAGAAACCAAGAGCCCATGACTGTATTCTGTCCCTTGGACACCCCTGTGAGTTCTCATGACTGTATTCTGTCCCTTGGACACCCCTGTGAGTTCTCATGACTGTATTCTGTCCCTTGGACACCCCTGTGAGCTCTCATGACTGTATTCTGTCCCTTGGACACACCTGTGAGCTCTCATGCCTGTATTCTGTCTCTTGGACACCCCTGTGAGCTCTCATGCCTGTATTCTGTACCTTGGACACCCCTGTGAGCTTTCATGACTGTATTCTGTCCCTTGGATACCCCTGTGAGCTCTCATGCCTGTATTCTGTCCCTTGGACACCCCTGTGAGATCTCATGACTGTATTCTGTCCCTTGGACACCCCTGTGAGCTCTCATGACTGTTTTCTGTCCCTTGGACACCTCTGTGAGCCTCATGACTGTATTCTTTCCCTTGGACACCCGTGTGAGCTCTCATGCCTGTATTCTGTCCCTTGGACACCCCTGTGAGCTCTCATGACTGTATTCTGTCTCTTGGACACCCCTGTGAGCTTTCATGACTGTATTCTGTCCCTTGGATACCCCTGTGAGCTCTCATGACTGTATTCTGTCCCTTGGACACCCGTGTGAGCTCTCATGACTGTATTCTGTCCCTTGGACACCCCTGTGAGCTCTCATGACTGTTTTCCGTCCCTTGGACACCTCTGTGAGCCTCATGACTGTATTCTTTCCCTTGGACACCCGTGTGAGCTCTCATGACTGTATTCCATCCCTTGGACACCCTTGTGAGCTCTCATGACTGTATTCTGTCCCTTGGACACCCCTGTGAGCTCTCATGACTGTATTCTGTCCCTTGGAAACCCCTGTGAGCTCTCATGACTGTATTCTGTCCCTTGGACACCCATGTGAGCTCTCATGACTGTATTTTGTCCCTTGGACACCCGTGTGAGCTCTCATGACTGTATTCTGTCCCTAGGACACCCGTGTGAGCTCTCATGACTGTATTCTGTGCCTTGGACACCCGTGTGAGCTCTCATGACTGTATTCTGTCCCTTGGACACCCGTGTGAGCTCTCATGACTGTAATCTGTCCCTTGGACACCCCTGTGAGCTCTCATGACTGTATTCTGTCTCTTGGACACCCCTGTGAGCTCTCATGCCTGTATTCTGTCCCTTGGACATCCCTGTAAGCTTTCATGACTGTATTCTGTCCCTTGGACACCCCTGTGAGCTCTCATGCCTGTATTCTGTCCCTTGGACACCCCTGTGAGCTTTCATGACTGTATTCTGTCCCTTGGACACCCGTGTGAGCTCTCATGACTGTATTCTGTCCCTTGGACACCCCTGTGAGCTCTCATGACTGTATTCTGTCCCTTGGACACCACTGTGAGCTCTCATGCCTGTATTCTGGCCCTTGGACACCCGTGTGAGCTCTCATGACTGTATTCTGTCCCTTGGACCCCCTGTGAGCTCTCATGACTCTATTCTGTCCCTTGGACACCCCTGTGAGCTCTCATGACTGTATTCTGTCCCTTGGACACCTCTGTGAGCTCTCATGACTGTATTCTGTCCCTTGGACACCCCTGTGAGCTCTCATGACTGTATTCTGTCCCTTGGACACCTCTGTGAGCCTCATGACTGTATTCTTTCCCTTGGACACCCCTGTGAGCTCTCATGCCTGTATTCTGTCCCTTGGACACCCCTGTGAGCTCTCATGACTGTATTCTGTCCCTTGGACACCCCTGTGAGCTCTCATGACTGTATTCTGTCCCTTGGACACCCGTGTGAGTTCTCATGACTGTATTCTGTCCCTTGGACACCGCTGTGAGCTCTCATGACTGTATTCTGTCTCTTGGACACCCGTGTGAGCTCTCATGCCTGTATTCTGTCCCTTGGACACCCCTGTGAGCTCTCATGCCTGTATTCTGTCCCTTGGACACCCCTGTGAGCTCTCATGACTGTATTCTGTCCCTTGGACACCCCTGTGAGCTCTCATGCCTGTATTCTGTCCCTTGGACACCCCTGTGAGCTCTCATGACTGTATTCTGTCCCTTGGACACCCCTGTGAGCTCTCATGACTGTATTCTGTCCCTTGGACACCCCTGTGAGCTCTCATGACTATATTCTGTCCCTTGGACACCCGTGTGAGCTCTCATGACTGTATTCTGTCCCTTGGACACCCCTGTGAGCTCTCATGACTGTATTCTGTCTCTTGGACACCCCTGTGAGCTCTCATGACTGTATTCTGTCCCTTGGACACCCCTGTGAGCTTTCATGACTGTATTCTGTCCCTTGGACACCCGTGTGAGCTCTCATGACTGTATTCTGTCCCTTGGACACCGCTGTGAGCTCTCATGACTGTATTCTGTCCCTTGGACACCCGTGTGAGCTCTCATGACTGTATTCTGTCCCTTGGACACCCCTGTGAGCTCTCATGACTGTATTCTGTCCCTTGGACACCCCTGTGAGCTCTCATGACTGTATTCTGTCCCTTGGACACCCATGTGAGCTCTCATGACTGTATTCTGTCCCTTGGACACCTCTGTGAGCCTCATGACTATATTCTTTCCCTTAGACACCCCTGTGAGGTCTTGCACAGACTGTTTCAGTTATTTCTGGAGGAGATGCCCATCTCCTGGGGGCCTGTTCTCACACTACTACAAAGAAGTACCTGAAACTGGGTAATTTTAAAGAAAAGAGGTTTAATTGGCTCACAGCTTCACAGGCTGTACAGGAAGCATGGCTGCGGAGGCCTCAGGAAACTTTCAGTCATGGTGGAAGGCAAAGTGGAAGCAGGCACATCTTACATGGCCTGGGCAAGAGGAAGACAGTGAAAGGGGAGGAGCTACACATTTTCAAGCAACCAGATCTTGTGGGAACTCACTCACTACCCTGAGAACAGTAAGGGGGAATTCAGCCCCGTGATCCCATTACCTCCCACCAGGCCCCTCCTCTAACACTGGGGATTTCAATTCAACAAGAGATTTGGGCAGGGACACAGATCTGAACCATATTAGGGCCCCATTAACCCCCAGCTCAAGGCTGAGGTGGGAGCCCTTGTGAAATGCAGACCTGATGCACAGATTGTGTTCTCAGCCAGACAGCTCTTCATTGATTGCCTTAGACAGGGCCAAAGTGAGGATATTGATCCAAGCAGGCCTAAGAGCTCCTTCTGGTATGGGAGGGATCAACTTGAGTGCAGTAAACTTGCTCCTTTGGGACAATGTGGAGTAGAGAGGACCAAGAAATAGCAAGCACTGGAGCAGGGTGGGCTCACTGCCAAGAGACACAGGCCTGCGCCTCTCTGACCCAGGAGACTCACCACAAGCCTCCTGAAGCTGCCTTTCCTCTTCACACAGCGCCATGCTTGGCAGACAGCCGGGGAAAGGGTGAGGAGGGCCAGGTGTCCTTATTTTCCTAGACATTTCTTGCAGATAGTTGCTTTTTAATCACCTTAATGTAGAATAGAAAGAATACCAGGTTTCAGGCTGGAAGGCTCTAGCTATAACTTCTCCATTTCTGAAATCTGACTATCTTTTCTTGTTTGTTTTGTTTACAGCAAAATTTTGTAAAAGGATGAACTTCGGTGAGTGTATTAGGACTGCCAGAACAAAAATTGGAAGAGTTAGGTCTCAAAGTATCTTTTCTTCTTTCTCTTTTTAAAGTTTTATTATGGTAAGGATACTTAACATGAGCTCTACCCTCTGAGTGGATTTCCAAGTGCACAGTGCAGTGGTGTCATCTGCAGGCACGATGTTGCAGGCACGATGTTGCAGCCAATCTCCAGAATGATTCACCCGCATAAAGGAAGCTTCACACTCCAGGAGAAGCAACTCCCCATCCCTCCTCCCAGATCCTGGAGACCACCATTTTCCACTCTGCTTCTGTGAGTTGGGCTATTTAAAATACTGCATATAAATGGAATCATGCAGTGTTTGTTATTTTGTGAGTGGCATATGTCGCTTGACATAACGTCACTCGTATTCAAATCCTGGCTCTGACACTTTGATTGCCTGTGAACAGGTTAAATTCTGCATACCTCAATTTCTTTCTTTCCTTCTTTCTTTCTTTCTTTCTTTCTTTCTTTCTTTCTTCTTTCTTTCTTTCCTTCTTTCTCTTTCTTTCTTTCTTGTTTTTTTGAGACAGAGTCTCGCTCTCGGCTCACTGCAATCTCCAGCTCCCGGGTTCAAGTGATTCTCTTGCCTCAGCCTCCCAAATAGCTGGAATTACAGGCACCCACCACCAGGCCTGGCTACTTTTTTGTATTTTTAGTAGAGACGGGGTTTCACCGTGTTAGCCAGGATGGTCTTGATCTCCTGACCTCATGATCTACCTGCCTCGGCCTCCCAATTTCTGGATTTCTAAAGCAGGAATAATTGAAACAGCTACCTTAGAAGATCCCGCTGTACATTAAATATAAATGTTTAATGCTTGACAATGCCTCTTGCTTAATTGTGTCTATTGTGATAGTTCCTATGCCGTGTATACCGGAGACGAAAACAGTCAGAGCTGCCCCTGTTCCCTCGTTTCTGGGAGCTTCAGTTTGTTCCTTGTAAAAGCAGGATGGGACACTCAGGCCAGGATATTTACCAAACGTGGTCCCTTATTTTCAGACGGAGTATAATAAACCCGGTTAGGGTGCTGACCCCAAACTCAAAGCTAGTTAGATGCCTCTCTGACAAGGCGGCAGCAAGACCGCAGATATGAGAGCTGGCTTGTGAGATTCTACCAGCTCTCCCGGGAGGACAGCACTTTTCTTTGGTTGATTCTAAAAACCACACCTTGGAGCCCATGTGTTGTCAGGAACACAAGGATATTTAAATAGCCCCACCATCCCTTCTACTCCATAAGGATTTTGTATGGGAAAATTCTGAACTTTTGCTAATTGAAGATTTGCTTCCAATGAGTCGGGAAAAAAAATCATAAAGTTTAAATCTATTCAACAAATTAATTGATGTCTAGAAAAATTAATAAGGAATATTCAAGAAACGGTAACTTTTTAACCTTGCAAGAATATAAAAACAAAGTAAACATCAACGAGAAATTTATTTGTAAATGAGACACCCAGGTGTATTCATTTGCATTTTATTAATGGAAATTTTTTCCTGAAATGACCATGAAACTTGAATATTAAGTGCAATAATCGTGCAGTCAAAACCGAAGCTATCCAAAAGGCAGCAATTAGGGGTGAGGGGATGGTTGTAGCTGCCTGTGGAGGGATCCCTGTGTTCCTCCTGTCCAGTGATACCAAATTTCAGCCTGGGTGTGAGCCAAGTGAGATGGTCTGTCTGGGCTAGGCTTAGCATCAGTGTGAAGGAAAGAACTGATGAAGTAGAAATAAAGAACTCTATCCTGCCCCATAGTTTGATTTTATTCAAGGTGTGTGTCTGCATTTGTGTATGTGTGCTTACAATTCATTCATTTTTTTTTCAACAGTTGTCATCATTCAACACCTAAATCCCTTAATATCAGATGCCATCCATCCTTGTCTCTTTGCAAAGCCCATTCCCCTTGCGGCTTTTCCACCTGCCTGCTCCCCACTCCTGGTGACTATAGTCCACTGCCATCCTGGTCACCCTTCCGTGTAGCCCCTGTTTACTTTCTTCTTCTTCTTCACCCCCAGCACCTGCTATCCTTCTTGGTGGCTCACTATCCATGTAACACTCAGCACCTGGATTCACAGGGCTTTAACCTCCACGTTGTCAATTTCCTTCTCATCTACCCGAGGGGAGTCAGTATTCAGCCACTGCTGGGGTCATAGCTTGTCATCACCAATAACTTTTTCACTCCCAAAATGAATTCCAATAGCCCACTTTCATCACACAGCCTCCTGCTTCCAGACTACTTATTTCAGAAGCTTCATCAACCTCACCAAGACCTCCTCTCATTGATCTTATGGCTTTCTGGTTGTCTATATCAGTGTTATAGATATTTAACGTGTCATAGTTATTTAACTTGTTATAGTTGCAGATTACACTTTTCCTTCATTCCTAATGTCCTACTATCTTAAATCTTTGTTCTATCTTCATAATCACTTAGTTAAAATTAAGCTTAAATTTCTGTTCTAACCTATACTCCAATGTAGTTGCTAAGCCTTTGCCTTAGAAGATCTGAACCAAACTTTCTTTATCTGCATACTGGCAAGACTGGCCATTACTGAACAGAAATCACACAGAGCAGCAGATTAGTTGCACTATAAACTATGACCACCTGCTTCAACACTAGTTAGCAATCAACTATGACCACCTGCCTCAACACTGGTTGACAATCAACTATGACCACTTACCTCAACACTGGTTAGCAATCAACTATGGCCACTTACCTCAACACTGGTTAGCAATCAACTATGACCACTTACCTCAACACTGGTTAACAATCAACTATGACCACCTGCCTCAACACTGGTTAACAATCAACTATGACCACCTGCCTCAACACTCATTAACTATCAACTATGACCACTTACCTCAACACTGGTTAGCAATCAACTATGACCACCTGCCTCAACACTGGTTAGCAATCAACTATGACCACCTGCCTCAACACTGGTTAACTATGAACTATGACCACCTGCCTCAACACTGGTTAGCAATCAACTATGACCACTTACCTCAACACTGGTTAGCAATCAACTATGACCACATGTCTCAACACTGGTTAACTATGAACTATGACCACCTGCCTCAACACTGGTTAGCAATCAACTATGACCACTTACCTCAACACTGGTTAGCAATCAACTATGAACACCTGCCTCAACACTGGTTAACAATCAACTATGACCACTTACCTCAACACTGGTTAGCAATCAACTATGGCCACCTACCTCAACACTGGTTAACAATCAACTATGACCACCTACCTCAACACTCGTTAACAATCAACTATGACCACCTGCCTCAACACTGGTTAACAATCAACTATGACCACCTGCCTCAACACTGGTTAACAATCAACTATGGCCACCTGCCTCAACACTGGTTAACAATCAACTATGACCATCTGCCTCAACACTGGTTAACAATCAACTATGACCACCTACCTCAACACTAGTTAACAATCAACTATGACCACCTACCTCAACGCTGGTTAACAATCAACTATGACCACTTACCTCAACACTGGTTAACAATCAACTATGACCACCTGCCTCAACACTGGTTAACAATCAACTATGACCACTTACCTCAACACTGGTTAACAATCAACTATGACCACCTGCCTCAACACTGGTTAACAATCAACTATGACCACCTGCCTCAACACTGGTTAACAATCAACTATGACCACCTGCCTCAACACTGGTTAGCAATCAACTATGACCACCTGCCTCAACACTGGTGAGCAATCAACTATGACCACCTACCTCAACACTGGTTAACAATCAACTATGACCACTTACCTCAACACTGGTTAGCAATCAGCTATGACCACCTGCCTCAACACTGGTTAACAATGAACTATGACCACTTACCTCAACACTGGTTAACAATCAACTATGACCACCTGCCTCAACACTGGTTAACAATCAACTATGACCACCTGCCTCAACACTGGTTAACAATCAACTATGACCACCTGCCTCAACACTGGTTAACAATCAACTATGACCACCTGCCTCAACACTGGTTAACAATCAACTATGACCACTTACCTCAATACTGGTTAACAATCAACTATGACCACTTACCTCAACACTGGTTAACAATCAACTATGGCCACTTACCTCAACGCTGGTTAGCAATCAACTATGGCCACCTGCCTCAACACTGGTTAACAATCAACTATGACCACCTGCCTCAACACTGGTTAGCAATCAACTATGACCACTTACCTCAACACTGGTTAGCAATCAACTATCACCACCTGCCTCAACGCTGGTTAGCAATCAACTATGACCACATGCCTCAACACTGGTTAGCAATCAGCTATGACCACCTGCCTCAACACTGGTTAACAATCAACTATGACCACTTACCTCAACACTGGTTAACAATCAACTATGACCACCTGCCTCAACACTGGTTAGCAATCAACTATGACCACCTGCCTCAACACTGGTTAACAATCAACTATGACCACCTGCCTCAACACTGGTTAACTATGAACTATGACCACCTGCCTCAACACTGGTTAGCAATCAACTATGACCACTTACCTCAACACTGGTTAGCAATCAACTATGACCACCTGCCTCAACACTGGTTAACAATCAACTATGACCACTTACCTCAACACTGGTTAGCAATCAACTATGGCCACCTACCTCAACACTGGTTAACAATCAACTATGACCACCTACCTCAACACTCGTTAACAATCAACTATGACCACCTACCTCAACACTCGTTAACAATCAACTATGACCACCTGCCTCAACACTGGTTAACAATCAACTATGGCCACCTACCTCAACACTGGTTAACAATCAACTATGACCATCTGCCTCAACACTGGTTAACAATCAACTATGACCACCTACCTCAACACTAGTTAACAATCAACTATGACCACCTACCTCAACGCTGGTTAACAATCAACTATGACCACTTACCTCAACACTGGTTAACAATTAACTATGACCACCTGCCTCAACACTGGTTAACAATCAACTATGACCACCTACCTCAACACTGGTTAACAATCAACTATGACCACCTGCCTCAACACTGGTTAACAATCAACTATGACCACCTGCCTCAACACTGGTTAACAATCAACTATGACCACCTGCCTCAACACTGGTTAGCAATCAACTATGACCACCTGCCTCAACACTGGTGAGCAATCAACTATGACCACCTACCTCAACACTGGTTAACAATCAACTATGACCACTTACCTCAACACTGGTTAGCAATCAGCTATGACCACCTGCCTCAACACTGGTTAACAATGAACTATGACCACTTACCTCAACACTGGTTAACAATCAACTATGACCACCTGCCTCAACACTGGTTAACAATCAACTATGACCACCTGCCTCAACACTGGTTAACAATCAACTATGACCACCTGCCTCAACACTGGTTAACAATCAACTATGACCACCTGCCTCAACACTGGTTAACAATCAACTATGGCCACTTACCTCAATACTGGTTAACAATCAACTATGACCACTTACCTCAACACTAGTTAACAATCAACTATGGCCACTTACCTCAACGCTGGTTAGCAATCAACTATGGCCACCTGCCTCAACACTGGTTAACAATCATCTATGACCACCTGCCTCAACACTGGTTAGCAATCAACTATGACCACTTACCTCAACACTGGTTAGCAATCAACTATCACCACCTGCCTCAACGCTGGTTAGCAATCAACTATGACCACATGCCTCAACACTGGTTAGCAATCAGCTATGACCACCTGCCTCAACACTGGTTAACAATCAACTATGACCACTTACCTCAACACTGGTTAACAATCAACTATGACCACCTGCCTCAACACTGGTTAGCAATCAACTATGACCACCTGCCTCAACACTGGTTAACAATCAACTATGACCACCTGCCTCAACACTGGTTAACAATCAACTATGACCACTTACCTCAACACTGGGTAACAATCAACTATGACCACCTGCCTCAACACTGGTTAACAATCAACTATGACCACCTGCCTCAACACTGGTTAACAATCAACTATGACCACCTGCCTCAACACCGGTTAACAATCAACTATGACCACCTGCCTCAACACTGGTTAACAATCAACTATGACCACCTGCCTCAACACTGGTGAGCAATCAACTATGGAAACCTACCTCAATGCTGGTTAGCAATCTTGCATCTTTTACAAATAAGCTCGCCCATGTCATGCAGTCTTCCCTTTATTTAAACTTCCAACAATCTCTCTTTCATCCCCACTCTGAGCATTAGCTAATGCCTTTCTCCTACTGAAATGATTGAAATCAGGAATCTGGAATTCTCTTTGTGTTCTTGTGTTGAGAGGGGTTGTACTCCCTTTTCTGCACCTTACCTGTCTTTTCTTTTTCTTTTAATGAAAGAATTTATGTTTTTCCTGTTAAAATAGCAAAACTGTGTATGCTGGAATTGAACAATTAAGTAAATGGATGGCAGATGCTAGCAGCTAGTTGTCTCATGGTAGGAGCAGAAGTACATAGGTGAGGGGGAGGAGGCTAGAATAATTCCTGTGGCACTGAATCAGAGTCAGAGATATCAGAATCAACTCATGTTTAGTTTAATTTATACACAGATAGTTACATACAGAAACATTTATAACTATGCACATATACACAGGATAGCATACACATGTCTATGTCAGCTGAGAAGACCTAGAAGCAATGACATCCCAGTAGAAAGGAATGCATCTAACACCCAGGTCTTCATTTGTGGTCATATTCTGCAATAAAAGAAACCAGGCTCCTTATAGAAATGGATGACTAAGACTAAGACTTAGTAGGACTAAGACTTAGTAGGACTAAGACAAGAAATAAAAAAAGAGCCTGGAACATCTTGTTGTGCCAGCAAGTAATAAAATATTACATGAGAGTGCATACACACAGTCACATAACCACACTCACATTCACACACACCCTCTCACACACTCACACACCCACATTCACACACATCCACCTACACTCTCACACACCCACATTCACTCACACACACACATTCACACACGCACACCCACATTCACACACACACGTATACATAGATATAACTACATTCACACACACATATACCTACATTCACACACAATAACATACACACACACTCACATACCCACACTCGCACACACACATACACACACCCACATTCATACACACTCACATACACACACACTCATACCCACACTTACACTCACATAACCATACTTACACACACACACACACACACAGTGATGCAGGGAAGTGAGAGGGACACAGCTGCGAAATGAAAGAGGTCTCAACGACTGCGCTCTGCAGCAACAAAATAACATGCCGGATTACATTACAGAACAGAAAATAAATGCCCACGAGTCTATAGTGATATAAATAAATGAATAAATAAATACATGGGACACAAAAGTCAAATCTCCCATGCAAAAATTTTTCACATAATTTCTGTAGATGCTCAGCCTTCGATGAGGAGGAACGTACCTTCTTACTCTGAAATGTGAGCTGCCCATAGTGACTTTCTTCCTAGAATGCAGCGTGGAAGGGGGGCCTTTGCATACAGTGGAGAAACCGCCCGGCCAGCGCTCCTCTGGCCGGCGATCAGGGCACATGCACAGCGGTCAGTGGGGTCGGCACGTACCCTTGACTCGGTGTGATGAGCGGCATTTTACCACTGTGCCCTTAGTCCTCTAAACGCATAAACTCATCTCATCATGAGAAAAACATCAGGACCCTTCTGATAAAGGAAGGTTCTACCGAATTAGCACTCCTGAAAATAGTCAAGGTCAGCAAGAACTAGGAAAGCCCAAGAAAACAGCACAGCCAAGAGGAATCTAGGGATCCCCGACAGCTAGTATGATGTGGTCTCCTGGATGAGATGCTGGAGGAGGAAAGGATGCCTGGGGAAAATGAGGGGGTCAGGGCACAGTGGCTCAGGCCTGTAGTCCCAGCACGTCGGGAGGCTGAGGTGGGAGGATCGCTTGAGGACATGAATTCAAGGCTATGGTGAGCTATGATGGCACCACTGCTCTCCAACCCGAGCAACAGAGCAAGATCCTTCTTTAAAAAAATCAAGAACCAAAAAACTTAATCTTGTTTTGAACCAGAAAGACTCTGGGAACAGAATGACAAATAAGTCATCAAGAACAAATTTACACTGCACAGAAGCAGCTGATCTGAGGCAGGGTGTAACTTCGTAGTGGTGGTGCCCCTGGCACTCACATCTCTCCATGATTTTCTTGCATAAATTGTCTGGCCCATGTCCTTGTCCTCCTGGTGCTCAGGACTTGGCCCTGGCCAAGCTTGCCGCTTGCTTTGCATCAGCATCCAATGAAAGGCTACCCTGCAGGCTGGATCGCCTGACCCGGCTTGCCCTGGCCTTCACCGGAACACCTGTGTGTCGACCTGACTCCTGAGTTGATAATTCAGCTCACCTATCACTCCACTGCAAATTCAACTTGACTCGCTGCCTACATGCCAGGATGCTGAACCACCTGCATCAAACCCCTACTTTGGGTTTGCCAGGCTCTCGGGAGCCATCCCTTGTTCTATCACAGACAGCCCAAAGCCTGGTACTTCCTTGGTAGGAGGGAAGGACAATTCAGCACTTCTCCCTGACTTTCAGTGCATATTATTAAACTCTCAACCAAAACAATGGAGGAAAGGCCCTCTTTATTCAATACCTCCAGAAAATGAGCCTCCCTCTCCCATCCAGCTCCCTCATTTTGTCACAAAGACACCAGGTAAGAAGGTGCTGAGGACAACACAAATACATCCCCTGTGTGGAAAACCAAGATGAAAACACACAACCTACTGAGGGAACATCCCCGGGGCTCACGGCCTCCCTCTGAGTACTGGGGATAGGAAAGAGGCAGGTAAGAAGGAAATATTTAGCTTCGCTGTGCCTGTTCAGTGAAAAGAGTCATTGCTACTTTGCTCAGGAGGGTTTTCACAAACTCCCCCAGCCTACGTGAGATAAGGGTTAGGTGTGAACCTGTCTGCTATAGATAAGGGGGTTAGAATGACAGGCACCCCCTGATAACGCAGGCTGGCTATGACCCACAGCCCAGCCCCTGCCCGCTAAGTCGGAGGTTGGAGATGCTCCAGGGGCCAGGAAATAGTTAAATCTCCCCATCATCCCACCCATTCACCTTGCTATAATCTCAAAAGCAGTCAGAGAAATTCAGGGGACATAAAAGGAAAGGAAGCCAGCACCTGCAGAAATGGATGGACTAAAATCACAGCCATCCCGAGGTGAGGTTTCCAATCCCTCTTACTCCAACACCAAGGACACACACCTGGAGAGGGTGGTGACAGGTGAGGTTTCACAGTATGGCCTCTGTTTCTCTTCATTCTACTCCCTACCTTGCCTCCTGCTCAAGTTCTTCCTAAATGACCTGCACACTTGTAATAAGCCATTTTTGCATTGCTATAAAGAAATACCTGAGACTGGGTAATTGATGAAGAAAAGAGGTTTAACTGGCTCAAGGTACGCAGGCTGTACAGGAAGTATGGCTAGCATCTGCTCCACCTCTGGTGAGGCCTCAGGGAGCTTTCAATCATGATGGAAGGCCAAGCGACAGCAGGCAGATTGTATTAGAAGCAGGCGTGTCACATGGTGAGAGCAGGAGGAAGAGGAAGAGAAAGAGGCAGAGGCAGTGCCACACACTTTTAAACAACCAGATTTCATGTGAACTCAAAGCCTGAGCTCACTCATCAGCAAGGGATGGCCCAAGTCATTCACAAGGGATCTGCCCACGTAATACACACACCTCCCACCAGGCCCAACCTCCAGCACCTGGAAACACTGTTCAACATGAGATTGGGGTGGGACATCCAAGCCATGTCAATGTCCTACAGGATGGAAGCCAGACTTGCCACATAGGAAGGGAGATGCTAACTTTGTGAACCTGCTGTTTTGCTTTTGTCACTATATTCTGTAAAAATAACACGGAGTCACAATATTTGCCCCACATAAAGGTTTATAACCTGAAGGATTGAGAACTTTTTTCCACCTGCTTTGAATACAGTTCACATTTGTGGATGAAGGTATTGACAGGGATGTAGCCCTTTGAAACTTACTAGGACCTATTCTCCAAAGAGTCAGAGAGGTTTTATTTTTTCAGAGTGTTCAGAGATTAGAAGTCTGGAAAACTTGTGTCAACCCTCATCTCATCAGGAAAACTCCAGTGTTGAAGGCAAAGGAATAAATTCAAATCCAGCAAGTAATTTTGTATCTGTCATTTCAAAAGGTTAAGGGTTGTGAAGAGCAGAGCTAGTGACCTCCTGCAGACCCTGGCCACACTGGTGCCACTCCCTGCAGCTCCGCACAACCTCTCCCCACTCCCTTCTTCCTCCCCCAGCACCTGCCAATCACCTGCCATTGCTGAGAAGCAATTGATTCCCGTGAAGGGTTGATAGTCTAGTTGAACCAGTTGGAGTGCTGACTTATGGGACAGATCAGTCTTTTGTTCTGAGCCTAGTTAGTGAGCCCAGCTAAGGACTTGGCTGGGCTTTCAAAGCTGTGGGGAAGGAGAAAGAGAGGAGGTGTCCAACCCAAACTCAGCTCTCAGGAACATGCCAGAGGCAAGGATGTGGCACCATGAGGAGAGGCTCCTAGGAGTTACACGGAAGACTTCACATAACACTTCTCCCTTTCCTGCTGATGACTGCACAGGGTTTTCAGAATGATTTTCCAGAGCTGGACAGACACTTTCCCTGCCCTGAGAACTTGGATCCTCAGAGGGGAAACCAGTGGGTGGCTAAGTTTAGATTTTTAGCATGACCTCACCCCTTCTGAGCCTTGGTTTCTTCATTAGTGAAACGGTAATAATGATATGTGTTTACCTGCCTCTCAAGCTTGCTGTGAAGATGAAGTAAAAAATAATGCGTAGGGGAGTTTTCTGAAAGCTCCTTAAATTCTTAATTTGTGCACAGGAATTATTACAGAAAAGAAAGAGTATACACATTAATTCCTGTAGAATTTTTAGCTTTGTCGTTATGTTTTATTTGTTTTGGCAATGTGGGGGTTGGATGAGTTGGTGCAGAGAAAGCCACCAGCAAAAGGAACCAGAACAGTGGTGAGCCAGAAACCCTAATTGCTCCAGAGAGATTTTAGCTTTCAGTGCAGCCCCAGTGCCATCTGCCCCTTCCTACTCCTAGGACAGGCCCCAAAGAAACCCACGGAGGGCAGAGCGATGACAAAGTGGGAGGAGAAGAGCAGGGACAGTAGGAGCAGGAAAAGGAGGAAAGAAGAATCTTCTTCCCACGCCTTAAGCCTCACATCAAAGGTTTTCAAACTGTGGTCTCTGTACCATGGAAGGATTCATGAGACCCACTTGTTTTCTTAATTCTGTGCTGACATTTCCACTCATGATGCAAAAATGAAGACACAACTGCTGAGGCCTCAGCACCAATCAAGGCAGAGGCTCCATACTCTGTCATCATCTTAGGGCCATGCATGCACAGCAAGTGTGGGCAATTCCACTTAAAAATTGCCTTGATGAAGCAGTAAAACTTATTGATTTTATTCCTTGAGTGCATAACTTTGTGACATCCCATGAGGCCAAACGGGAAGTTCCCCTCTGAGGCTGCTGAAGCGCATTGACTGTCTCAAGGAGAGCCGTGCCTGCAAGTGTCTGCGTTGCAAGCTGACATAGACTTTATTTTTTTCATGGAATGGATATTTTCTCAAAAAATAACACAACTTCAAGGAAAACAACTCATGTGTGAGTTGCCAATGAGAAATCTGAAATTTCAAGTGAAAATTAACGATTTGGAAAACTTGGATTTACAACCAGAGTTTGACAGGTTTTTCCACAGTTAAAGATGGAAAGCTTTTCTTCTTCATTTGTAACTCCTACTTATCCTTCCAGACTCCACTCCTTTTGTGTTCTCTCAGACCCTTTCCCCAATCTCCCTCTTTCTTTCTAGTGTAGTAGTGTGTGTGTTTGTTTGCACACGTGCATGTCCACATTTGTGTCTACGTCTTTATTACCTATATCCATGACTATGTCCGTGTCTACATCCATCTATCTCTACCTAAGGTCTATCTTCTTATCCTTATTTAAATGTTCATTCTACTGAGAGGGCTCTTTTAGTTTACTCTTCAATATGACATTGACTTAGAAAAGAAACACAAAAGCTTTCTAATTCCTCATGCAAGTCTATTAAATATTTTCTTGTTCATAACAATAGTTCAAGAATGTTAGTTTCAAACTATTTCTCAGTCAATAGTTCCTATTTTACCCTGGAAGCTTAGGGCCAGATGATAGCTTTCGAGTTTCTTTGAACTCCTTTTATGAAATACACGAAAATGAGAAGAAATACACCACTGAGCATTTCGTATCTTCTGAATACCTAATAAGAACCATTGGTTATTCCATCTGCGGCCACCGTCTATTAACTTGCTTTTACTGTCAGTGACCCTTCTGAAATGAACCACCAGGTTTGACTTTCTGAAATACTCTTTTTGTTATATTATCTCCATAATACCAAAATTCCTGTGATTTTTTTATGGTCTAGACTAGAAAATAACAATTGCTTCTGGTAATAATAGATGAACTTTAGGAGAACAAGCCATCTGTTAAGAATGGCTAGAAAAACTTTTTAAAATAAAGAAGGAAGAGGAGAAAAAAAAATATTCGAAAGCATCAGAGAATAATTGAGGGAAAAAGATCCCTGGTTGGGGGTGGAGGGAAAAACAGGGTTCAGAGACAACATTTAATATTGATTTTCCCCAACATTGCCATTTCCAAAATTGGGGCTGGGTTTCTGAAAAACTGATCAGAAGTGTGACCAATGGGAAGTCTGGAAGACACAGGGAGCTTCTGTAGGTCTGAAGGAGATAGGAATATAAAATGAGGGCTCACAGTTTACCAGAATGGAATGGTCCATGAAATGCCCATACATTCCATTGGGCCCACAAAGGAACTTGCACTCAGAGTGAGGGGACTGGAAGAGAAGACCCTCAGGAAGCCCGAGGTTCTGCTTCACAGGCTTGGTTTCTGATTACAGTAGGGCTTTCCCCTTTAATCACAGTAATTTGCCAGAAGCCAATATTACTTCCCTCTCACAGATGAAAACATCACCCAGAGACTTAAATTATTTGTACGATTTTTCATACACATTTTTGCTAGTCAATCAATAATTACCAAGCATATCAGGAGACAAGATCACATGACAGAATAATAAGAGAGACAAACGCCAACATGGGAAAGAGATCCACTGGATAAATAGATGCTGGCAGGTATCAGATATGGGATTTAAAATAAATAACAAACATATTCAGGACATTACAAGATAGCCAGGTAGAGAATTTCATGTGAGAAGCTGAATTTATAAAAGAAATAGAAATTATACAACGGAAAACACAGAGGAGTCATTATTATTGAATTTAGATATATCCAGATTCAAACATAGAAGAAAAGACTGCAAATATAGAAACTAGCTTAGGAGATAATATTGGAACTAGTGAAGGTATATATATGTATATGTGTGTGCATAGCTTAGGAGATAATATGGGAACTAGGGAAGGTATATACACACATATGTATGTATATGTGTGAGCATGTGGAGACAGAAAGAAGAGAGAATGAGGTACAAATATTATATGAGGAGATATTCTCCGAAATTATCTTAAAAACCACTAAAAAATATTTATATGCAGGCTAGAGATGCATAAAGAACTCCAAGAAAGATTTTTTAAAAGATACCCAGTCACCTCAAACCTAAATTACTAAAAAGCAAATATAAAAAACATTATTTTTAAGTTTTTTAATATTTTTATTGATATAGTTTTACGTATTTTGGGGATACATATGGTTGTGATACACGTACAGAACATGTAATGACCACATCAGTGTAATCGGGATCTCCATCACCTCAGACACATTTTCTTCGTGTTGGAAACTTTCAATTTTTCTTTTCTAGTTATTTTGACAAATATAATTATTATACACAATATTTTAAATATATAATTATTATTTATTATACATTCAAAATAACTAGAAGAGAAAAATAGTAACGTTCCCAACACAAACAAAATATAAATGTCTGAGGTGATGGAGATCCCGATTATGCTGATGTGGTCATTACACATTCTGTACATGTATTATGTCTTATTTATTATATATTTCAAAATAACTAGAAGAGAAAAATTGTACTATATTTACTAAAAAATTGTATTATAGTTGCTGTAATTTTCCTATTGTACTTTCAAATACTAGAACTTAAGAGCAAACAAAGAAAAGCAATTTCCTCCCAAACAAGCAACAATAATACAATTAGCTAATGCTTCAGCAGAATAATACAAGCTAGAAGGCAATGAATAACCACTTCAAAGTAGTAAAAGGAAGTTTCTGCCCAATGCTTCAGACGTGAAGGTGAAAGTAAACATTTTTACATACACATAAATGGAGATCATTTACTACTGAAAGATCTACAGTAAATAAAATACTAAGGGGATTTTTCAGCAGAGGGATTATATCTCCAGGTGGAAGCACAAAGATAAGGAATAATAAGTAATGAAAAGAATATATGTATATTAAATACAAATACATATTATATTAATAAATTTATATTTATTTGTATGTTTTCAAATATATATATTCATATGCTTTCAAATATACATGGATTTAATGTATAATGATAATAGTAAAAGTTTGAATGGGTCAAATGGATTTAATGTTTTCTGAGACCTCATCACCAAAGAAGTTGTGAAAGTTCTAATGTTTAACAATCTCTTATAACAGACACCCTGAGTTGAGGCTTTTCTTTACAGTGGTGATGCTAACGTTTAAGTTACTCTCTACCCGGCACCATGCTAAGTGCTTCAGTACAAGAATTAGAAAACAACATAAGTGCACAGGCAGAAATCAGTGAAATAGAAGCAAGTGTTTAGTAGAGACAGTCAATCAAGTCAAGAGTTGTTTCTTAAAACAAATTAATTGAATAATTAATTAAATAAACCCCTGGAGAGTCTGATTTTTTTGAAAAAGAAAAGAAAAAAGACAATTTCAGCTACCAAGATAACATGGAAGGCAACATCAGTACAGACCACACAGCTCATAAAATCTCTAATAACAGAACAACTTTATGTCAGTGAATTTGCATCATTAGATAAGACAGACAGATTCCCAGAAAAGCACAACTTTTTAAAGATTGTGCTTTAGAATGACATAGAATAATCAGACAAAGAGATCACTTGTAACAAGCATTAGAGAAATTAAATACTCGATTGAAAACCTTCACACACACAAATTCAGGCCAGAAAGGGTTTTCCAGTGAATCCTTTCAAACATTTAAGGAAGAAGGAACCCAGGACTTACACAAATGCTTCCATAACTAAACTAGGGGAAAAGGCAAATGCTGTCCTAAATACTGAAGCACAAATCACAGCCCTGCTCTTCCAGGCCTTAGAATGTAGGTGAAGCTATTGCAGGCACACAGACCTCACATATGTCTCAGTAAAAGGCAGTCTGTATTTTGTCCCAGAGCTATTGTTGTTGGCAGAATTCTGTGTGTTAGTGTAGGTTCAGCCACTGTCATCAGCAGACTTGAAACTGCAATGGCTCAAAACCACAGAGATCCATTTCCAGCTTCTTCAGCAGTGGGGAGCCAGCGTTGCCTGTAGTGAGATGTTCCCCTCCCAGGCCCCAGAGCTGCTCCTCGCTCAGCTGCATCAGCCACTGTAAACTTGAAGGAGAGGGGCCAGGTCTTCAGTTTGGGAGATGGGAGCCTCTTGAGCCCTTCTAGATCATCCCAGCACCTGTTGAGCAAGCCAGCACAGTTAAATAAATACATTTAACTTGTTCAGCACACAATGCTTTTCAGAGAAGGCTTCTGCTCCCCAGGGAATGCCTTCCCAAGTCTATTTGGAGACACTCCTTCCAATTTTCTTTAGGCCTCGACTTCCTCAAGAAAGGGAGCGGGCTTCCCTGTTGCAGTATCCTGATCTCTTACTAGCATGTGCCGAAGCTGTGTTCCACTGGCAGCAGGTGCGTGGGGCGGGGTGGCTGTGCCCTGGTGCGTGTCCATCCCTCTTCCCTTAGTGTGCCATATTAAAAGCCAGCACCACGGTGGAGCACACACAGACTTTAAGGTCTGTTTGCTCTTCATTCTGAACAGGAGAAAGTGACTTCACTTCCTCCTGACACCCACAGTGGCATCCATTCCAAATACTAGTGCAGACTTGCTTTTCATTTACTCAACCAGTCCATCATTTAAACAGCAAGTGTTCCCCAAGTCCCGACCCTGTGGAGGCTCTGTGCTGAGCATATAAAGATGAACAAGACAGCCCCTGCCCTTCACAGGCTCACAGGGAGGCAGAAGGGTAAACAATACAAGGACTTAACTGATGTACCAGCAGAAGAAACCAGGAGCAGAAACCTCAGAGAAAAGAGTGCACAGCCCCTCAGGAGGAGGGCAGGGTGGGGAGGAGGTTTCATGGCCCAGGAGGGAGACTAAACCCAGCTGGGAAGGTTGAGTGGTGGGACGAGAGCTTGCCAAAGGCAGAACGTGAAAAAAGAAAGGACGCTGATGCTGGAGAAAAGCATTTTTTCCTTCTGCAAACATTTCCTGAGCATTCACTAAGGATCTTAAGCTTTGCGGGGCACTGGGTTGGAGTCTCGGCAAGACACAGCCTGAATTTAGGAGGCCCTAGCCCCTGGGGAGAAGGACCCTGAACCATCCCTGTGGCTATGAGGAGTGTTAGGGAGAAGGAAATACAAAGTGCAGAGAATGAGAGGCCAGGCTAGAGGTGCCATCTGGGAGGAGAAGCTGGTCAGATGGATTAGAGAACAAAGGAATTCAGAGAGCACAAAGTGAAGGCACGGAAGAGAGCAGTGTGGCATGTGGAGAAGGGCAGCAGTTCAGCCTGACAAACGGGGAGCGAGGTGGGAGGGTGGGCGAGGCCAGAATTGGGGGGTTTCTTATGAAGGGCACCAGAAAGTAAGAGAAGGTGCTTCAGGAAGGACAGAACCTGCCCTGATTCACACTCTCACTTAAAACAACAGCTCATGGCTATTGAGCTTTCACTCTGTGCCAGGTTTAAGGCCACATGCTTTCTGTCTGCAGTGTAGACAGTATGCTGGGCCAGGCCAGAGTCAGATACACAAGAGGCTGCTCCTGGAGGGAAGGGGCTCTGTGCCATGAGCCAGCAGGGAAGTGGCTGGCAGCGGAGCTCACCTCCAGCTGTGAGTCACTGGCCCCGTTTTCCACAGTGTAATTTATCATCCTTCCCCTTACAAGCCCAGAAAACTTTATTCCCATGCGAGGTCTTTATCTTGCTTTAACGCCATGGATGAAAACCAAGGGCGTCACAGGGGCTGGGTTGGCTTTCATCATCGTCCTTTATAGATGTCTGGCCCACTCTCTCTCAGCCGTGGCTTGGGCCGGTTAGGAGCACCCCTGAGCCTTAGTTTCTTTCTCTATAAAACAGGAAGAATGATACTGGTTTAGAGCATTGTTTTTCACATTAAATAAAATCTCAGTGATGTCCTGGCCCATGGTTTGGCACGTGGCACAAACGTAAGCACAGTTTTCCCTTCGTCTTTTCCACAGGATTATGAAAGAGAGGCTGCTCTGGACATCCTCTTCTTCCTTGCTGTGCCCAGTATGGTCCTTGGCCTGCAGAAGACTAACCCATGTTTGGTTCACTACACTCAGAGGTGGGGACTTGACCCCAGCAGAAGAGAGGCCCAGCCATCCAGACTAGAAAAGATCAGTCCTGACCTTCCAGCACCAGCCAGAGGACACAATGGTCACTGCCGCAGACCAGATTGGAGCTGAAATAGGCAAAAGCATCCTGCAGTGGGGTGGGGCTGTCAGGCTAGCATGGTCAGGGTGCACCTGCTTAGATAAAGGACAACAGCCGATACTTGCTCGGCACCCACGACTGCCTGGCAGGGCACGCAAGGCCCTCACCTGACTCACCCAGAGCCCTTCCTTTACAGCAGCAAGCACACACGCTGTGACACTCACTGATCGTGCCCTCCTGGTCTTTTAATATTGATGCAGTCATATATGACACTGTCTCCACGCAGAGTGCCCTTCTCTCTTGACTGCCTTGCAAGCCATCATTTGCTCCCATCTCAGCTCCAAGGTGACTTTCTCCAGGATGCCCTCTCTCCTCCACTGTCCTCCTCCTTCATGCCCTCACCAGTTCCTCAACATTCTTCTCCTGACACCAACCACCCTGACCGCCTCATGCGGCACCCCAAGTACCCTAGGGAGGGATCCAGGATCACGAGGACAGCTCATTCGCTTGCCCTCCGGCCACCCAGGACAGGGAATGTCCGAGGATGTGCTTGGGGCATTGCTTTGGGAGGAGACGCAGGCCTGTTGCAGGGTGTGCAGGCTTCATGCTCTTGTTTGTGCTGGCTACGACTATTTGCTGTCATTGTCATCATCATCATCATTGTCATCGTTGTCATCTCCATTTCAAAGATTAGACACAAGGCTCAGGGAGAATAAATGACAGGATTAAAACCACACTGCCGTCAAACGTTAGAACATTTATTCAAATCTAAGCCCCTAAGTTTCTAGTCTAAAGCTATCTAGAAATTTTGCCTCAGTCTGTCCTTCTTGTATCCCTCTCCTCTCTAATCAGGACCCCATGTCTGGCCACAACAACAAACTCCCTGGAATCCCTGACAATGGGAAGGAAACTGTTTCCATCATTGAAGCAAAGCTCCGCATACCCCAGGCTGTGATGATGCCAGCGCGTAGCCCATATCTCTGTACCCACAGAGTCGCCTGCTGTTTATCCCTCTGCTGCCACTGCACCAGCCCTCAGGACTGTGGGATCAGCTTTCTCTCTCTGGATCATCCAGGTGTGAGCAGACACCCCTGTCTTCATTTTCCTTCAGCACAGCTAAGATGGAAACTTTCAAAAAGATCTTTCCTCAATACGAACTCAGCGCGCAGGATGAAATGCACCCAGCACCTCTCAGAGCCAGGTCGCAGCCGCAGCATCACTGTCACGTGGGAGATTGTTGGGTGTCCACATCCCCACGCTGCCCCAGACTCACCAAATCCGAAAACCGAGAGTGGGTCTCAGGGCTCCATTTCGTGGCGGTCTAGTTTAAGATCGGCCAGCTAAAGGAAACAGGAAGGGCTCACGGATGAATTAGTTCCAAGCCTGTGGGGCCACGATCGCTCACTGCTCTCCCTGAGCGAGCCTGGGCTGCCACGCCTTTCTGAGGGCCCCGTCCAGGGACATTGCTGGTGACCCCTCAGCTCTCCTCCTTCTCTGTCTCATCTCTGCCCTCGCCTATCCATGAGGAGGGAGGGGAGGGTGTGATCTAAGCCCACAGTCCTTCCGAGGTGGACTACGAGCTGGAACTGGAGCCAGGAACACATCCCTAGCAGATCAATGAGACCGTCTCATCTCCCCAGTCTCCTCAGCATGGAAAAAGCACTCACGACACTGAACCACCTTGTTTCCCCCAGCAGAGGTGGGCTTGAGGGTCAGTTCCTCACTTCACCTTACATGCACAGCCTTGGTGCATTTGCTCTTGGGATTCTGACATCAAAGATGCCCCCTCCATTTGTTTAAGTCCTAACCCTGCTTCCCTTCCTGTCACAAGTCTCACCTCCTCTGGGAAGACTTCCTGCATCACCTCATATTAGTTCGTGTCTCCTCATGATTGGCATTTAGTGATAGCGCTCAGCATTTGGCATCTGCTACCTCCTGTGGCTGATAATTCTTATGTTCACAAGTTCTGTCTCCTTCAACCGGAAGAAGAATCATGGCATATAGCTGTGTGCATCTTTAAAAAAATCTAGCACAGTGTTTCTTAGCTCTGAATGCAAATTAGATTTCACAAAGAGTGCTTTAAAGACTATTAACACCTGTGTCTTAGCCAAAGC
This sequence comes from Homo sapiens, assembly GCF_000001405.40. Lineage (NCBI taxonomy): Eukaryota > Metazoa > Chordata > Mammalia > Primates > Hominidae > Homo > Homo sapiens. The sequence goes on along the minus strand of NC_000011.10, from coordinate 134,912,753 downwards.
CGTTCTGGGTCAATCGGCCTCGGGTGAGGCATAGGTTCCCCAGTGATTTGGAGGTACAGGCAGGGTAAAAAGATGCTGGCTGGCTTCTTCGGCACATTGTAGAACACTGGCAGACACTCTCAGCAGCTGTTTCTAAGGATAAAGTCAAAACGACCTAACATCAAACCGAAGTCAGCTCTGCAACAGACTGCTCAGCGTAGCAGTGCCTTTGATAACTAATCTCCATGCAGTGAGGGACCTAGTGGTCCCAGATTCAAGAGTCACCCATTGGGCTAATAGTTAAGGTCCTTGGCTGGGGAAGAAAAATTTTCTGCAGTGGAAAGACCAATGCCTGGATGGTTTAGCTCTCCCAATACCCTGGGAAAGAGAGTGGAAAGAAAGGCTTCTGCCTTTCCCTGTCCTGGGTTGCTGACCTTGGTGGTTTCAGCCTGCCCACTGGCCTTGTGTAGAGTGACCACCAGCAGCAAGGAAAGGGACGCTGTGGTGAATCATCTGAAAGTGACCTGATACCTGACATCCTGGCACCTGTGCTAAAAAAGATCCCAATTTTATGAGGGTCTTCTTCTCTCTGATGTTCTAATTCCTTATGGTTATATGCATAAAGCTAATAAAAACATATTTACGCCTTGAAGAAGACATTGCAGATGAATCCCACGGCTGAGATGCCTTTGCCTTCCTGTCTCTGACATAGCATTACTCAATTTAGAGACCATGTAAGCCACCAACTCAGTCACCCACTCTGGGCTTTTATAGCTACATAAATTATTTCTCCTTATGCTTAATTCAAAACTTGGCCTGACAATTCTCTACAGTGATTCCCAGATAAGCAACTCAGACACCTCTTCCAGCACAAATATCACCACCCCCTCACAGACTCCCGTTTGCCTCTTCGTCCTTTCCTTCACTGGGAATCCTGCTCTGAGCTGGTCTCTGCTTCCCCTGGTCCACTGACTCTATCTTGGCATCGATGCCAGAGCAGTCTTCCTGGGGCAGATCTCTGATATGGCCACATCCTATCCAGACCTTTGTGTACTTACCCATTGCCTCGACAATAAATCCTGTCATTCAAACACCACATGATGTAATCCAGGTCAATTTGCAGTGTAGGGTGGGGCCAAGGGTGCAGGCTCTGGCACGAGACTGTGCAGGCTTTAATCTCAGATCTACCAAACCTGCAACTCACCAGCGACGCATCCTTGTGCATGACACCATCCATACCTTAGTTTCTCCATCTGTTTAGGGAAATAATTACGAGTTCTAAGGATTAAGTGGGGTGAGTAGCACCTAGTCTGTAATAAGCACAAAATAAACATTCTGTAATATTATTACTTCCCCAGAGCAACTTTCCACTCCTAAATTTGCCTGCCCCTAATTCTGGCCTGCCATCCACAGGCTTCTCCCATAGCCAGCCTGTTACTGGTTCGACCCTTGCTCTTTCCTCAACCAAAATGCCTTCAAACCACATCAAACTCAGAGGAGAAAAATTAGTTTCATTCGGAGGAGCAGAAGCATATGTAGTTATTCACCAGGCCAGGCCTAAAAGCCCTCATCATCAAGGTCTATGTCATAAGCAGCACCTCTTATCTCCCATCTCAGGGATTAAACTGTAATCATATCTGCAAAGTCCGTTTGTCACAAGGCAACACATTCATAGATTCTAGGGATTTGGGACAGGGAATGTCCTTTGAGGAAGCATTATGCTGCTGACCATACTCACATAAAAACATAGGCAATATTAATATTTTATGTAGTGCTTCTTATATATTAGATATTCTTTTAAATGTCTTTTGTATATAATTTAATTATCTCAATAGCTCTAATGAAGTGGGCACTATTGTTACAATCCTTCTCATTATTTAGGAAACCAAGGCGCAGGTGGGTTAAGTAATTTGCCCAGAGAACCAGAATGAGTTAGTAAAGTCAGAATATGAGCTGGGTACTGTGGCTCCGGAGTCACGTTCTTAACCACTATGTTAAATTAGCTGTTAAATAATTAATATCAGCTGAGTTGAGACTTCACAGCAAAATTATTTTTAGGGGATTTGAAATTCACAGGAGTTTCCTACCATCTTTGGATAACCCCCACCCAGTGTTCACATGCATATTTATAACTTCTGTATGCATAGAAATACATGGTCATGTCCCAGTTTATTCCAGGTTCCTGAGTTATGTTTGCATTACCTCTGAGAGTCTTATTGATTTCTATAATTGAGGACTTCTCATTAATGTGATTTATTGAGGATTTATTGTTCTTACTGTCAACCAAAAGCAATGCTTTACGTATTTTATGTGCTATTGATTGGAAGGGCCAGAAGCCCAAAGATCCAAGACTTCCTTTATCCCTTTAACATAGCCAATTAAGATAAATGTTCTATGCCCCAAATATTTTCATGTGGCCTTGGTGCTGAAGTTGTCATCTGGGGTGTGCAGGATTCATTGCGGTGGAATCTACATGAGGGTTCATGTCAGCCTTTACTTGCTTCACAGACAACATGAAAAATGTTTAGCTTTATCCTCAAACTAATGAGAAGCCATTGAATAATGTTTAATAACGTGGTCAGCGTCACCATAGTTAAGTATTGAGCAGGTCACTTTTGGTGCAGGTGGGGATGCTGGACACCAGGCCATATAGATGGCCATTTCAGCATCTCAGGCAGAAAATGATTATAGCTTGGACTAAAATTATGGTTGCGGTATAGAGAAATGGGTATGTTTAATAAACGTTTAGTTCGTAGATGACTTGGTAAGGAATTGAATGTGCGGCTAAAGGAGAAGAGGTCAAGGGTGACTGCCATGCTTCATGTCTTGCCATTGGGTGCTCAGCATTATGGGCACAGAAGAGGATAAGCAGGCTGGGGAGTGGTCAGTGAGGGGTCACTGATCTAGCTTTTGACATGACCAGTATGATGTGCTTTGGAAACATCCAAGGAGAGAAATCAGAAAGGCACTTGAATATGTAGGTCTGGAGCTCAGAAGACAAGTAGGTGCTGAAGATATATGTATGTCGTTCACACTTACTATACTAGCATATAATGACTTGAATGACTCTCCATAGAAGAGTCTGGACAAAGGAGAAAAAGAGGACTACAACCCAGCCTTGAAGAACCTCAGCTGTACAGGTTTAAGTAGAAGAGGATGAGCTTGCAAAGTCAGAATGGCTGTGTCTTCAGTTGGTGAATTACTTAATGTTCCGGTTCCTCCAATTCACCCAACATCAGTACCCATAGGGACTGAGCCTCAGTGATTACAAAGGGTAAACAAAAAGGGATGATAAGCCAAGGAATCCCAGTTGGGGTGGCCTGACATTAAAAGGCAACTATTCTCATTAGATTTGCTTCCAAAAATCACTGCATTGTCATAATCAATATGTTTTGCTTTGCCTATCCAAGAAAATACATATCTTCTCCCCCAAGCTACTGGAAGGCCCTTGAAAACGCTTGCTTTTAAAAAAAACTTCATTATTATTTTTTAACTTGAGTCATAAGAGAACTGGTCTCAGTCCCTCACTGGTGATGAAGTTTGCACTGTGTACCACACCACTTGCGGTACACATGTGGGGCCCACGTGGAATTCAGCCATGTAGAAGTTCTCTGAGAGAGAGAAGTTCTCTGCAGGAAACACAAATGAAAGATGGGGATGTTCCTGGTGGCCTGCAGTGTCCTATACAAAGTCATTTATGAGACATAGCTGCACCCCAGCCCTGATTATAATTGCTTTCTTAAGACAATACATGACAGTTTTTGCAAAGGTATTATCTCATTTTGGGTTCAGGCGCTCAACCTGCAACTAGGTCCTCATGCTCTGAGGCTGACAGAGTGGCTGCATCTGCCTATGCTTGGGAAGTGTCGGGGGAGGAATGTGCACGGCACTGCTGGGCTGGGGGTGCTCTCTGGAAGTAAAGTCTTCTGCACCAAGGGAGGGTGGCAGGGATTCAGCTCACAGAGGGGGCGGATGTATGGTTAGCTCATGAATGATGTGTTATAGTTTGGTAATTGCCCTCTGGGATCTGGAGGTGCTATTATCTCCTGCAAGGTAATGAAGCTGTGGGATGACACCAATTTTCTTAATCTGCTGAATTCTACTGATTCAATTTTAGTCACTCAAGTGGAGGGGGAGTGGGAGAATGAGCTCTCCTGCACTGCGGAAGAGCCTTATGTATGGCCAAGGGCTTCTCCTTAACTGCAGAGATCCCTGAGGATCCACCTACTGCATTCCGCGACGCAGAGTGTGAGCAAATGTGGGCAGGGGTGAGGTGGAGGAGCCTACAGATGCAGCATAACCCAGAACAATATTTCTTAGTGAAAGACATGTTTCCTCTTGGTTATCAAAGTGACTGAAATATGGTTTACATGATTGGCTGTTCAGATAATCAGGTTCTTTACGCATAGCAATGGTAAAAAACTTTTGTGTATTAGCACAAATTACATTCCAGAAGGGTTGTTGATAGTGGCCCTATGTTGTCCTTTTTCTCCACAATGAGTTTGAAATGTGCGCACCATCAACAACACTTTATAGGAGAAGAAACTGAGGCTCAGAGAGATTGGGTGATTTAATAAAATTGATCCCATTGGTAAGAGACACAGCTTGGGCTCAAACATGGTTTTTCTAATTACAAATTGAGGGATAACAGACCTTGGAATTTTTTCCCATATTTGGGTCTCTGCAGTTATAACCAAGGTTGTTATTTTATGGGGACGAATGGCTTGGTGGGATGCAGCAGAGGGGATCTCCTTCCTGGTAGCTCCACTCTTCCCCTCCTCTTCTTCCGGAGCCATGCACTTCTGTCCTTCCCAGCCCAGGGGCATGGGGTCAAGCCAGAGCAGTGGGATGGCCCTGATGACCTCCACAGTCCCTGCCTTCAACCTGAGATCCTCTATTCACTTAGGGGCTGGTCCCCATCCCCCTGCATTACCAGGCTGCAGTTCCCCCCAGAGAAGCCCAGAGACAGTGAGAGCAAGCTCCGGGGAGAAGCGTGCCTCCTGAAGGAGGTGAGTTCATGCCTCCTTAATGTCCATGGGCCGCGTTGCCTGTACACTGGTGCTTAGTGCTGAGTCCCAGTTTCTCTGTGGATCTAGACCTGCTGCTGTGCTCACCTGTTCAGGGCACTTCACTTCACCTCATTTTCCCTCCAGACTCCTTCCTAGAGCCCTTGTCCTTCCCCAGGACCTGGCTCTGGGAGCAATGCTAGGGGCACCCAGCACCTCCCTGCAAGGCTGAAGGTAGGCTAAGAGCGGAACTACAGGGAGCTCCTGTACAGCAAAGGGCATCCTTGCTCATAAGGTGCACTGTTTGTTTGTTTGTTTGTTTGTTTGTTTGTTTGTTTGTTTGTTTGTTTTAGATGGAGTCTTGCTCTGTTGCCAGGCTGGAGTGCAGTGGCGCTATCTCAGCTCACCACAACCTCCGCCTCCCAGATTCAGGCAACTCTTCTGCCTCAGCCTGCGAGTAGCTGGGACTTTAGGCACACACCACCATACCCGGCTAATTTTTTTGTATTTTAGTAGAGACGAGGTTTTACCATGTTGCCCAGGCTGGTCGTGAACTCCTGAGCTCAGGCAATCCCCCCACCTCGGCCTCCCAAAGTGCTGGGATTACAGGCATAAGCCGCTGCTCCCGGCCATTCAGGTGCACTTCTGAGCCAGCATGCAGAGGCTTAGAGCCTGCCAGCACTCAAGGAGGGTATGCCCACCTCAACAGGTGCTCCTGGGCCATTGAAGGATGTAGCCTCAGTTCACCTTCAGGAAGAGGCTGCGTTCCGGCCCCTGGATGATCTCTATGCCAGAGACAAAGTTGGAGAAGGAGCCTCGGGGTTCACTACTGACATGTCAGCCTGGCCACCACGAGGAAGCCTGGGGATGGGTGGGAGGAGTTCCACCTGTCTCCGCCTGGTCATCTACCTCAGCTGTGGAGCTTCTCAGATGAGCAAAATGTGGGCAGCAGGGAAGGGGCATCGTCCAGCCCCTGCATCCCCCCGATCCCCGGCCGTGAGCACACTCACGTGCTGGCTGCTTTCCCGCTCTCCGCACTCAGACGAGCCACTCTTCCTTCTGTTTTATTCACATTTCCTTTCACATTTCAGGTTCTGCCATCGGTTCTTTTTATCTCACCTTTCGGGCAGAGCTGTCTCCTTGCATTCTCCCTGACTTTCCCTCATGTCCTCCACACAGTACACTTTCTGATCCTTTCTTGCCTCCCTTTTCCCTTTTAGTTCCCATTTCTTTCCTCTGCCTCTTGTCTGCCCCGTTCTCATCCCTGTCTTCCCCTCGCTTTCCTCATCGCCTCCTGTTCTGTCTGGTCCACCTCCTGCTCCGTCTCTCCACCTGCTCCCTGCTCCCTCCCGAGTGCCCGCAGGTGCTGCTCACTGCCAGTCAGGACCCATCCTGAATACCAGCTTCCCCAAAACTCTTAAAAACAAAATCAGACAGACATGAGGGTCGGAGATTTACTCATACTCCAGACGTGAGCTCTGCTCTTCCCCTGAACCGTTCCACCCTTACCCAGCCCACGCGGTGCCTGGGGAGTGCTGATTTCCTGCCACAAAATAAAAATCAGCACAGCTGGAGCCCCCGATGACACGCTCCCTGGGCAGAAACGTGGCCGTGGTAGGAGGTGCTGGGGCAGCCCCTCATGAAGTAAGTGAGGTCACTGCCAGGACACCGCAAACAGGGGAGATGCCTGTCCTTCGCAGGGACCCCCACAGCGGGCTGACAAGTTTATTGAATGTTTATTTGGACCCATTCCAGGATCGCCTCCCCACACTTGGCAATGAGCATCTGCCCCGGCTCCCAGAGGAAGCTCAGCCAGCCTTTCCTCACCAGCTTACTTTGCTGCATAGAGCCCCCAAGGACTGGGTGAAGCTTGAAGGCTATTTTTATGTCAACATCTAGAATCACAGATATTTTGGTACTTAAAAAATCTCAGCAAGTAGGAATGAAGATTTGGGGTGAACAAGGTTACCAGAAAGGCCTCCTTTTCCCTGGTCTGTCCTAAGAATGTGGCCACTGTTGGCAGATGACACTGGCTTGGCTCCAGCCGCCTTCCCTAGAGTGCCTCCTGCAGCTGGAATCCTCAGCTCTTTGCTTTCAAAGCTCTCTTGCTCCTATTCCAGGATAGATTTGCTATTTCCTGAGACACTCTGGAACTTGTCAGAGTCCAGCTCTGTTCTCCGTTAGAAATAAAGTTTCTTCAATAGATAACTGCTTCATTTCAAAGGCATATTTTTGGGTCAAAAATGTCATTAATACATCTCGGATTAATATAGGAGATGAGATAATGTCTTCTAGAAATAAAAGTCCTTCCATTCTGTTCCCACAGAAAACAAAGCAATTCCCTGGGTGGACGTAGTGGGCTTGGATAGCCCAGCCCCATCATCCTGCATGGGCTTGGCTCGAGGAGACAAGGAGGAGGAGAAACCTCACGGTCCAAGGACACAGAGGCCAGACTGGACATGGCCTTGCCCATCCAGATGTGCAGGTCTCTGCAGGTGTCTTCCTCTTCACCGCAGTAGGAGGAGACCTGAGCAGGTGCAGGTGCACATCCACCATTGTTGCCTGGCATTGGCTGTGCTGGAGCACAGATGAGGCAGCTGGGGAGAGACTTTATTAGCAGAGCACACTGAGAAAGAGCAGAGTGCGAAGTACATTGCAAAACTGGAAGCCGAAGAACGTTCTTGGGTTCCATGAATAGGCTTCCCTTAGGCCCCATGAAAACAGGAAGGGCCAAAGACAGGGATTTGAAACACAGAATTTCCAGCTGAAATGAAGATGAATCACTTGAAGAACTTGATTTTGGCCTAAATTCAACCATGTATTATTTCCTGAAAACATTTAGCTTTTATATACCCATCTACCACATAGGTTGTAAGAATATTTAAGGCAAGATTTGATCAAGAAACCTCACCCGAGAATAAGTTTCAGTGACTTACTGCACAGCAAAGAACGATAGTTAATAATAATTATATATTTCACAATTGCTAAAAGAGTACATTTTAAACGTTCCCACTTCAAAAAAATGTTAAGTATGTGAGGTGATGGATATGTCAGCTGGCTTGATTCAAACATTCCACAATGTATGTGTATGCCAAAAAATCCCATTGTACCCCAAAATATATACAATCATTATTTGTCAGTTAATAAAAAAATAACCTCACCAGAACTTTGACCATAGCAATGGCCTAAAAATGTTCCCTGATTTTTACACTATAAAATATCAGAAGCATGGTTCTGTTCCTCTCTCCACCATGGCCTGGACCCCAGCAGCTGTCTGGAGAGGAAGGAACAGCCCCCTTGGCTGCTTCTCCAGAAGCAGGAACTGGCCCTCTGGGTCCCGCAGCTCCCTCTGTCCTGGCTGCTCTCAGGCTCCTCTGTCACATCCCGGGTGAGGACGGCGAGTTGTGCTGAGGAGTCTTGGATGGAATGGAACCATGAAATCACAGTGAGGAGCTAGAGGGATGCACGTCCCATGCATGCACTAATTGGCAGCACCAGGTCTTTCCCTGGTTTACACCTTAAGCGGCTGGGCCTGGCCTGGTTCAGTGGGGGACGTGAACCCCACCTTCTGTGGCTGAAGGAGAGACAGCCATAGTGCTCTGTACCCCTGGGTTGAGCAAGACCACATTCAATCTGGGTGGTGCCTTTTTGCTGTCCTAAGGCACAGTAATAATGGAAGAAAGTGTAAATTCTTTTTTTTTTTTTTTGAGACAGAGTCTCGCTCTGTTGCCAGGCTAGAGTGCTGTGGCGTGATCTCGGCTCACTGCAACCTCCAACTCCCTGGTTCAAGGGATTCTTCTGCCTCCGCCTCCCGAGTAGCTGGGATTACAGGCATGCGCCACCATGCCCAGCTAATTTTTGTATTTTTAGTAGAGATGGGGTTTCACTATGTTAGCCAGGATGGTCTCGATCTCCTGACCTGATGATCCACCCGCCTTGGCCTCCCAAAGTGGTGGGATTACAGGCGTGAGCCACCACACCCTGCCAAAAGTGTACATTCTTATCAACATCGAGCAAAAAAGGAGTTTTGCCTTTTGTATTTTTTTAATCTCAGAGGAAGAGCCCATAGTTGCTGAAAATGTCTCTTCCCACTGTCCCCTCTGCTCTGGTATTTGAACACCTCCTGGCCATTTCTGTGAACTAGATGCTGACAGCTCCTAAACCACCCTCCATGTTCAGAAATATCTTCTATCTGGCTGGGGCTCAGCCAGAGCCAGAAAAACAGGCTGAGAACAGGTTCTATGGCTGAGAATTCAGGCCTCTTGTATTAAAGCTTGCTGGAGAAAAAAAAATGTATTCCTCGGTGGACTTATGAATTGAGATTGAGTGGTTCAGCTTCAGCTGACCTAAACAGGTTGTTCTCTTGGGGGCTGTCAACCAATATTCTAGGGAGGTGCTGGAAAGATTTGGTCAAGCCATTCAGTCCCCAAGCTCCTCGGCCCCCATTATCAGCATGAATGTCTGATGGTTCCGATCCTGTACCCTGCTCCCCAGGCTTGGGCAGAGACTTCCCAGTAACAACCTGCCTTTTCTGCCACATCTTCCCTTGCTCCCTCATTCACTCCTGCATCCATTTATCCATCTAAACACCTACCAGCAGCCAGGCATTAGCAAGGCCCCAAGGCAATTAAACATAGTTCTAACCTCCCTAACTACAGAAAGGACTTAAGAACCTAACTCGCATTTAAGGCTGTGTGATAACTAAATGAGATAATATATGTAAAGCACTTATACATGGCTGATAAGTAATACAAAATAATAACAACCATCGTGACTCAAGGTGCAGTGCCTAATCTCGGAGAGCTCCCAGCTTCTGGGGTCTCTGACAACAAGGAACAAGTAAATGACAACAGCCAAGGTCCCGGGCATGCTGGTGGAACTGACCCTATTTCTTAAACTCCAGCCTCTGCCTTTGCCTGTTCCAGGTGCTTAGAGGCTATATTTGCAGTGGTGTGAGTTCACATGGGATTTGAGCCCCTATTTTACATCTTTCTCATGTGCAGAACAAGCTGCTTTTCCAAAGCACAATAACACATTTCCATGGAAACCACTTCATCCACTGGGACTCATCTCACTGATGCTGCTACAGTGAAATTTTGTTGATGATATTCTTTAAAAAGATGACCAGTGTGTGTGCATGGACACTTAGTGTGTTTGTTTTCAGGTATACACAGACACACACACACACACACACACACCACTCACACAATCCTTTTTAATGGCTTTCTTCCGTAGAGTTTTAGCACAGCAGATTGATTGTTACTTAGGAAACCATGACGTCACCAACACCACGTACATCAGCAAAGCTGTCGTTGCATCAAAGGCTTGGTTTGCATTCAAGCAGGTTAAAAGAAAGAGAAAAGGATGGATCCAGTGGTGAGTTAAAGATAGAGATGGGCCAATGGGTGTATGTCATCATCATCACTGAGGAAATCAAGGTAAAAAATGAGTTTGAAGGAAACCAGCTCTGGATGTCAATTCCAAATACCAATGCCTTTGTGAAGGAATAATGAGACTCTATTACCTGAAATGCAGACACACACACACGCACAGACGCACACACACACACAGACGCACACCTATTCAGCATAAACTCCATTCGACCTTCAGACATTCACTGATCATCTACAGTGTGCCAAACACTGTGAAAAGTGCTGTGGACAGTACAAACATTGGACAAGGGCCCACAGATAGTTTTAAACCAGTAGGGAAGGTATGCAGTTATCAAGTGTGCAGGTACTGGTAAAGAAAAGCCATTTCTCAAAATGCAGCCTTGGTCAGCTCACTTAGCTTTCAATGTCTTAGTTTCCTGAAGTGTAAACTGGTGGTGAAGGTACAGAAAATGGCTTCGAGAGTGAAAATAAATAGCCTCCCAGGGCTATGCAAACCAAAGGGAAAGGTCCACATGCACCCTGCAGGAGTCAGTCGAAAAGGCCTCATTGTGGAGAGCGCAGCTGAGGCAACCCAGGATTCCAACAGTCAGATTCCAGCATGCAGAGCACGGAGCAGGCCAGCGGATTCACACATTCATGTTACCCGTCTAGCAGAGCAGACCAGCAGGTGAGATGCACAGTGTCAGGCTCAGGGACAGCCCACAGTAGAGGTGGACAGGAGTGTGGGAGGCTGTGTGTGGGAGCAGAGGGGAGAAGCAGCTGGGAAATTGGGCTGAGACCAGACTTCGGAGCAGCCTGTGTGCCCAGCTGAGAAGTCTGAATGTGTCTGTGTAGCCGGGTGGAGTACACGGCAAACATCTGAGCAAAGGTGTGGAATGACCCCAAGCAGGGGACATGAACTTGCGGGCCCCAGGCTTAGCTTGATGCACAGACATTTTATTTGCTCAGGAAGGTGGGGTGATTTTAGCATTTAAAATTTGTTTTTACCTATGCATAGGGCCTTCTCAGCTCTAGTTTGCTACAGGAATCGTCCCACCCTATTGTTTTATGACCACAGATTTACACATTCATGTTACCTATCTAGTCCTAGAAAGCACATGAAGTTTTAACCCCTGAAAAAATAATCTGCTACCAGATAAAGGATGCAATGAAGATTGGAAGAGGATAAACAAATTAGGAAGGGCAAATTCTACACCCGTACCTAGACTGTCCGGCAACATCTTTCTCAACAGAACCTGGGCTGTGGTATGGCAGCCTTGAGGCTAAAGGGTCCAGGTGGGAGGGCTTCAAAACTTGACATTCTGCTAGATAAATCATTCATTGCTTTAACAACCAGGTTTAATCACTTACCATAGGACAAATTCTGTGTGACACATGAGGTACAGAGACAGTTAATGAGAATTGTTTACTGGTTTTCAGCACTGGATCAATTTTCCTGCAGAGAATTATATCAAATTATTTACTGCACTGTGTAGAACACATTTGAGACTTTGGGGAAATCACAAAAATATATAATTTACAGCTCTGGCCTTCAAGAAGCTCACAATCTCTTGAAGAAGCAGGATATAAACACAAAGATTTTTTGTGTTTGCTTGTTTTCCTTTTTTAAAGGAGGAGTTAAGCTACAGTAGAAGGGATTTCTCCATATAATAATGTATTTCTCGAAATAAAGTATAAAGTCAAACAACTTTGAGCCCAAGCCTTTTTACTAATTAGCTATGCAATTTTAAACAGATTGCTTAATCCTTTTGAAAAATGTTTTTCTCACTTATAATCTGAAAATTAAAATGAGTATCTTTCTTTCTCAGCAGATAGTTGTGAAAATCAAAGAAAATCGGAGAAACAATTTTAGAGTATAAAAAACTTTAATGATATTCGCTCATCTCTTTGATTTCCAGATAAGGGAAACTCTGACATAAAGTTTTTATGAGACATTTTCCAAGGCTACTAAACTGGTAATATTAATTGATAACACATTTGTTTCTTATGTATACGTATGGATTTCATAAATATTTGTTGTAAGCCTAGGCACAAGGCCATGTTTTGGGCTCTGCAGGGAGAGCAGGGGCACAAGACTGACACAACGTCTTCTGCCCTCTCAGAGCTCACAGTCTCTTAGGGAGACACTCAACACGTTAGTACAAGTGGGATACGGATAGCAAACATGAGATCCAGAGTGTAAAATGTATATGGCAGAGAGGCAGGCCCAGCCCATGATATGAGAAAAGGCCTCCTGAGGATGGCACACAGAAGCCAACAAGTAGGATGTAGATGTTTAGAAACACGTATTTTAGAAATATATCTGTGATTGTGGATAGAGACAGAACACACGTGTTTTGAATTGGAGTTTGATGTCCTTTATTTAAAAGTATCTTGTAGATTTCAAAGTTAATCTCAAGCATAAACAACTACAGGGGTGCATGAAATGTATAAAACAATAAATTTTATATACTGGACAGAAAGCAATGGGTGACTAATCCTCAAGACAAGAAAACATAGGAAGTGAGCACTACATGTACTCTGGCTTTATATCTGGAGGTAATTTTAGGACCACAGCAGAAGACGAAGCCAAACAGAGCCCAGAAGAATCACTGTGCTGAGGAGACAGAGATCAGAGTTTTGAGGGACCAGAGTAACTAGAATTTGCAGAGCAGTGTACGAAAGAAGCCATGCCAAGAAATCTGTATAGCTTCCCCTGTAGTATTTGGATATTCCAATCTGCATACCCATAGGGAGAAACATCAAGAGTCTAAACAAAAAATAACTTCTGAAGAAGGAAAATACATTAGCTATAAAACACCCACAGCTTACAGAGGACTGAGAAAGGTTCAAGTGCCAATTAGCCACCGTGAAGAGACGACATTGAACAAAGGTGATATTCAGCAGAGTAAGGCCTCCCTGAAATGCATTCTAGACATTTTAAAAGACAGGTATACAGACATGCATCAGTTTGAGAAATAAAACTGACGAACCAGTAACCTAAGTTTACAAGAACTAAGTCCACCACTCTTTCTAGGAATACAACAAAATACAGTACTCAGCCAATAAAAAACAACTGGTCAGGCAAAAAACAGCAAACGTGATCCATGACCAAATGAAAATTCAATCAGCAGAAAGACTCAGAAATGAGACGGGCATGATGAAATTAGCAGACAAAGTTAGGAAAACGCTGTAATACACACACTGAATACACGCAACAGTTTAAAGGCAAACATCAATATAATGAGGGGAAAAGCAAAACATAAAAATGAACCACGTGGAGCATCTAGAGATAGAAATAGGAATAACTGCAGATTAGACAGTGCAGAAGAAAAGATTGTAAACTTAAACTTGTAACAATATAACCTATCCCAAATCAATTCAGGGAAAATTAAAAGAGTAGGAAAGAAAAGCAGAATGACAGGTATTTAGGAAACAGTGCAAAGGGGCTCATGTATACATAATAGGAAACCCAAATGAGAGGAGGTAGAAAACGAAATATAGGAGGAAATAACCACAGAGAGTATTTAAAATTTGATAAAAACAATGGGACTATACAGCCAAGAATTCCACGCAGAAAAACAAAATAAAAGAAACAAACCAAAAGACCAAATCAAAGCAAGTTTACATCATAAAATAATGATAAAGAGAAATCTTTAAAATATCAAGAAATAAAATCATATTACTTACAATAGACCAAATACAAGAAAGGCCATAGCTATGTGGTTAGAAACTAGGTAAGGCAAAATTCAATGGAACAACATAATAAAAGAGTTAAAAGAAACATAGACATACTTCTAGAATTCTCTATCCAGTAAAATATCCCTAGGAAGGTAAATAATACATTTTTCAAACATATTAAAGCTGAAGAAATATGTTGCCAGCAAGGATACACTATAGTAAAGGTAAATAAAGTTATTTAGATAGAACTAGGGTATCAACAGAAAAAAAACAAAAACAAAAACAAAAAAAAAGTCCCTGAAATCATGACTTACATTATGAAAGTAGGCTTCTCATTTTAAAATGTCAATATTTAAAGCCAAAACACTAACAATGTATTATGGGGGTGAATATTAAATGTATACTTTGAATATAGATAGACTAAACATATTAATAAACAGGCAAAAATTGGCAGAATAAATGAAAAAAAAAACTCAACTATCTTGTGTCTACAAGTTGAACACTTGAGATTCAATGACACCCGAAGATTAAAAGCAAAGATACAGCATGCAAATAGTCATCAAAAAGAGCTGGAATGCTTATACTAATATCAGACAAAATAGAATTTGACACAAAAATTCTTAGGGAAAGACAAGACATTTTATAATGATAAAAGAGTTAATCACCAGGTAGACATAACAATTTCAAACATGTACACGTAATAACAGAGTGCCAAACTACATGAATCAAAACCTGACAACGAGAAAAGGAGAAATAGACAACTCAACAACAGTAGTTGTGGGCTTCAATACTCAGCTTTCAAAATGTGTAGAAAAACTCAACAAGATCAATAAAGAAACAAAAGACTTGAAAACATTACAAACCAACTAGCCCTAACAAACAAATGTGGAGCATTCCACCCAGTAGACCACCTGTTCTTCTCCAGTGCAGTTGGAATATTCTCTATGGTGGACCAAATGGTGAGCTGCAAAGCAAGCCTCAATAATTTTAAAAACAGCAAAATCATGCTAAGTATCTTCTCTGACCATAATGAAATAAAGTTAGAGCTCAATAACAGAAGAAAAACAAATATTTGCAAATTTGTGGAAATTAAACAACACAGTCTTAAACAACCAATGGATCAAAGAAAAAAAATCACAAGAAAAATTAGAAAACAACTTGAGGTAAATAAAAATGAATATGCAACGTAATAGAACTTATGGTGTACAGCTGGAGCAGTGTTTAGATAGAAATTAACAGCTGTTAATCTACTCTATTTAAAAAAGAAAAATTATCTCAAACCAATAACCTAATCATACACCTTAATATATTAGTAAAAAAAACAAAAACAAAAACAAAAACAAAAACAAAAAAACAGAAAAAAAAAACAAGGAAATAGTGAAGTTTAGATGGCAAATAAATGAACTAGAGAATAGAAAAACAATACAGAACATTAATGAAACCAGAGTTGGTTCCTGAAAAAGATGAACAAAAACTGGCAAATCTTTAGCTAAACAGATTAAGAAAATAAGGAAGAAGACTCAAATAATTAAAATCATTAACAGAATAGGGGACAGTCAATCCCAACCTTACAGAATTCTCTATGAATGATAAAGAAATACCATAAAAAATTGTGTGCAACAAAGTAGACAACTTAGATGAGATGGAAAATATTTCTGGAAAGTGATAAACTGTCAAAAACAACATCAAAAGTAATAGAAAATTGGATTATATCTATAACGAGGAGATAGTGAATTAGTAATAAAAAAAAACTTCACACAAAGAAAAGCCCAGGTACACATGTAATTCCTAAATACTCTTAAATAATTAAAGCAAGATGATATAGCTAATAAACCAACAGTGAAGATACAGTGGAATTATTAATAAATATTAAATACTTAATGAGTATTTACTTTTTATAATAAAAACCAAAACAAAGAATAAAAAGAAATAGAGCTAGACAACAGTTTTAAGACTGAAAAATATTAATAACATTAGATCAAAATAGTCTAAATACTTCCATAAAAAAGTGTTTATTAGAATTGATTATAAAGAGAAACCAAGACACTAGTATGGGGTGTCTATAAGAAAATCGTGTTAAACATAAACACACAGAAATGTTAAAAGTCAGTGAGCAGAAAATGATACACCATGGGAACATTGCACATGAGAGCTCTGAGTGGCAAAGATAATACCAGAAAAGCTAGAAAAAGAAAAGGGCTACGTCAGGGCCCAAAAACATTTTATAATAATAAAGGGGTAAATAAACCAAGCAGACATAATGATTCTAAATGTGTATGCAACCAAATAACAGAGATTCAAAATACATGAGGCAAAATTTGACAAAGTGGGAGGAGAGGTAGACAAATTTACAATTATATTTGGAGATTGAAGTACTCCTTTCTCAGTAATTGATAGAACATATAGACGGAGAATCCATAGTGGTATTGAAGAATTCAGCAAGTCTCTCAAACAACATGGCCTAATCAACATTTACAGACCACTCTGTCCTCCAAGAACAGGATGCGTATTATTGTCAAATATGCATATAATCTTCACCAAGAAAGACTACATGGGCTGGACATGGTGGCTTACACTTGAAATCCCAGCACTTTGGGAGGCCACGGCAGGCATATCACCTGAGGTCAGGAGTTCAAGACCAGCCTGGCCAACATGGTGAAACCCTGTCTCTACTAAAAATATAAAAAAATTAGCCGGGCAGGTGCCTGTAATCCCAGCTACTCGGGAGACTGAGGCAGGAGAATCGCTTGAACCCGGGAGGCAGAGATTGCAGTAAGCCGAGATCGCACCATTGCACTCCAGCCTGGGCAACAAGAGCGAAACTCTGTCTCAAAAAAAAAAAAAGAAGAAGAAGACAGACTATATGTTGGTTTATGAAATAAATATCAATAAATTTAACAGCACCAAAGTCTTGTGGAGTATGTTCTCTGAGCACAGCAGAATTAGATTAAAAACCAACAACAATATACTTCAAAAATCACCAATTATTTGGAACTTCAATGACATCCTTATAAATAACCTGTAAGTTGAAGGATAAATCAGGGGAAATTAGAGAACATTTTGAACCATATGAAAATAATAACACGACACTTCACGATTTGTAGTGTGCAGCTGAAGCACTGCTAAGATAGAAATTTATATGCTGACTGAAAAACAGAAGATGGTCTGCAATGAATTATCTAAGCTTCTGTATGAAGAATCTAGAAAAGGAAAAGTAGATTAAACCTAAAACAAGTTCAATAAGGTGCAAAAAATGTAAGTTTTAATTCCTGTACTTCCCAGACCAAACAGATGGGAGAATAAAAAACGTGAGCGATCTCAACAAATCCAAGATAAGAACAGTCTCAATTTTGTCATCTCATGTCAGCTGATTGCAGGGTGAGTCCAGCCAGTAGAGAACATGGTGATTCTACTGACAACAGTGCCCTATGCACCTTCGGGTGGGATGAGGGAGAAGAGGGAACCCAGAAAATGTTTTATGAGTTTTGATCTCCAGGAGAAGTCCTCGTGAGGACTTCTAGTGGTAAAGACTCAACCTCCTGAGTGAGTTCTTTAGTCCAACAGAACTAGCATGGGTGTGGACCAAAATACAATCTAGGCAGAATGAAAAACATCACACTTCCTACCAACACATGCCTACATGACCAAGACTCAAAAATAACATGTATGATTAACATTTGGATAACACTTCATAGGCATAAAACTTATCTCAAAAACTTACATTCTTATATTTCAAAATTCAGTATGTAATATTGAAGAGTATAACATGCACAAGAATAATAACATGATAACCTATAGGCTTATCACACAGCTTGAAAAATAAAACATTGCCACGATGCCTAAATCCCCGATCACCAACTCCTGAATGATTCATTTTCCCAAGGTATAACTACCACTAGTCGTTTTATAACATTTTTTACCACATATAGGTATTATTTTTATTTTAAAACTTTTTGTGAATGCGATTATATTATACTAAAACTTGCTTTTGTATATAATGTTGTGTTTGGGGTATTTGTTCATGCAGACACACATAACTACATTTTATTCATTTTTCACCAATTTCCCGTGTTCCATGTTATGACACCTTGATAGTTTATTTCTCTAAAGTTAACAGAATGTATTTGTCGGTTTTTGATGTATAGCAAATTACATTAGCGTCTCCCGCCCCCCTTTATTTATAGGTGATATGTTCCAAAACCCCTGTGGGATGCCTGAAACCGCAGGTAGTACTGTGCTCTCTATATACTGTTTTTTTCCTGTACATACACATGTCTATGATAAAGTTTAATTTATAAATTAGGCACAGTTAGAGATCAACAGCAACTGATAATATAAGAGAGCAATTTAACAATTACAACAATAAAATGTGATAAAAATCATGGGAATGTGGACTCTCTCTCTCTCTCAAAATACCTTAATATTTTCATACCACAGTAACTGAAGCTGTGGAAAGTGAAACCATTGATGCGGGCAGACTCCTGTATCTCAAAATCTCAATCATTTCCCGTATTTATATTCACTCTCAACAGTTTGCAAGCCGATTATGATTCAACTCATCTAGGCTGAGCTAGCCTGGACTCCAGGCTTACCTTGGGGGTCAGTTCTGCCCCCAGGCCGAAGGGGCAGTTGCAGCAATGGTTGTGCTTCCCGGGGGGGACCACCAGAGAACACTGGCTAAACCAAGCCAGGCAAGCAGATTGAAGGCCCTCGCCCACAATACATCTGCTACCACTCCATAGTTCAAACCCAGCATCAACTGGGTGGGGACGTGTGTTGTGCCTCCTCTAGAGGGAGAGATCACAAGGTTGTGTAACAAAGGTCGGGATGTATAATCCTAATACAAGAAGTGAGCCAAGCAGAAGCAAGCATCTCAGCCATCCAGCACTGTTAGGAGCATGTGCTGCTGGTGGAAATGTAAATTAATAGGACCATTTTAGGGAACCATTGGCATTAATTACCCAGTGATGACAAAGACGTTTAGCCTATAACCAACCCACTGCAGTCTGAAGTATATGACTTAAAGAAACTCTCACATTTACATTAACATTTTATAATATAAAAGTGCAAATATATTCATTATTTCAAGTAGGTCTCTGAAAAACACCTTAGGGTGAATATTTACATTCCCAATTTGTAGATAGGAAAATTACTCCCATGCTAAGGAGTAATGGGCCAATGGCCTAACATAAAGATTTTTGACTCGAAGGCTAAACATCTCCCTGATACCACACTGCCCACCACCCCAAAAGACCCTCTGTGTGTGCCCTTGACCCTGCTGCCCTAAGAGGGCTGTGAGCAAAAGATAAATCAGGTGACTTCTCCTCATCCCTGTGGCCTCTTTAAAAATAAATGCCGAATGCTGACAAGCAAAGCTGAGAGCAACATCCAGATACTTTGACTGCTGAAGGCAAAGTATGAGGGTGTTTGGAAATGCACAGGTAGTTGTTGGAAGTCTTACTTCTTCAATCAGACTTTTGACCCTCTATCTGGTCTTAGGTGAGCTTCCCTAGAGGCTGAGATGGGATTCTTGGGCAAGCATCTTACTGAGAAAGTACCCTGAGGAAATGCCTGCATTGGAGTGAGGGAGGCAAGGTAAGAGAGAAAGAGATGAAGTAAACACGTCTGTATTAGCCCATTTTCACACTGCAGATAAAGACATACCTGAGACTGGGTAAATCATAAAAAAAAAAAGAAAGAAAAAGAGGCTTAATGGACTCACAGTTCCATATGGCGGGGGGGGGCCTCATAATCATGGTGGAAGGCAAAAGGCACATCTTATATCACAGCAGGCAAGAGAGAGAATGAGAGCCAAGCAGCGAAAGGGGTGTCTCTTTATAAAACCATCAGATCTCATGAGATTGATTCACTACCACAAGAACTGTATGGGGAAGGCTGCCCCCATGATTCCATTATTTCCCACCGGGTCCTTCCCACAACATGTGGGAATTACAGGAGCTACAGTTAAAGATGAGATTTGGATGGGGACACAGCCAAACATATCATTCCACCTCTGGCACCTCCCAAATCTCATGTCCTCACATTTCAAAACCAATCATGCCTTCCCAACAGTCCCCCAAAGTCTTAACTCATTCCAGCATTAACTCAAAAGTCCACAGTCCAAAGTCTCACCCCAGACAAAGCAAGTCCCTTCCACCTATGAGCCTGTAAAATCAAAAGTAAGTTAGTTACCTCCTAGATACAATGGTACAGGCATTGGGTAAAGATAACCATTCCAAATGGCAGAAATGGGCCAACCCAAAAGGTCTAAAGCTCTCATGCAAGTCCTAAATCCAGTGGAGCAGTCAAATCTTAAAGCTCCAAAATAATCTCCTTTGATTCCATGTCTCACATCCAGGTCATGCTGATGCAAGAGGTGGGTTCCCATGGTCTTCAGCAGCTCTGCCCCTTTGCAGGGTACAGCTTCCCTCCTGGCCACTTTCACAGGCTGGTGTTAAGTGTCTGCAGCTTTTCCAGGTGCACAGTGCAAGCTGTTGGTGGATCTACCATTCTGGGGTCTGGAGGACAGTGGCCGTCTTCTCACAGCTCCATTAGGCAGTGCCCCAGTGGGGACTCTTTGTGGGGGCTTCAACCCCACATTTCCCTTCTGCACTGCCCTAGAAGAGGTTCTCCATGAGGATTCCACCCTGCAGCAAACTTCTGCCTGGACATCTAGGCATTTCCCTACATCCTCTGAAATCTAGGCAGAGGTTCCCAAACCTCGATTTTTGACTTCCGTGCACCTGCAGGCTCAACACCATGTGGAGGCTGCCAAGGCTTGGGGCTTGCAGCCTCTGAAGCCATGGCCTGAGTTGTACCTTGGCATTTTTAGCCATAGCTAGAGTGGCTGGGAGGCAGGGCACCAAGTCCCTAGGCTGCACACAGCAGGGGGCCCTGGGCCCAGTCCATGAAACCATTTTTTTCTTCCTAGGCCTCCAAGTCTGTGATGGGAGGGGCTGCCACAAAGTTCTCTGACATGCCCTGGACACATTTTCCCCATTGTCTTGGTGATTAACATTTGGCTCTTCATTACTTATGCAAATTTCTGCATGCTGCTTTAACTTCTCCTCAGAAAATGGGTGTTTTCTATTGCATCATCAGGCTGCAAATTTTCTGAACTTTTATGCTGTGTTTCCCTTTTAAAACTGAATGCTTTCAGCAGCACCCAAGTGCCCTCTTGAAGGCTTTGCTGCTTAGAAATTTCTTCCACCAGACACCCTAAATCATCACCCTCAAGTTCAAAGTTCCACTCATCTCCAGAGCAGGGCAAAATGCTACCAGTATCTTTGCTAATACATAGCAAGAGTCACCTTTACTTCAGTTCCCAACAAGTTCCTCATCTCCATCTAAGATCACCTCCGCCTGGACTTCATTGTTCATATCATTATCAGCATTTTGGTCAAAATCATTCAACAAGTCTCTAGGAAGTTCCAACCTTTCCCACATTTTCCCGTCTTCTTCTGAGCCCTCCAAACTGTTCCAACTTCTGCTTGCCTAGTCCCAAAGTCGCTTCCACATTTTCAGATGTCTTTACAGCAGCACCCCACTCTACCGGTACCAATTTACTGTATTAGTCCATTTTCACACTGCTGATAAAGACATACCTGAGACTGGGTAAATTATAAAGAAAAAGAGGTGTAATGGACTCACAGTTCCACGTGGCTGGGGAGGCCTCACAATCATGGCAGGAGGTGAAGGCACATCTTACATGACAGCAGGCAAGAGAAAGAATGAGAACCTAGTGAAAGGGGTGTCACCTTATAAAACCATCGGATCTCATGAGACTCATTCACTACCATGAGAAGAGTATGGGGAAGACCACCCCCCATGATTCAATTATCTCCCACCAGGTCCCTCCCACAACGTGTGGGAATTACGGGAGGTACAATTTAAGATGAGATTTGGGTGGGGACACAGCCAAACCATATCAACATCACTTCCAAAGTCCTGCCTCAGTCCCGTCTCATGAGGAGTTCTGGGGCACCAAGTGCATCACAAATCCTGCCCCATATTGGGACAGAGATTGGAAGTTTATACTTTGGCACGAGTGGCCAGTGGCCTCGGACAGCCCCAGTGGTGTCTCCTGGCAGGCAGCCTTCATCTGCAAGGAGCAGCCCTCCAGAGAAAAATGCAGATGTAGCAGACAGCATCTGAGACATGGGCCAGCTCAGTAAAGTGGCTCTGGAGAGGGGGCAGCAAGGGCCTCTGACATGGTTACTTTACATACTTGTTTCAGCTCTCCCAGGAACCCACACATGCCACCACGAGCAGCTGGACCTCACCTGTGAGGAGGTGTAAATACATCCCTCCTGTTATTGCTTCCACAGTTAAACATATGTTTCAGGAGCTAGGAGAGTCCTAGGACAGGACACCAGCTTCTCCAGGTGCTGATTACTGATTTGTACATATTTATACTGCCTGATATTGCTATAGAGGAAAAGTGAATGGTTTGAATCCCCAAAGGGGCTTTGGAAAAGTAATATATCATAATGGACCACAATGTTCCAGGGACCCTGTTAGTCATTTTAACCTAAGTCATTTCATTATGACATATGTTAATCAGTAGAAATAATTATTTCTGAAGCCAGTTTTTAGATAAAGAAACAGAGGGTCATGAAGGCAGAAACAAGACTGCAATACGGTTGTCTGGTTCCCACTCCTGGATGGCAAAGGCGATGTTAGGCAATGACATCATCATTACCACCAATGTCACAGCAGTCGCTCACTGCTGAGCATCATTTCTGTGCTTTCCTGCCAGGCAATCATGGGCGCTTTTGTGGACCATGCTTCCTCCCTGACCCACCCCACAGGCCTCATCAGCTCCTTGGAGGCATCCAACGACATGCACACGTGGTGCAGTCTGACAGAAGAGCCTTTCTACTTTTCTACACTGACTAGGGCAAGGTGGCCAAGTGGCCACCATCACAGTGCCAACCATAACAAGAGAAATGCAATTAGAAAAACTCGAAGAGCATTGAAAATATGTTGTTGACCAGTGCCCAAAATGGTAATTCTTGTTTTCAGAGGAAAACAAACATACCCACTTTCTTTTCAGTGACTGGAATACCACAGAGCCTGCTTTAACCGGGAGTCTCATAATGTGTGCGTGTGTGTGTGCCTGTAAAAGTGATAAGCTATTTCTAAAATCTAGATGGAAATACAAAACCCAAGAATAACCAAAGTAATGTTGACAAAAACACTGCTAAGTAACTTGCTACTGCAGATACCCAGGTGTGTTATAACACAGTACTGGCTTATTCAGTATACTAGTGATGTGAGGATAGAAAGTTTGACCAACAGAACAAAATAGGATAAATAAGGAGATGTGTGAAAATACGGCCGGCTTTTCTGTGACAAGAGCATCAATCGGTATGGGGGGAAAGAATAGTCTTTTCAACACATGGTGCTGAGACAATCAAACATCCGTATGAGAGCTTTGGACCTGTAATCCAAAGACACCTGCATATTGTCAGGAAAATCTGCTTCCTGCCTCTCACCATATACAATAACAACAATAAAGAGTCTATTCTTGATGGATTGCAGATCTAAATGTAAAATGTCAACCAATAAAACACCCAGACAGAAACATGAGATAAAAGTCCTTCAGCTCCCAGGGGTCGGGGGTGTACACCTATTTCCCCAACAGGTAGGCAGGGAGCTTCCAATAAGCAGTCAGACAAGAGAGATGCTGGAGTCCAGCTTCAGTAGGAGGCAAGCCAGAGCGCGGATCCACTCGATATCAAAAGTCAGTGCTGTCTTTGCCAAATGGGGAAGTGTAGTGGCTCGAGCATCTTTGCTGAGGTGCGTCGCACGAGGTTGACTGATTTTCCTCAGGAGAACGTCTTCTCTTCCCTCCTCTCCATGATCACTATCGTCAATTGATCACCCACCATAATATAAGTCAGCAGGTACTTACCAAACACCCCTCAACCGTGATCACTGTGCTGAGAGTACACGCGTGGGAGGAGAGAGGGCTACGAAGTGAGAGTAGCACATGCTGCCTGCCAAGCCTGGGAGCTTGAAGGCCAGAGAGTGAAATTAGATACATTCACCAGGCATTTCAATAATCCAAGGCAGACCACAGTTTACATTAAAATACATGATTTATAGAAAAACAATATAGGAATTCAAAGAAGGATGTAATCAACAAGAAGTCATGACCCACTGCCTGCACTCAGCCTTGAAGAATATGTGAATCTGGCCGGTGCTGTGATTACAAAGTCTTGTCTCAGGAAAGCCTTACACACTCCTGCTCAGGAGTAACTGTGCTTCTCTTAACAGAGGAAGGTGCTGACTAAAGTTCAAGCAGTGAGACGCATTGTCGGGAGTGCCACGGAAATGCCTGGAGAAGATGGACCACAGCATGGTCCCCATCAAACCCAACCCGCTCAACCTTCCAGAATGCTCTATCCTACCATGCCTCACCCCTCTCCCTCCCCACATTTCTCTAAAGGCCCCTGCCAGTGTGCAGTGTGTAAGCCTTTGCCCAGCGTTTGTTGGCAACGTTGCAGGGTATACAGACTCATCCATCCTGGCCGTCTGCTCTGAGATATTGTCTGGTTTAGTGTGAACATCTGTGTAGAGAAGGATGAAGACAGCACCCCATGCTTCCAGTGTTTCCATCACTTATGTCTTTGCCCTGGGCCCTGAGTTCTGGGGAGATGCACCACCTGGCATGAGAATCACACAGAACTTCCTGCCAGGGACGAAGCCTCACAGTGGAAGCAGATTGTGGTACTCATGAGGTTCTATTCCTCATCTTAAAGACAACCAGGCTCACACTTCAAACCAATATTTGAGCTAGACCTAGGATTCAGGACTCTGAATTTTATCAGACAGACATTCCTAAAATGCAACTAAATTCTCCCCGGGTAAAAAAGAAAGAACAATTTTGAGACTAGCATGGATTTGTGGTCAAATAATATGTGCTCACCAACTGTATTACCCAGGCACTAGTCATGCATGATAAGAAACTTAGAATACGAGAAAGACACATTTTCCTGGGCACATAAATGAGGAGGAGATGACCTTGATCTTATGTCTAGAGATGGATTGGATGTGTTTTACTTGTAATGTAGGAGAGGGAGAAGACATAATGATGTGTTTGTGGGAATTACGGGGAAAGTGGGTGTTGAGCAATGTTATGCTTCGGTGCTCCTTTTTCAGAGATGTACAGAGATTCCATGGCTTGTCTTCGAGGTAAAGGCAAGAACTGAAATGACGGCCAGGCGCGGTGGCTCACGCCTGTAATCCCAGCACTTTGGGAGGCCGAGGTGGGAGGATCACGAGGTCAGGAGATCGAGACCATCCTGGCTAACACGGTGAAACCCCGTTTCTACTAAAAATACAAACAATTAGCTGGTCGTGGTGGCAAGCGCCTGTAGTCCCAGCTACTCGGGAGGCTGAGGTAGGAGAATGGCGTGAACCCGGGAGGCAGAGCTGGCAGTGAGCTGAGATTGCGCCACTGCACTCCAACCTGGGTGACAGAGCGAGACTCC
Organism: Homo sapiens; assembly: GCF_000001405.40. Lineage (NCBI taxonomy): Eukaryota > Metazoa > Chordata > Mammalia > Primates > Hominidae > Homo > Homo sapiens. Next base: position 134,887,217 of record NC_000011.10, on the reverse strand, counting down.
ATCAAAAAAAAAAAAAAAAAAGAACTGAAATACTTGCAAGGTATCAGAACATCACAGACGCTGAGCAATGGTTTATTGCAAGAAGTATCAAGGAGATGTGGCATCAAGAACTGGTGTGCTCACCTTCCAGCAGTGGCTCTGGAATGGCCTTCTACAGGTGACCAATGCCTACCATGACTAATGCCTCCTTGTTCTGTGGAGGAGGCTGCAGGGAGCAAAGTCATGATGTCTGTGAAGGCAACTGTAGCTAGTCTCTCTGAATGCCCACATGTTATTGCCACTTACAGCCCAGAGGCACAAAATGAATTAAGGGGAACTGGTTTCTGAGAAAGATAAGCTACGACACAGACAAGTGGGGAAGTTGTTCAGAGGTTCATAGGGGCAGCATTTACCACTTTTTTTGTTTTGTTTAGTAACTTAACCAAGATTAGAATAATTAATAAAAGAAAAATATACCAATACTTTTCAACTTCACAATCACCAAAGAGCCTCTGTTAAACTCCTGGTTGCAAGTGATCTACTTAGAAGGACTGATAAAGGCCAGCTTCTCAAGTAGAGATTGCAATGTCCCACCCACAGTCTCGTGCCATCAGAGCACCGCAGACCTCCACCGAGACAATGTGGAAGTGAGTACAAGAATGCCAGGGTTGGCCGGGCACGGTGGCTCATGCCTGTAATCCCAGCACTTTGGGAGGCTGAGGCGGGCAGATCACAAGGTAGGAGATCGAGACCATCCTGGCTAACATGGTGAAACCCTGACTCTACTAAAAATACAAAAAAAAAAAATTAGCTGGACGTGGTGGCAGGCGCCTGTAGTCCCAGCTACTCGGGAGGTTGAGGCCAGGGAATGGTGTTAACCCGGGAGGCGGAGCTTGCAGTGAGCCGAGATCCTGCTACTGCACTCCAGCCTGGGCGACAAAGCAAGACTCCGTTTCAAAAAAAAAAAAAGAGTGCCAGGGTTAGATTATTTATAGAATCTTAATCTCAATGCCATGGAGATAGAAGTATGAACAATACTTCCCATTTTGGAGAGAGTGGGGTTTTGTGAAAGGCAGTACCTGGTAACCAAGATGTCTCTATGAAGTCAGCAGGTCCGCTTAATATTTGAATAACATTTCTTCCATCTTCTGTCCCAATTGCTGGGCGAAGTTCAGTGCTCAGTCCTCAACCTGTTGGTGAGTTTCCAAAGACCACGTTCCCATGATTTCTTCTCTCTCGCATCTCCTTTTCCTGCCGAATTTTTCCTCCCCCAAGCTGGTCTTTCATTCAAATGTCTTCTCTTCTTTCTGTCCTCTGACATCCTAACCATGGACTATAACAACACCCTTTCCCTGCATTCTCCAAAATACCAATGCACAAGTCAATTATGTGCAGAGACCTTTACTGAGGATTTGAGAGTCTCAGAGGACAGGCACAACACAGCTGAACTTTCGAATAGATGATCTTAACTAATTGATAGTGCAGTGTGTTGGACATTCCTGCTCTTAACAATCCCCTAGTCAAATTGGCCAAGAATTTCATGCTAGCTATCTCATTTCAGACTCCAGCCTCCTCTCACAGCCTTGAACCTTCTCAAATGCTTCATTTTAAGCAATGACTGAACACAAGTGAATTACATTACCAACTTAAAACCTAGAAACAGAACAAAAGAGTAATTCACACACAAACTAAAGGAAACGGGATACAGAAAACAGAGTCAAAAATTAACATGAAAACAGAAAGAAATAGACCTAATTAATAAATCAATAAACCACTGGTCACTAATAAAGAAAAATGGTAGAAGCACAAATATAATAAATAATAGTAACAAGCATCCAGGAGTAAATAATTATTGACAAAGGAAAAATTGTTTAATTGGCTATTTGCACACATCTATAAACATAAACAGTGAAACCATGTGAAATGGGTAACTTCCTAGGGAAAAGCAGGTTCCCAAAATTGATGCCAGTAGAAACAGAAAGTTTAAACAGACCAATTCTAACAACAGAAATGGAGAAAATTATCAAGATTCTACCATTCCACACACACAAAAACGGTACCAGGTTCCAATAGTTTCTTTTGTTTTTCTTCCTTTTGAGAAGGGTTCTCGCTCTGTCACCCAGGCTAGAGTGCAGTGGTGCGATCTTGGCTCACTGCAACCTCTACCTCCCGGGTTCAAGCGATTCTCTGGCTTCAGCCTCCTGACTACCTGGGATTGCAGGCACGTGTCACCATACCCAGCTCTTTTTGTACAGCAGAGATTGGGTTTCACCATGTTGACCAGGTTAGTCTCGAACTCTTGACCTCAGGCAATCTGCCTGCCTCGGCCTCCCAAAGTGCTGGGATTACAGGCATGAGCCACCACACCCAGCCCTGAATAGTTTCACAGGTGAATTCCAACAAACATTCAAAGATGAAATAATTCAAATGATACATAAATTGCTGCAGCCAATGAACATAAATAAAATATTCAAATTAGCTTTATAAAGTATAAAATGGATATAACCTGATAAACACAGCACAGTGAAATTAGATTACAGACTAATACCACTTACAAATATTGATGCAAAAGTTCTAAATACTATGTCAGTGAACAGAGTCCCAAAACAACACTTGTTTCAAAATCTAAACTGAAAGATACTTATTTCATTTAAGAACACATTAAGTAAAAGAATATTCTTTATTCTTTTTAAAACATATTAGTGTATATATTTCTAGGTAATTTTCACAATGATATATCTGAAGATGGTATTATTTAAAGACAGATTTCCATATAACAAATCTAATGCATTTCCTCTCCATTGCCTGTGGGTGTTTAGCACAGTGTTTAATCCAGTGCTCTCTGGGCTGCTCATTCCATTCCTACCTTGCACTAGCTCTGTGACCTTAGAAATGTTTCTTAACCTCTGGATGACCAGTGTTCTCATGTGCCGATGTGGGGATAACAGTAGGACATATGTCCCAGGGTTGTCATAAAGAGCCGATGAATTAAGGCAACATACACAGCATGGAATACTCTGCGGTGATAAGAATGTGCAAGATCATGTTCTCTGCAGGGACACAGATGGAGCCGGGGGTCATTGTCCTTCAGCAAAACTAACACAGGAACAGAAATCCAAATGCTGCATGTTCTCACTTATGAGTGGGCGCTAAATAATAAGAACACATGGACACATCGAGGGGAACAGCACACACTGGGGCTGGAGAATGGAAGAAGGGAGAGGATTAGGAAAAATAAGTAATGGGTACTAGGCTTAGTACCACAAAATAAACTACAACAAACTCTCATGACAAGTTTACCTATATAACAAACCCACACATGTACCCCTGAACTTCAAATAAAAGTTCAAAATATAAATAAAGAAAAAAGAACACAGAAGAGAGCTTGCCAGGCAGTAAGAGCTCAGTAAGTGTGAGCTGTTATTCTACCAGTCATCACTTTGTTTAGTCCCAACCTTCAAGCCTGGGCTGGGGCTACAATGCTCCCCTCTCCAGCTCCCCTTCTCCTGCCTTTTAAAAAAAACTGTCATCAAGTCTATCGAGGTACAAAATCCCTCATGTGGCGTCTGTTCCATGTCTCCGGAGCACCTTGGCGGGAAACACCTGAAAGCCCCTGGCTGCCGGCGCTGCCACTGAAGCGACTGTTGCTTTTGTGGCTGTGACTGCCTGCTCGCAGATGATCACTCCAAGTTTTATTTCTTATAGGTTCTTCTCACTTTCCTTCCACATGGAGAGAAAGAAAAGAAATATCTATGCAGGACACACACTGATCATTGAAACTTCATCATTAAAGAAGAAAGAATAATTGTCCTTGAAAAGAGTTTATTTGATATTTAATTGCAGTGACCCATTTTCCCAGCAAGGGCTGAAGAATTTACATGTCTCTGGCTCAATAATCCCCATTTTAAAAAAAAAACCAAGCTTTATTTAAACAGGCCATTTTAAACAGCAATATTTGACAAGGTATCCTAATGTAAATTTAAGTTTGTTTGGAGACTTAGCTCTAGGAATACAAATACCTTATTTTTAAAACCAAATGAGGCAGGAGGAGTCCCACCTCGCATTTTTCCATCGTTTTTAAGCTGGCTCTCTGGCCCGCCCTTCCCCAGGCGTTGGAAGCAGCCCGACTTCCCTTCACATCCCCTGTATCTTTGAAATCCTCTAGCCCTGGAGTAAATCAGAGCATTTCCCATCATGCTCCCTGATGTGCTGTTTTAAAGCCTGAGAGGAAGAAGTGGTCCTTCCCCCAGCATCTCTCTATCCCAGGAAGAATATTACTGAGATATGTGTTTATTTGCTACCGAGCTAAGATAGAAAACACTGACACCCGCGCGGCACCTGCTTATCCATCTGCGACTCCTGCGGCATTTCTCTTTCCTGCTGGCCTCTCGGTAGCCAGGAGTCCTGGGCACAGCATCTGCTTGGTTCCTTGTTGCTGCTCTCTCAACTCAGTGCTCCCAAACTGAAGGACCTGCTTCTCCCCGAGACACCCATCCACAGAGCTCACAGCCTCACCAAAGGAAAATCAACAACAAACTTTCACTCTGTCTTAGTCTGTTCTGTGCTGCTATAACAGAATACCTGAAACTGGGTAATTTATAATGAACAGAAATGTATTTTGCACAGCTCTGGAGACTGGGAAGTTTAACATCAAGGTGCTGGCATCTGGTGAGGGTCTTCCTTGTGGATCCTCCTGTTGTGGAAGGTGAGAGGGTGAGAGAAAGAACCGAGTCCTGAAAGCCCTTTGTAAAAGCACTAAACCTACCCATGAGGGCAGAAGCTTTATGGCCTAATCACCTCTTCAAGGCCCCGCCTCTTAGTACTGTTATGGTTGGACTGACTTACACATGTCAACATGAGTTTTGGAGGGACGAGCATTCAAGCGCTGGTGCACCCCTGTCAGCTGACACTGCTACTAAGAGGAAACGATGCCTCACAGATGGGCTCTTACCTTTTGTATTAGTCAGGGTTCTCCAGAGGAAAAAACAAAGGATCTAGACATGAATACAGAAATAGAGCCGGGCGCAGTGGCTCACGCCTGTTATCCCAGCACTTTGGGAGGCCGAGGTGGGCGGATCATGAGGTCAGGAGATCGAGAGCATCCTGTCTAACACGGTGAAACCCCGTCTCTACTAAAAATACAAAAAAAATTAGCTGGTCGGTGGCGGGCTCCTGTAATCCCAGCTACTCGGGAGGCTGAGGCAGGAGAAAGGCGTGAACGTGGGACATGGAGCTTGCAGTGAGCCGAGATCGTGCCACCTCACTCCAGCCCGGGTGACAGAATGAGACTCTGTCTCAAAAAAGAAAAGAAAAGAAAAGAAATAGAAATAGGTCGTTGCCAGACACATGAGAAGAGCCTGATCAGGGGATGGGCTCGCATGATTATGGAGGCTGAGAAGCCCCAGCAGAGGCCGTCTGCACGCGGGGGACCCGGGGAAGCTGGTGTGGAATGGCTCCAAGCAAATTGGAAGGCATCAAGACCAGTAAGGCTGATAGTGGGACTCTCAGTCTGAGGCTAAAGGTCTGAGAAACTGGGGGCTGTGGTGCGAGCCCTGGAGTCCAAAGAACAGAGAACCTTGAGTTCCGATACCCAAGGGCAGGAGAAGGACATCCCAGCTCCAAGAGAAAGGGGACAAAAGAGAATTCACCCTCCTCTGCCTTTTTGCTCTTCTCGAGACCTCAGCGATTGGACAGTGCCCACCCATGCTGGGTGAGGGTGGATCTGGCTCAGTCCACTGACTCCAGTGTGCCTCTGCCAGAAATGCCCTCCCAGACACACCCAGAGATAATGTTTTACCGTCCAAGTATTCCTTCATACAGTCAAGCTAACACCTACAGTTAACCATACACCTTTGTTAAGAGTATCCACCTCATGAGGAGCTTTAACACGCTTTGTTTCATTTGCCCCTCAGAAAAACACAGCAGGGAGGTGGGGAAGGGGCCACAATTCCCACTTAATAGATGAGCAAAGTGATGCTAAGGAGAGAGAACAGGGCAGGCCTGAGGCTCATGGCCAATTAAGGGCAGAATTGGAAAGAAGGCAGGTCTTTCATTTAAAAATAAAATTTAAATGATCCCATCCTCATCCTCAGCATCCAAAGGTCTTTTGGGCTGGCTTCCTGATTTTGCACAACTAGTAGGAGTGATTCACTCAAACAAAGTCTGTGTCTGTCCACAGTGGGAATTGGGAGCTGCCCCTCCTGGGGAGAGGAACCCTGTCCTGAGCTGCTGGGCCCGTTCTTCCAGCGCCCCCGGGGCAGCCCGGCACGACACCAGCAGATCTGCCAGGGAATGCTGATGCCACCACTCCAGGCAAATATTTAGCAACTCCCCCTCTGACTCTCAATATTGCCCCATTTGAGAATATATTAAAATGGACACCTGCCCTTCACTGGCATCATGTGAACGTTTAAGAAACTTTAAATTTGGAATTTAGACTTAAATTTTAAACAGTAACTGCGATCTCAGAGCTAAAGCTTCCTTTGTGTTTGTATAATTAGAAATAGTAATAGCATTTATCTTCCTGCCTCAAACACAGGCTAGCTTCTGGCCCACTTTTTGAAGGACTCTGTACTTGGGGCCCAGACTTGCCTACATACTACAGGACACACAGTCCAGAACCGAGTTCCACAGCTCTCTCTGCCTCTAGAGTTTTTGGTGCTGACTTCCTGGTGTCCTGTCCTGCTGCCGGTGTGTTTCTACAGAACTGGCCTCCATGTCCTGCCTTTAGGAACCACTCAGACCATCATGTGTCCACCCTGTGGGTCCAACTTTGGCAGTTGTTCCATCACCCTGAGTCCCAGGCTCCTGGGCTGTGAAATGTGAGTGATGATGTCAATAGCAGCGGGGTCACTGCAGAGGTAAAATGGCACGTCTGTGACAGCGCTTTGCAGAACACAAGAGCCGTGTCAGTTCTCATTTGTCTTCGGGGTCTCTAAGACAGACCTTCATTCCACCGGATTTTTATTCTGGCCTGTTATAGGTCAGCCTCATCACCCACACTCCAGTGTGACAACAGCATCTGATCAGTTAAGGAGCGCTTTGATTATTTTTCCTGCTGGTAGAGAGTTTTTACTGATCATTCATTCTACTGCATTTGATGCATAAATAGCAGGTGTCAGACACTGATTGCTGTCATTCATTTCATTCATTCTTTCTCAGACACTCAATGGCTTGGCACCCTCAATGTAGATTTCCAAGTGAACTAGCAAATATGAAGTACATGGTCTATGGCTGGGGCATGGTACTAATTTTAGGGCCTCACAGAAAACTTATGACCTTGCCCTTGTGATAGTGACACAAACCTCAGGCCCCTTCTGGTAGTAAACCTCCATATGCAGCCCCTTGTCCCAAAAATGAGGTCTCTGGATTCCCTTTCCTAGTCACCAGGACCAATCGCGACTGCAGCACAATGTCTGGTCTTCCACCCTCCAGACCTATTCCCAGAGTTCAGCATTAGGGACACACCACACGCCCCTGTGCTTTTGCTTTGTTTCTGAGCCTAATTCTCACAGCTGCATTTCTTCCCTAGACCTTATGTAGGAGGCATCCTAATGCCCCATTGGTCTCCTGGGCCTGGGCCAGCCTTGTTGTCACCAGCTCCTCCTGCACACACACCAAATGCCTGTACTTCCACATCTCACCGTGCTGTGAGCTGCATCCACCTTTCTAGTACACCCGGAGCTCCACTTGGCCTGACTTCCAGCAGGCCCCCCTTGCCTCAACCCGTGGACTCTGCTCTTGCTGAGACAGGGAGCACCCTCCGTCTGCATCAGCAGCTGCCCTCCTGTCACCTGAGTGGGAGAATAGGGTTAGCATATCTCACTGCCCTGCCCCCTGCCCCCAAGTCCTGCTCTAACAGTTAATCTTATTTATGTATTTATTTATTTTGATGGAGTCTCACTCTGTCGCCCAGGCTGGAGTGCAGTGGTGTGATCTCCGCTCACTGCAACCTCTGCCTCAGCCTCCCAAGTAGCTGGGATTACAGGCACGAGCCACCATGCCCAGCTAAGTTTTGTATTTTTAGTAGAGACAGGGTTTCACCATGTTTACCAGGCTGGTCTCAAACTCCTCACCTCGTGATCCTCCTGCCTTGGCCTCTCAAAGTACTGAGATTACAGGCATGAGCCACTGCACCCAGCCTCTATCAGTTAATCTTAATGAATCCCAAGATATGATCTAATCAAACGGGGTAATCAGATACGGCACACCTGCCCAGTGAGGTATTGGCCAGTTACCTGGAGTTTCAATGCAGGGCCCCTGGGATGCTGGTCCTGCACTGACTTGTGACACATACTTATTTTTCCTTCTGTGAAGAATTGAGGTGGAGAGGCTGCCTGGGGACATGACGCTGGTCTGGATCTGCCTATACTGGCTTCAACACCTGGTACTTTCTCCTCGTTCTACAACTTCAAAGTCATACATTTAATCTCGAGGGAGCTGTCAGTTCCTTGATTATCCCCACAGAAAAAGCATCCATTAAGAAAGAATAAAGGAGCATGGGCTTGCATGAGAGACAGAAGACAATATAGGAATCAACTGCAGGAAAACACTAATGACAACTCTGGTAACAGGTCAGCACAATTAGCCTCCTCTTCATAAACACTGCATATTACTCAAAAAGGGGAGAAATTGTGTGTGAGTTCATCACTACCTGAAAAACAACTTCACACTAGAATAAAAACGACGAGATAAGAATGATAAACGCATTATACCATGCAGTTCTTAGCCTGAGTCCCTGTATTAAATAGACAGAGAGAGAGAGAGAGGTGGCGGCAGTGGTGGGCAGGGGGAAGAAGGATAAAAACGGTGAATTCTGTCAATGAATGCAGCTTGTCCTATTAGGCAAAATAAGAAAAGGAGGTCTGGTAGTGGACAGCCAGTTCTAATGAATGATATCCCAGAATGGCGAATGCCGACTGCAAAGCTTTTGCCCAGCTTGCAGCCTTCCAACCAGTTTGCTGACACTCCCTGAACTGAGGAAAGAGGAAAGCTGCAGGAGAACATGAGGAAGAGGAAACGTGTAATTGCTACTAGGGGGTGACTGTGAACTATATAATGAAAATATAAAAACACAGTTATTTTTCAATGAAAGCACCTCATTTTCTCCATGAACTGGTTAGCATTTTGTCTTAACATTCTGTGCAGCATCTTGAAAAGACGTTTGTCTTTCAGGGTCAAAGAAAGAGGCAGAGATGTGCTTGTTTCTCGAAAATAAACCTGGGTTCCTTCCCATCTCTCTCTGCTGAATGGTTGCACTTTTTGCGTTCATGCTAAATTACTCAGAAGACAAAAATAAGACACTTTTATCCCAAGGTGATTGGATTTTTATCCCTTCAGACCCATGGTGGGAGAAAAGGGATCTTCTCCACCACTGAAAATTAATGTTAGCTTCAAAGAACCTTAGATATTCTAGTCATTACATGTAACTGGTAGCAGTGGATTGTGGTCAAATGGTGTTCTTGGCGGCGGAGGACTTTACAATGAGCCAGGATGGCTTCCCTGTGCCAGAGCCTTGCAGAAATGGTCACACAGAGTGGAAGCATTACCGATAGGATGCTTCCTTGAATACAGAGTGTTCCTTGGAGGTGTCCAGAGTGGAAGCATTACCGATAGGATGCTTCCTTGAATACAGAGTGTTCCTTGGAGGTGTCCAGATCTCCTTGACACACATCTAAGTCTGTGGTCCCCTGATGTTCATGACCTATTGCTCTCATCTATTTGTTTCCAGGGATGTGCCAGAGACATGCCATAAGGAACGGTTATGTGTTTGGCCACAGTCAAGGGTCTATGTGAACGCACATTGCCAAAATATTTTGGATGATTTTGAGAACTACGCCCAATGCTACTCTAATATACAACAAAATCATTTCTAAAGAGGAAAAATGACATTTACTAATCCAAACAAAGTAAATTTTATTGACAAATAATATTAAAGTGGTTTTGCTTGAGCTAGATTCTCAATTCCAAGCTTTGCAGGATCAGAGACCTCACTGGTTTTATGCACCACTGTATACCCAGCACCAGCTCTGAGCCTGGCCCCTGGCAGACCCTCTATAAATGCTGATAATTACCTCCATCTGACATGAAAATGACGACGACTGAATATAACTGTTTTATTACCGTAATTATGAGCCTTCCCTTTCATTCACGCTGACCCTAGCAAAGCACAACAGGACCTGCTGAGCCTTCTGCTGAAGGACATGGCCAGCCAGTGCAAGGGCCAGCTGAGGTCCATGTCATTTTGAGTTCCATGGGCTTGGCTGGGGATACATGTTCTCATCAGAATTGAGGAAAGACCAGTTTCTCCTCAGGAGAGGGGTCCAGATGAGCAAACATGGGCCCAAGTGGAGAGGGGGCATGTGGAGGGACAGCAAGGGGCTCATCTGCTAGTGCCTGCAAGAAATTTGGTTACCGGATGCAGCCCCAACAATACAGAGAACGGGAAACTCAAGGGCATGGCAAGGGTTGCATTTTTATTTTAAAACCAGTTTCCTTATACTAGAGAAACCTCATTTGCTTTAGATACATATCACATGGCAGTAGTTATACAGTGGGAAGAACCTTCTAAGTGTGCACTAGCATGTCTAACCAATGAATCCTTAAGGAGTGATTGGAAAGCCCTGGCTGTGGCTCTAACAGAGTAACTGGCACCAGACTTGACCCGATGTATGCACGTTGAGAGAGCTGAGCCAGATACATGGGGTAACAGTTCCTCCCAAATCAGACAACACACAGCACAGGATTGCAACACCTGAGCGATGCCTTCCCCTCTGGAGTCCCTTTCCCGTTCTGGTTTCCAAGGAAAGGGAAACCAAACACGGCACAGTCGTCTCACTGAAGTGAGGAGACAGAGATTAGAATCCAGAAATATGGAGGCTGCTGGAGCTTGCAGGGCTGTGCCATGTGGGGCAACATCAAGAAAGCTGATAAAACCCAAGCAATATATATCTAACGGAAAACACGTGGTGTATTTTAATTAAGTTGCTACAAAACTGTGATAGAAAGAAAACACTAGAAGTCAGAAGGAAGAAATAGACTTACTCTATAAAGGATAAACATTGGAATGTTTGCAGGTTACCAACAAAAAAAATGCAAGCCTGAAGATGATGCAAAAGCATATTTAAAGCACCAGAAGAAAAAAGTCAACCTAAAATTCTCTATCCAGCAAAAATAGCCTTCAAAATTGAACATAAAATAGAAACATTTTAAGACAAAATATTCTGAACAAATGTTGCTGCATACCTGTTGAAGTTCTTCGGACTAAATGATATTATACCAAATGTTAACTGTATTTATAGAAAGGAAAATATATGTTGGAAATGTTTTTAAAAGAAGGTATATATTAAAGGCTTATTTTTAATTTTTATTAAAAAAAAAACTCAGCTAATAGGCCAGGTGCGATGGCTCAATGCCTGTAATCCCAGCACTTTGGGAGGCTGAGGGAGGCAGATCACAAGGTCAGAAGTTCAAGGCCAGCCTGGCCAACACGGTGAAACCCCGTCTCTATTAAAAATACAAAAATTAGCTGGGCATGATGGCACATGCCTGTAATCCCAGCTACTTAGAAGGCTGAAGCAGGAAAACTGGTTGAACCCAGGGGGCAGAGGTTACAGTGAGCCGAGATCACACCACTGCACTCCAGCCTGGGTGACAGAGCAAGACTCTGTCTCAGGAAAAAAAAAATAGATAATAAACTGTTTAAATGAAAAATAATAGCCATGCATTTGGGATTTATAACATGCACAAAAATCATGAGAAATAGTGCAAAGGACATGAGGTGTAAATGAAACAATTTCCTAAGTTTCCAGCATTTTACAGGAAGTGGTTTACTTAGACTGCTAAGTTTTGCTAACTTGTGTGTGTGTTTGTGTGCGTGTGTGTGTGTGTGTGTATAAAGAAAACCACTAAATATAAAGAGTGTAGCGAATAAGACTATTTAGGAGCAAACAATGATACCAAAAAGTACTCCAGAAGCATGCAGAGGCTTTCCTATTTCTGCCTGGAGAGTTGGAAAGAGTGTTGTTCCCAAACTTGCAATAAATAATTCAGATAAACAGCAAGTTCACAACTTTTCTTGACCCCCTTGGAATGCTGAGGTGACAGGACAGCCACATTGCCTGGGATTTAGAGACGAGATTTGCAGCTGAGTACTGACTGAACTCAGGCTGGAGGCAGTGGGGCACCAGGGAGAAGCGTTCGTCGTGAGCAGCTGGTCTTCCGCTGCAGCCTGTTTATGCACTGCTGAGAGAGGGCAAAGCCACTGTGGGTGGAGATGTGGGGAAAGGCCACACTTTTCTTGTAGGTATTATCTCCATGAAACCCACTGGATGCTCACAGAAAAGATGGAGAGAGTCTAGTCTCTCATAAGCGGCACAACTGGAGGAACAGAAAAGCTCCACCTGCAGAAAGAGCTGGAAGCCCCCCAAACACATCTGCACGTCCTTCCATGTCCTTCCAAGGACTCATCCAAGTCTCTTCAATTGCCGAGCTTATCAGTATGAAGTTGTTAATAATCAATAAGACACTAGAATTAATAAGTCCCAGGAGACTCCTTCTCCTCCCTCCAGGGAGATGGATCCCTGCCTGGGACCCACTTGGCGTACAGTGGCCTAAGTCACATATGGCACCTTAGCCAGAACAAGTCCCAAGGTGCCGTTGGACTCTGTCCTCCTGTGCCATCACCTGTGGCAGGAAAGAGTCATCCCATTCACATATGCACCCAGTCCTCAAGTGCCTGTCTAATTGGGGACCTGTGGCAGGAAAGACTCATCCCATTCACATATGCACCCAGTCCTCAAGTGCCTGTCTAATTGGGGAAAGGGAATCAAAGGCGTGGAGACTAAAAAGGTAGAAAATTTACATTTGGCTTTGAAAAGAGCACGTGAAATTCCTCCCAGATTTGCTTTTCTCACTTTAGTATTAAAAATAAAAGCTGGATGATTGGGTGCTTATCAGTGCACGGGTGTAAGTAAGTTACCCATTGTCACGAAAATACCCAAAAGGATTAGACGCAGCAGTGTCCAGCAGATTCACACAGAAATAAGGACAGTGTGTGCCTCCACCAGCCAGACTGGAAAACCTCACAGGACATGAGACATCAGCTACAGTACATAGAAGGGTCTTTTCTCTGTAGTGAAAAATAACTACCCCTACACCAAATAGAGCTCCAGTTCAACCTATGACTCAAAATGACCAAATCAATTTCCAGTAACATGACGGAATTACAGAACAGAGCCAGATAATACGTACAGCAATATATATGTATACACACACACATATACACATACACTCACAGAGACACAGACACACACACAAACACACACCACCTAACAAGGTAAAATTAACAATGTTTGGCATCCAATAAAAATGTATCTGGCACACAAAGAAAAAAGAATATATGGCTCATTATAAGAAAAATGATCAGTTCATCAGGAGCACATAACCATCCTAAATGGTTTTATACCTGCCTAGTAACAGAGTTTTGAAATCGCTGAAGCAAAAACTCTTAGAATGACTAGGAGAAAAAAATCACAAGCTTAATCACATTTGAAAAATATCATTCTGTCTATAATTAATAGAACAAATAGAAAATTGTTGAGGATATAGAAGATTTGAAAAATACTATCAAGTAACTTGATCTAATTGACATTTAATGAATATTAACACCTAAAATATCACAGTAAGCATTCTTTTCAACTGAACCCAGAATATTTTCTAACACAGACCATATAATAGGCCAGAAAAAGTCTCAAATACATTTAAAAGAATCGGAGGAATTGTCTTCATCCATTTGTGTTGCTGTAAAGGAAAACCTGAGGCTGGGTAATTAATAAAGAAAAAGTTACAGTCACAGTTCTGCAGGCTGTGCAAAAAGCTCAGTGCCAGCATTTGCTTCTGGTGAGGCCCTCGGGAAGCTTCCAGTCATAGTGGAAAGTGAAAAGTTGAAGGGAAGCCTGTGTGTGCAGAGACCACATGGCCAGAGAGAATCCAAGAGACAGAGGAGGGAGGTGCCTGGTTCTTTTAAACAAACAGCCCTTGCAGGAACTGATAGAGCAAGAACTCACTCTTCACCATGAGGAGGGCACCAAGCTGTGCATGAGGGCTTTGTCTCCAGGACACAGTCATCTCCTCCAGGCCCCACCTCCAACACTGAGGGACACATTTCAACATGAGATTTGGAGGAAACAAACATCCAAACCATATCAGGCACATACAAAATATGTTCCCCGACCACAATACAATTACATTAGAAATCAATAATAAAAGCATCTCTTAAAAATTTCCAATTGTTTGAAAACTACATAATATACTTATTATTTAAATAGCCACTCATGCCAATAAAGAAATAAAAATTGAAATTATAAAATAATTTGAACTGGATGTAAAGGAAAACCCAACATTAAATCCAAAGTGATTTGAAGACAGGAAATGATGCAGACGAAAGAAGGGAAAAATGAGGTAGAAAACATTTTAATAGAAGAGAAAATCAAGAGCTTTGATGAGATTAAAAATTGATAAAAATTCATCGGACTGATGGGAGTCATAAATTACCAAGACCAGAAAGGGTAGAAGGTGCATCACTGCAGATCAGAGGCTGAGAGGGTAATAACGGAATATCCCGAGCAGCTTTATGTCAGTGCATTTGAGAGCTTGGATAAGATGGAAAAATTACTTGAAGATACAAACTATCAAAGACAATGCAAGAACAGTCATATAAAACTTGAACAAACCTCTCTCTATATTAGAAAGTGAATTTTTACTGTAAAACCTTCCCATAAAGAAAACTGAAGGCCCAGATAGTTCCACTGGTGAATTCTACAAAGTACATACAGAAGAAATTATGCCAATCTGTCACAAACCTGCAAAAAAATTAAAAGGATACATTATTTCCCAATAGATTTTTTGAAGCAAGAATTACCTTCATCCCAAAACTACACTAAGACATTACAAGAAAATAAAACTGTAAGTCATCATCCCACATGAACACAGGTGCAAAATTTCTAAGCAAAATTATAGAAATGAACCCAACAATACATTTTTAAAAAATGCATCATAACCTAGTGGAGCTTATTTCAGGAACGCAAAGTTGGTTCAATGTTATATTGTATAATGAATCATTCCACTGGCCTTTTCCCCTGGTTCCTGGGAGACTTTAGATCCCTGTAATTTCCCAAGTAATAGGAGTGTCCTTGTTATTCAGGAGCCCCTTGGACCACATATGAGTTTATGCTAAGGATGAACTGACTCAGGATGGGGCTTTACCAGAAAGACCAGCCGTGTAATTAGAGGGTTGGGGCTTGAAGACAGCCTGACCTCCAGGGAGTGAAGGGGCTACAGATGAAGTTTACTCACCTGACCCACGACTCAATCATGCCTACCTAATAAAGCCCCATAAAAACTCTGGACACCAAGGCTTAGTGGAGCTTCCAGTTGATGTGCCTGGATAGTGACGTGCTTGATCCCACAGGGAGAAAACACGAAAGCTGTATGCTTGAGATCCTCTCAGATTTTGTCCTGTGTCTCTTGATTTGGCTGATCTTGATTTGTGTCCTTTAGAATCAAATTGTAATGATAATGTTTATATGGTTTGTGTGAGTCATTTATTGAACTATTGAATTTGAGGAAGATTGGGAAGTACTCTATACTTGTAGCCAATTAGTCAGAAGTGCAGGTGGCCTGGGGACCCCAAATGTGGCTGGTTTCTGGAGTGTGGAGAGTTTTCTGGGAATTTACCACTTAAAGTGGTGGTGTTTAGTGTCAGAAAACATTCAAAAATCAATCATTCATTGTAATTCAGTAATTAAAATAGAGAAACCATGTGATTATCTCAATTGATGCAGACAAAATCCAACATCTATTCCTAGTAAAATCTCTCAGCTATCAACCTGATAATGGGAATCTATTAAAAACCTATAATTAATATCATACTTAATGCTGAAATATTCTATATTTTCCCCTAAAATTAGTAACAGGAGAGACTGTATGGTTCTTATCTCTAAAATTATTATTGTTTTGGGAGTTCTAAACAGCTAAATTAGAAAAAAAAAGAAGAAGAAGACAATCAGATTGAGTAGAAATAAATAAATGAGTAAACTGCCTATTTTCACAGATTACAAGCTTATTTAAATTTAAAAAAAATAAAAACTACAAAACACACACACATAATAATGAATGCAAGTTTGCAGGATACACATTCATTATACAAAAGTCAAATGTACCTAGCACCCAGATCTTGGTTTCTAATGTCATTCTCCACAAAAGAAATCAGGGCTTACTGCAGAAATGGTTGACTCTAAGACTGGGGCAAGAAATAGAAAAGGTAAGCCTGAAACATCTTATAGTCCCAGAAATTTAAAACGCGCTGAAAAAAAAAAAGGAAAAACCAACCCATTTTTAAAACCATGTGGATAATGGTAAGAAACAGAGGAGCCAGCTGAATGTATGTCCAATGGCCAAAAGTAGAACACAGTTAAGCCACAAAATAAACAATTATTGGATTATAGCCCAAAGTATAAAGTACATATCCATGAGTCCGTACTGATATAAAGAAATGATTGAATAAGTGAGTAACTTGGGAAGATGAGACCACTGTCCCATGCAGAAGAATTTCAAATCCCTGTAGATTCCCTGCCCTCAAGAAGGGGTAGCATGACCCCTCTCCTGAAGCATGGGCTGTGCATAGTGACTTCCTTCCAAAGAGTGCAATATGAGGGGCAGGGAAAGGAGCAGCTTTACAGTGGAGAAACCTGGTGACCACTGCCTCAGCCCCACAACCAAGGTTGGGAACACTGGCATTGAGTCCATACCTTCATACAGTGGGATGAGAATGGCACGTTTCACCACGACCAAGGTTGGGAACACTGGCATTGAGTCCATACCTTCATATAGCAGGATGAGAATGGCACGTTTCACCATGACCAAGGTTGGGAACACTGGCATTGAGTCCATACCTTCATACAGTGGGATGAGAATGGCACGTTTCACCTCTGTGATCCCCCTTCCTCCCAAAAATATATAACCCCTGTCTAGCCATAAGGAAAACATCAGACAAATCCCAGGTGAGGGACACTCTATAGAACACCTGAGTAGCCCTCAAAACTGTCAAGATTGTCCAAGACAATGGAAGCCTGAGCCACTCATAGCCAAGTGAGGCCAGGAAGACATGACGACTGAAAGTAACCTAGGATTCCGCATGGGATCTTGAAACGGGGGAGGGCGTTAGGGGAAAATGAAAGAAACTGGAATGGAGTGTGGATTTTAGTTACTGCATCAGCATAGGCCCATCAGTTGTGACAACTGTCCATGCTAATGTAAGATATTTACAATAGGAGAACCTGGGTGCGGGGGTAGGGGACTCTATATTACCCTCTCAATTTTTTGGTAAATCTAAAACTGTTCTAAAAAATAAAGCCTATCTGAAAGCATGTATTCATGTCAAAAAATAAACTTTATTCTGTAATACTTACAAACGATATTTGGAACTTGAAATGCTTAGAATACACTTTAGAATAAGATAAAAAGTAGGAATATTTAGCATCAAGTAAGGCAAAGACATGCAACACCTATACACCGAAAACTATAAAGTAATGCTGAGTGAAAATAAAAAGCCTAAGTAACAGAGAAAATACACCATGTCCATAGGTCATAAGACCCAATAATCTTACCAAATATGCCCAAATTGATCTATATATTTGATGCAATTCCAAGTCCCAGAAATATTGTTTAAGAAATTCATTAAATAATTTGTTTTACATTTTTGTTTATTTTTTCAATTGACAAAATTTATAAATATTTGTGGTGTACAAGAAGATTGATAAATGTATATACATTGTGGAACAGCTAAATCAAACTACTGAATATATGCGTAATAACATCATTTTAAAATTTATCAGAAAGTACAACAGACAAAGTTAAAGGCCTAACATCTGATTCAAAACTTACTATAAAACTGCAATACTCAAACCAGTGTGATCTTGTCATAAATGCAGATAATAAATAGACCCATGGGAAGAAACTAGGGGGGCCAGAAATAGACCCAAGTATATATACACAATTAATTTTCCACAAAAGTACAAAGGCGTTTCAGCAGAAAAAAAAAAAGAGTATTTTTTAACAAACAGTGCTGAGACAATTCGTTATGTATTAAATGAGCTTTATCACACCATATACAAAACTTGATTCACAGTAGATCATAGAAATAAATGTAAAATCAAAAATTATAAAACTTTGAGAAGAAAACAGGAAAAAAATCTGTATGACCTTGGGCTAGCCTTGGCTCCTGGCGCTGGAGCAGAAGCACGGCCCTTTGAGGCAGGCTGGAAATCTCCAACAGCCACCAGAGGACTCAGCCAGGGCCAGCCCCTCGCTAGCAGGGAGCACAGCTGCAGAGGCCTTTTGATGTGTTTATGCTCCCGGCTTTTCCTTTCTGAGCAAAAATCATTTCTAAATCTTCCTCTAAGCAAGTCCGATATCAGCTCCTCTGGCGCCCCCTAACGCTCGGCTGTGGTAAAGCACCCGTTCCTCCTCTCCCAGGAAGACGGCGGGAGAGATCTCAGCGCAGATAAAGCACTCCCATGCTTTCAGATGTCAGCTGAGACCATGTGCATACCTCATGCTGTGCGTGCGTGTGTGTGTGTGTGTGTGTGTGTGTGTGTGTGTGTGTGTCACAGAGAGAGAGACCCACACACAGGCCTGGGAAGGGGAGGTGACCTCACCCCTCCCCTCTCAGTGTCTCGGGGTGTTCAGCAGCTCCAGACGAGGACAGGCCACATTTACTTGTGCTCTTCAGGGCTGGTCCTGCCTCTCCTGTCCCCACACCTACCCACCCTCTGAGCTTTTCCTCTTGGATTATTCCCTTTTGTTCATCTTCGATCTCAGGGCTGTGTTCCCATTCCTCCACACCTACAAACTGTGCCAGTCTCCAAGGGTGAATCTAGAATCTACTTATCTCAATATTGTACTCACCTTGTTTTTAACCTTGAAACTCTAGCTCCTATCAAAGCGACTCAGAATCTCCGTGCTGTAAGTCACACAGTTCAACCACAAATGGTCACAATTTGAAGGGACTTTCTCATTGTGGTCCAGCCCCCACTCCTGACCCTTTGTGGCAATCAGAAGGGACCAAGGATACCAGCACTGAGGGTTTGTAAGAGGCCACACCGCTTGATGGTGCAAAGGTGGAAAGGAACCCAGACCCCTGGCTCTTAACTGAGAGATGCGTTGGCTCCATCCTGCAGCCTCAGGGCCGCTGCTCTGCCATGCTCCCTGTGTGGGCTCTGCACAGCCCTTGCCTGATTTGCTGCTGTCGGTGACAGATAACAGGTGAAAAAGCGAGGACCACACTGCCCATTACTGAGGATCAGCCCTGACAGGGAGCGTAGGTGGGAGAAGGAACCAGCACCTCCCTGCTGAGTTGCCAAAGCTTGGAAGGGCAGAAGCCACTTTGCACCGTTGCTTTCACCCAGATCTACCTGCATAGAGCTACACGCACAGCTCTTCAGAAAGCCACGTGATAAAATAAGAATCATCTGTTCTGAGTGCGTCTATGGTTTATATTTAAAATATCAAAACCCATTAAAATAATATTTAGCATCAGATAGAAGATTGGTGACTCACAAGGTCACCATGAACAGTAAGAGTAGGGGACACTTTTAGTCTCTAATTGGATGAGGCCTGCGATAACTCCACCCTGAGCTGCCCTGTCTGGGTGTACAGTGCAGTCAGCCGGCCCTGGGCCCAGCGCTGTGAGGCCTGGAGCATCAACTGCTGCATTCCTGGACTCACACTCTTCCTCTGCACCTTGCTCAGATCCACTGATTTTCCAGCACAAGTCTTAAGCTACCCAATAGCAGGGATTTTTCTTTTCTCCATTTTCTTGTCCTCACCCTGCTCCACACTTCAGGTAGCACCCGGACTGTGTATGCCCCGGTGGTGCCCAATAAATGCCCCTGCCCAGCTGGCTCCCGGTCCAACCCAGCCTTCCTCTCAGTCCCCTCCTGCCTTTATCCCCCCAGCACTCAGCCCATCTGCACCCCTCTTGCGCCTGCAGGGTGTGTACCTCACAGGGCGGGAGCCCGGCTCACCAGGGGCTCACAGGGACGGCTGCCTTGGGTGGACAGCAGAGCCAGCACCACTTACAGGAGCCTGTGGGAGAAAGAAGTACACACTTACCAGCCAGAGGAGAAGCGATTCCAGAAGGAATGGGGTCAGTTTGCAGGGCCCCTCATGCCATTTCTGATGCAGACTCTTCTCCATTTCTCATGGCCTTTCTCCCACGTGGCTCCAGGTTCTGAACCTTGGCATCAGAGGGACACGGCTGCTCTCATTAGCTCTCAATTTTTAAGGGTTCACTTCCCAAAGAACGAGCTGAGTCACGGACTTTGCAAATCCAATCATTGCACAGGAGCACCAAGCAATATCACACAAAGTCAGCATTCCTCATTATATCTCCTCTATCAATTTACCTCGGAACCAATTATTAATTCCCCTCTCTCCCCTCGGGCCACACTTAGTCACACCATCACGGAAGCTGGAGAAAATGGTCTTAGCCACCAGGTGGTTCCCAGTCTGCTCTGGCACCAGCTCTAGCTCTTAGCTAATCTGATCTGGTAGAGGATTCCAGGGGCCCCCATGAATGCCTGGGGTGAGCACAGCATCCCCTCCAGAGAGACAGGATCACAGGGGGCAGCTGGAGGGCCCCTGGTCTGAGGCAGGGTCCAGACTCCTTCCCTAGGAGCACAGCCTAAGTGGAATTTCCAAGCATAAAATGCAAGCGTGCAATTGCTTCAGGAAATGTTCCCCTGGGTATCAAGATCTGTTCAGTAAAGAGCTGCCTGGAGCTCACAGGGTCAGGAGCTCCTGGCGAGAGGGGGAAGCAGGGGGTGTTTGCGTCCACAGTCAGCTGGGGGCCTCAGAGAAACCCAGCCTCAGCGTGGGTGCTCAGAAGGACTTTGTCCCCCTCCACAGGTGAGCCTTCCACAGGAACCGCAGGACCCCTCAGGCTGGTTCACGCTGACCTTCCTCCATCCAATCTGTAGCTTAAGGATGATGGCAAAGCTCAGATGCTAATCAGTGCCTGAACCCACATGAGGTATCCTCTGATATCGTATCTCGTTTAATCCTCACACAAGTCCTATGAGTGCAGAAAGCCATCCCTATTTTATATATTTAAAAATGAAGGCCTAGAGGCACTTAATAACTTCTTCAAGGTCACACAGTGCCAGGATGCAAATTCAGATTTCTCTAAATCCAAGAGCCAGGCAGGCATTTTCCCTCATACATCTGCCAAGCATGATTCCTCTTTCATTAAAGAAAAAGGATAATTTATATTACTATTAATTAATCTGTGTTTGTTCTGACATTTTCTCTTCTTCATCTCCATTTCAGGCAGGAAATTAAACTTTTTCATGTTTTCATTTCCATATCTCAGAGACTTTTCTTAAGACATTTTAAAAAATGGGGGCATCCAGAACTCAAAATAATGCCAGTCTATTATAAAATTCCGGACCTATAAAAAATTATGCCAGCTGTCTGCCAAGATTGGCAAATGAGTAAAGGTTTTAGAGAAAAGGTAGAAAGAGAATCCAGCAAATGACACCTGCCTGTCAGAGGAGATGTGTGCCTGGATAAAAATATATCAAATTAGAATGGAGGAATTGGAATGCACATGTGCTAGGAAAGGAAGCAGCATTTTATGCACGCTGGGTGAGAATGAGGGAAGGGATTACCAGCAACTCCCCTTTCCACCACCGTAGCCCCACAGTTCCCCAGGAATGGTAATCTCATCCTTCCCCTCAAGGGCCATTTCCAGTGCATAAAACCCCATCATTTGGATTCTGTCTTAAGACTAACTTCAATAACTCCTTTGAATCTATAAGCCGTATATACAGTGATGTTAATTAAAGGTTGGTTCTGATGGCTGCAGGAGCCAGCAGTGCAGTCATGGGTAGATAAAATACAGTCGACGCACATCAGAGCACATCACAGAAATCAAAGTCCTGTGCACGAACAGCCATGTAGATGGTGTTGGGTAAAAGAAAAAGTGAGAGAGAATTCATAGCACAGACAGAAAGGGCTGCCAGGGGATGCTGGCAAGGTGCTGATCTTCACCTCGCTGCAGCAGACAGGGGTGGGGCGTTCCCAGACAGGGCCCGTTCCCAGGATGGGCTGACACAGCCAGGTGTAGCATGCACACTGGCTTAAGTGCCTGCCATTTCTTAATGGCAGGTGGCCCAAGGGGGTTCAGAGTCCTCCCCACCACCTTCAGAGCCTCAGCCCCTGTCAAGGTGAGGCTTCTCCAGGCCTCTGCCCTCCTCGGGTTTGGCAAGGGCCACTCCCTCCAGATCAAGGCTCCCGCTCAGCCAGCCTGGGGGTCCAGGACCCACCTTGGAGCACCGAGGCCCAGCACTGTCTCAGGTTCCCATGCTCAGGAGGCTTCTGTGGAGCTGTCACCATGGCCTTGTCCATGGGGAAGGGAACTCAGAGAGACCAGGATACCGTGGAGAGCCACGCAGCAGGCCGTGGGCACGGCAGGACCTTGCTGCGACTCCCCAGGACGCTGGACTCTACCCGGACTCCCCCAACTCTCTGGTGGTAGCAGGCTCCCCCAGTTCCTGTGCTCCCTCCACGCCTGCCCTCCTGGAACCTTCCCCAACCACAGTGGCCTCTCCAGCCTGTCCCAGTGTGAGGCCTTTCCTGCAGGCCAGGTCTGCTTGGAAAGAGCAAGGAGGGGCGCAGCAGCCTCTCTACCTTTAGGACCCTGCCTCCAGGTGAACGTGCAGCTCCATATCAAAGCCGGGCCAGCTTACGGACAGACCAGCCTCTCCCAGAACACCCGGCGTCCCCGCTGGCTTTTGCCAGGAACCCTGGCTCCCCGAGCCCTTGGCCGGTCACTGTGAGGCCAGATGATACCACCCAGCACCGTGGGCTGCCCTGCCTCAGAACCTACTCGCGTCTGGTTCACAAGATCTGAAGACCTGGACCTCCTCCCCACAAAGGTGGCCACCATCGACCACTCAACTCTATTCCAGGATCGCTGGCCACCTGGACTAACCAGGCTGACCCGATCTCTGGAAAGGTGTGTTCTTGTCCCAGGGACAGCTCTGTGTTATGGAGTCCGAGCAATGGGAGAGGCGCAAGGCTAAACTCTGGTACTCTCAGGGTATGTGGGGAGGGTCTGCCCTTTCTGCAGAGATGTAGACCAGGATGGGAAGAGTGTCCTCTGCCCATAGAAAGCTTGAGGATAGACTCTAGGAAGATCTTCCTGAAAGGGAGGCCAGGGAGAGCCAGAGACTCAGAGGGCACCATGGCCTCAGTCTGTTAAGCGAAAGACAGCCTTGCAAGAGGCAAGGTCTGGATGGGATGCCATCCCACGCTGGTTTCCAGACCAGTCAGCCTCAAGCATCCTCACCAGGAGTCAGCATGAGGATGAACCCTGGCACAGACGTAGGCACAGGTCCTGGGGTGACTGGTACCTCCTGCTGCTTGGCCAGTCATCACTGGCCTCGCAGAGGACAAATAGGATGGTGTGTCCATCAGGGGCCTTTCCTTCACCCTGTGAAACTGATACAAATCGGGGTACCCAATTCCCCTGCTCAGGAGGGAACTACAGCTTCCGGGCTCGTGATGACTCTGGAAGGGCTGTCTGCTCTGTCCAGGGAAAAAGAAGCCTGCAGTTAGGATGTTCATCAAGTGAGACCGACAGGTGTTTGCGGCTGGCTCCTTTCCAGGTGCTCCGGGATGTCAGCGGTCACCCAAGAACGGCCTCTGCCCTTTGAAGCTGACAGTCTCGTCTGAGGTATGTGATCAGAGGGCAGCTATGCAGGGGGTTGGGGTGAGGCATCCTGGCTTGTAAATTCCTAGTGCTCCTGGCTTGCAAAGAGGGAGAATGCTGCCTGGGCTGGAGTGGATGAGGAAGCCAGGACAGTGGAGGAGAGTGGAGGATCCACTGAAGGGTGAGGAGGGCTGCCAGATTTAGCCAAAAATCCACAGAGTACCTCAAGGAAGCAGAACAGAACCCCTCACTCCCCAGCTCAGGGCTGTGCACAGTGACATTTCTTTGAAAGAGTACAATATGTAAATGGAGGGAAAAGGTGAACTTTGCAATGGGAAAGCCTTACACACCCCTCAGCCTGGCGATCTCAGTCAGCATCCACAGTGACCTGTCAGGATAGTAGGGTGTGCCCTCGTCACACTGTGATGGGATGGCACTGCAGTTCTGCGGGCTCACGCCACACCGCAGCCCAGTCTAATCACAAGGAAGACATCAGACAAATCCCGACTGGGGAAAATTCTACATCACACCTGACCTCAAAAGCGCCTGGGCCATGAGAAGCAGGGAAAGACTGAGAGACTGTCACAGCCAAGAGGAGGCTGGGCAGACGGGCTAATGTCATGTGGGATCCTGGATAGGACCCTGGGAAACAAAGAGGACAGGGAAAACTAAGAAAATGAGGGAGTGGATTTGGGGAACAGTGACGTGTCCTTGTTGATAATAGCATGTTGATGTGTTCATTAACTGTGACAAATGAGGCATGCTCACATAAAATGCTAACAGCAGGAAAACTGTGCAAGGAGTGTGTGGGGACCCTCGCACCATATTGGCAACATATATTCTCCAGCTACTCTAAAATGAAACAATTATTTAAAAATACAGAGTACACAGTTAAATTTAAATTTTACATAAACAGGTAATATTTTCTCGTAAGTGTGTCCCATGAAATATTTGAGACCTTCTTATTCTGAAAAAGTATTTGTTGTTTACTTGAAAATTAAACGAATTACTGAGCATCCTGTGTTTTATCTGGCAACCACAGAGGTTGGGAGAGTTCAGAGGGGAGGAGAAAAAACATTGCCCCAGGGAATAGTGGACTCCATTCACCCCAGAGTAAAATCAGAGTAAAATCATCACTCTGCAAAGACCCGCCACAAAGCCTGCGCTTCTTGGATGTTAAGTTCGGCAGTGTCTCAGATCATGTAATCTGACCCCGAGGGTTTTTTAGTTACTGTTTTTGTTGCTTAAGAACAACTCAACAAAATAAAATTCCTGCTTATTGTTGGATAACACTGTCTCACATTTACATCAAACAGGCTAAAAATAAATAAATAAACAGCATCTTCATGGACAAAAAAAAAAAGACCTTTTATTTTTGGCCTTTTAAACGGTCTCATAGGAACCAACCACTTATGGTAAGTACAGCTAAGTACACACACTAACAAGTTACTGGAATGCTCGGAAGAAGATTGGCATTTTGTTGCCGTTTTTTATTTTCCTACAAGGTTTTTTCTTGAGGTTGTAGTGAGCATGGTTACACCACAGGCAAAGTCAAGAAGTAGGACAGAGCGCACTCTGAAGGCTGGTTTGGTCATTCCAGATCATCAAAAACGGCTGACCCTAACCATGTGTACACAAATGTAAAATGTAAACAAAAAATACAAACAAGTTTTTTTTAAAGTACCTTTTAGAAAAAAGTGGGGCCTTAGGAAGTTTTGGTTCTTTTTTCCGCCCGTGTTGCAAATGCCCGTGGTTGGGTTGGGGGCGGGACAGCGCCTCTGCAGGCCGGGGTGGGATTTGCAAGTGTCTCGTACATTATTATTAATTGTAGTCACCAGCTTGTAAAACAGATTTCCAGAACTTACTCCTCCTGCCTACCTGAAACTTTGTAACACCTTCCCGTTCCCTGCTCCACGTAGATCCTGGAAGCTACTATTTAATTCTTGGCTTCGATGAGTTCACCTTTTTATAATTCCATGTATAAATTATGTGGTATTTGTGAGTCATATCGTGTGTGTCTTTCTGTGCCTGGCTTGTTTTGTTAGCGCAACGTCCTCCATGTTCATCCAAGTTGTCATAAATTACAAGATTTCTTATTTTCCAAGGCAGAATAATATTTCATGTTCATTCATCTATAAATGGACATTTAGGTTGTTTTAATGTCTTGGCTCTTGTGAATAATGCTGGAATGAACATGAGCGTGCAGACATCTCTTTGACATCCTAACTTCACTTCCTTTGAACGTATACCCAGAGGTGGAATTGCTGGATCATATAATAGTTCTATTTTTAATTTTTTTGAAGAACCTCTAGACTTTTTTCCACAGTGGCTGTACTAATTGACATTCTCACCAACAGGCTTCCCTTTTCTCCATATCCTCTTCAATAATTGTTATCTTGGGTTTTTTGTTTGTTTGTTTTTGGTTGGTTGGTTGGTTTAGAATAGCCACCCTAACAGGTGTGAAGAAGTTTCTCTTTGTGGTTTTAATTTGAACTTCCTTGATGATTATTAATGTTGAGCTTTTTTTTCCATAAATGTATTGGCCGTTTGTATATCTTTTGAGAAATGTCTATTCATGTTCTTTGCCCATTTTTAAATTATGTTGTTTTCTTGCTATTGAGTTGTTTGACTTCCTTTTGTATTTTGGATGTTAACGGACATAAAAACAGACGTAAAGTCCAGTGGAACACAACAGACCACAATAGACTCCACAACAGACTCCAGAAATATGCCCATGCCTTTATGGTCAACTGATTTTCAACAAAGGTGCCAAGAATAAACCATGGGAAAGGACAATCTTCTTAATAAAATACATTGGGAAACCAGCTATCTGCATGTGGACTAACGAAATTAGACCCTTACTTCACACTGCATAGAAAAATCAGCTCAAAATGGGTAAGGACTTGGGTCCTGAGACTATAAAACTTCTAGAAGAAAACAGGAAAAAAAGCCCCTTGACATTGGTCTGGGCAATGATTTTTGGGACATGAGGTTCAGTTGGGCAGGAGGACTAAGTTCTGGAGATCTATTGTACAGCATGGTGACAAAAGTTAATCATAACGTACCTGCAACTTGCTAAGAAAATAGATCTTAAATGTTCTAACCACAAACAGAAAGGATAATTATGTGAGGTAATGGATTTGTTAATTAGTTTCACTGTGGCAATCATTTCACAATGTACACATATATCAAATCATCACATCATGTACCATAAATATACACAATCATTATTTGTCAATTATGCCTCAATAAAGCTAGAAAAAGCATGTTGTATTCCACACACAGGTATCAAAAGCAAAAATAGACAAATGAGATTACATCAAATCAAAAGGTTTCTGCACACTAAAGAAAATAATCAATAGAGTGAAGACACGACTCACAGAAAAGGAGAAAATATTTGCAATCCGTTTATTTGAATGCAATATTTTTTAACTTCTGTGCTTCACAAATAACATAAATGATGGTAAAAGGGAAACAGACCAACAGAATATTGGAAACAAATATGAGAATTAAATATTGATATTCTCATCTTATCCTACTATGGTAAAGAGTCCTTAGAAATCATGGGGAGAGGGAGAGAAACACAGCTAGGCCATAAGCTTGCACCTGCATTTAAAATCCCTGGCTCTCACATTACCCTACAAGGTCACATTTGGTGTTGTACTAGCCAGTTTCTCAGCCTTACCCCAGGGCAGGGTACCCTGCCGCCCAGGGTTGCAGTAGGCTGGGACTACCCTGGAACACTGAAGCAGTGGAGAGCTCCCACCCTCAAAGCACAGTGACCACAGGCATCTTGGGCTCCTTTCTGAGGACCACTGTCTGCCACCTGCAACCTCTGCTCTCTGCTCCTCCTCTAGAAGAACCTCCTGCCAGGGCCCAGATGTAAGGCTGGTTGTGGCCTGCACCCTTCCCCACCACTGCCCTGAGCTGGACACTGACTCTCTGTAATTATCTGCCCAGAAGGCAGGGATGTGGTGGTCCAGATCAGAATAAGCAACCCAGAACACAGCCTATCCCTCAGAGGAGTCAGCTGTCAAGCTTTCTCTGGGGAGGCCCCTAGCAGCTTCCTCAAGCACTCCCTGAAATGGTAAGCATTGTGGTGGGAGACAGATAAATGGAGACTCCCTGCAGTGGACTGGTCTGGGGTTCTGTCTCCTGGCTGGGTGCCCATCCATGGGGGTGGGGAGGACTGAATCGAACTCTTCTCAAGGCAGGAGGATATGTGAAAGGAAGAAGGACCTCAGCTGTGCATTAGGAATCCAGGGCATGGTGCATTTCAGGGGAATCCTCATGGTCAGTCAGGGATATTATAGTGTTAGTTGAGCATTTGGAACTGCAGGGCTCACCAAGACCAACCTGGATGATGGCACGTGGAGTCCCTCCTCTGTGACTTCCACACAGCTTCCAGAGCTGACTCCAGACTCCCAGGCAGAATTGTTGTCTTGAGCCCAGCGGGGGCCAGGCATGACCACTGCGTTCCCTCTGCAATGAGCAGGAGCCTTGGGGCTCACACACACACAGACGTTATTCTCCTTCCAGGCCTGGATGAGTGGTAGGCGCCCTCCTGCCCACGATTCTCCTCCATCTGCATGCCCATGTCACGAGTGATTCTAATGACAACCACTTCCTTTTCAGGGTGAAGTGTCACAGCATAAATACTTAAATGCTCCCCTATTGCCATGTTTGCAAGTTTCTATCAATGGAGGAATCTGGTGATTATTCAAGGAAGTGACATTAAGACCAGGGAAGTGATAAGCGGCCCTGGGGAGTTGTGCAGAAGAGTCAAAACCTCATTGTCATTTTCTCCTCAACTCACATCCCCTCAGGCACTTAGGACCAGTGTGGGCTGAGAAGAAGGTGTTTTTATTCAGTATCACAGAGTTTCCACATAGGTGAATTGAGGTAATTCACTGCTATCCAGAGAGATGAAATTGCATTTTTTGAGACACAATCTTTCCTTCCTTCTCACTAAGCACTATCATTGTTCCATATATTTATCTGGAGCTTTACTGCACCAACCTAAAATAAGTAAAAGGGCCGGGTGCGGTGGCTCACACCTATAATCCCAACGCTTTGGGAGGCCAAGGAGGGTGGATCACTTGAGGTCAGGCGTGTCTGGCTCAGAGCAGGTGCCACATACATTATATACATATATATGTAGAATGTTGAGTTCTCTCAAACTTCTTGTGGCACAGGTAGCATTTCTATGACATTGCAGTGTTGGAGCTCAGGTCTGGCTGGCTTAAGTTTGGGTGTTTTCACCTGTCCCAGGCTGCCGTCAGTGAAGAGAACATATACAACTTCCCGGTCCCTACACTTCCTTTATCACACTCAATAAAGTCAATCTGATAGACTAAGAATGAGCCAGGCATGCATTCCCATGGAAGGTGGCACTCATCATTAAAGACTTGCCATCGCGCGGGTTCAGCAGGAGCCCTGGAGAAACTGGTACAGGAACAATTTGGTGTCATTCTGCACCAGATGGGGATCTCTCTGACACACATGAATTGTACTGCTTTCCCCCAGTTTCTGTCTGTTTAGGGACAGGGCTGGGCTCTCCAGGTTGCCATGTAATGGGGAGTGGGCTTCAGTGCAGCCTTCAGAGGTGTAGGGGAGTCAGAGACCCCCTCCCCATCCTCCCTTAGCTGTGATGTGGGCTCTTCGGCTGGATCTAGAAACCAAATTGACACTAAGTAGACTTTACATGTGCGTGGGGATCTTCACAACGGATCCAAAGAAGTGGCCAAAGCAAGATGCTTATATACTTTTTAGGCAAAAATGATGTGTTTGAGACGAAATGACAGGACACAGGGGATCTGGCTAGGGGCAGCACATTTCCAGGAGAGTCACGAGGAGACATGTATGGGGGTGGACGACTAGCGGAAGGTGAAGGTTACCTCAGCCAGTCCATTGCAGCCCCAGTGCACGGCCTCTGGTAATGGGGGCTATTTTCTCGCCCTGGTGTGGACAGGGTACCCCTCCCAGAGGAAGCTGTATGGCTTGCCACGTGTAGAAAGAGACAGGTCAGTTCACACTTTCTGAAACTACAATTTCTTCAATGTTTTCCACTGGAAATAATCAGTACCCCAATCCAGCATATTTGAGATGGCAAGTCCTTCGTGCCTTCAGAGGCTTTGTAAGTGCTGGTCGCCATTGGTCATGCATTGGCCTCCCTCTATCCTTTCTCAGAGCTGCCAGGGAGCTCACCTCTCATGCTGCTCCGGAAGCCCTCCCTCCTCCTGCTTTCTGGCCAGGTTGGCCTTGAGCAGGTGCAGAGGGAGGACAAGGGGGTCTTCTCCAGGCTTGGATTCCTGGATCCCTGGAGAGAGTTAGCCATTAGTGGGAAATAAGACAATGTGGAAAAGGCCCGGGGAACACAGACCTCCTCTGCCCAGTTTTCCAAACCAGGTCCAAGAGACAGCATCTGGATGTTGTCTGTTCAGATGAATGGCCCAAATGGTGACTGCCTTGGGCCAGGCAGGAAAAGAAGGCAACTTCATGACATGTTAGTGAAGGGTGGGTGGGGGCTGCATATCATTGAGGTAGAGGCACGGGCCAGGCCCTGCACACAGTAGACTCTGTGTTTACGGAGGCCTCATTCAGGTGGCAGCCAGGCACACTCAGGTGCCAGGAGCAGACGCCGTCCAAGAACCCTCCTCAGAAGGGCTGCCCCTATGGAGCACTGAGGTCCCAGCCACGCTCTGCCTGCACTGACCACCTCGGGCAGCAGGAGGACTGGATGGAGGACCGAGGTCCCAGCCACATTCTACGTGCACTGACCACCTCGGGCAGCAGGAGGACTGGATGGAGCACTGAGTCATCGAGCTCACCGCCACCAGTAGGAGGGCTCCCTGCTTTGCAGGGCTGTCACCAGCCACCTTGCAGGCACAGACCCAGCCTGCACCACTGCCAGGAAGCATTTTCCAAACTCCCTGTGCCTTGCTGGGCCTGGAGCACCCTGATGCCCTTGGCTTTCCACTGGGATTTCTCTGCCAGGGAAGCTGCCCATTCTGTGGCCTCAGCCCCTGCACGACAGCAGGTTCCCTTCACTGCAAATTCCTTTTCCCTGATTGAAATTCTTCTCCTCCTCCTCCCAGGTCAATTGAAATACTGTCTCCTCCGTGGATCCTTCCAGACATGTGTTCTCTCATTCTGAAGTAATTGTTTCTTCCTCTTGGCTCCACTGTACTTTGTTTACAACATTTCTATGGATTTATCTTTTCTGGCAGTGTGTCACTACCATCTGTGTATACTTATTAGCTCCCCATAAGATTGTAAACCACCCATGTGTAGGGATTATCTTTGACTCTTCTTTGCCCCTTCCATATTATCCTGTAGGAAACTGTTTCCTCCTAAGGCCCAGCACAGTGCCCCACAGATAAAAGATGCCCGGGAAGTGTTTGTTGAGTGACTAGTAGATGGGAGAGAGGAAACTGAGGCACACAGCACACAAAGATCAAGAGACAAATAGTCAACTCTATAGGACTGTGAACCCAGAAAGTCTGAGACAGGTCTCAGTTAATTTAGAAAGTTTATTTTCCAAGGTTGAGGACGTGCCCGCGACAGCCTCAGGAAGTCCTGACGACACATGCCCAAGGTGGTCGGGGCACAGCTTGGTTTTACACATTTAGGGTCACATGAGACATCAGTCAACATGTAAGAAGTACATTGTTCGGTCTGGAAAGGCGGGGAGGCTGGAAGCAGGGAGGGAGCTTCCAGGTCACAGATAGGTGAGACACAAATGGTTACATTCTTCTGAGTTTCTGATTAGCCTCTCCAAAGGAGGCAAATCGGATGTGCATCCATCTCAGTGAGCAGAGGAGTGACTTTGAATAGAATGGGAGGCAGGTTTGCCCTAAGCAGTTTCCAGTTTAAGTTTTCTTTAGTGATTTTGGGAGCCCAAGATAATTTCCCTTTCATAGGACATACCCACACTTGGGCCTTCTGACTCTGAGTCCTGTACCCTTTTTACCAAAAGAAATCCATTTAAAATTTTCATCATTATTTTAAAGGCAGAAATGTTTTCCTGGGACCCCATCATCATTAACAAACATGGTTTGTTTCTATTGAGGCTTCTGGTCGCCTCTCTACCCTAAAGCATTGCTGCTCACCTTTAGGGAGGGTGCAGAACCTGACATGGGGCTTTCTCTATGCCAGGCTGTGTGCCTTTCCTGAGGATGGGGGCCGGGTACCCAGTTATTGATCCTCCCAGGCTTCCAAGGGGTTGAGCAAAGCACAGGTGGCTGGGACCCTGGGGACAGTAACGCCCAAGCATACAGGCCCAGTCTTAATGTTGTCTATGCTTGTATAATGTGCAAATGGCCAGGATACACAGCGACAAACTCTCACCAACATCCCCCCACCCCACCTTGCGTGCTCTTGTGTGCTCACACAGCACCTGCACACACACACACACATACAAGCACCTGCCCCTTGAATTGGCACTGGCTCCCAGAATACCTTTCCAAGCTGGGTCACTAAATAAACTCCATAAGAAATCTGTCAAGATGAAAATTAGTAAGATGCCCCATCATCATAGCTTTATCAAAGTTCCCTTGATAAAGTAGTACAAGAGCAAACCTTCCAAGAGGAAATGCTCACCACTGGGAGGGAGACCCACTGAGGGGCCAGGAGTGAGCCAAGCACCCTTCAGTACTGAACAGGTCCGGCAGGGTTTTAGGAACTGCGTATGTAATAACTCAGGCCTGTCCAGTTCTCCACTCCCAGCCCCAGCTCACTCCTACTACACACTAGATTTGCAATCCTGAGATGGCTGCCTAATCTCTCCATTTCTTGGATTCTCACTTCCCTCGAGAGAAACGCCCACCTGCCTGGGGCTGTCCCTGCACATTCTGCACATGGAGATGTGTTTCAGCTCCCCTCCCGCTCCTGAGATTCTCCCTGTTTAGATAATCCCTAACAGCACCAGACGGCGAGACAGCCAAGGCATTTGATGACTCTGTAAGTGTCAGACAGAGCTAAGATTGAAGGTGAGGCCAACCTGTTCTGTTTGGCATTAGATGAAGCTTGAGTGTGATCAGGGGTCCAGCCACCTCCTCTTTTCTGTGGTTCAAGGTGTTAGAAATGTACCTTTCTCAGGCAAGACGCAATTCTACATAAATTCAAGAATTTTTGCCTGTAAAAGTTCATGTTGGCCCAGAGATGAGAAATCTGAGCCAATTTAATACCTTCCTTCGAACATATGCTGTTTTTGGTTCCAATTGTCCCTTGCCAGCTTTCCCTGGCTCTGAAAAGAAGCAAACCAAAGGTTCACATTTGGACTGATTCGTGCTCAGGTCCAACCAACCTGTGCAGACCCAGGAGCCAGGCGCTGTGCCAGGCACGTTGACAGTGTTTGATCTCAGAGACTGAGTTTAGATTTTAGAATCAATTGAGTGAAAGGTGTATTAAATAACCATATTTTGTCAAGTTTCTCTATTAATTTTTTGAAACCTGTCTCCCTCTCTATTCCTACTGCCTCTGCAAATTTGAGGCCTTTGTCATTTCTGTGGGCTATTCACAGGGGGTCCCCAGCTGCTAGGCTCACCCCATTCACACCATCCTTCACACAATACCGACCATCCTTCCCCAAAATTCAAGTCCCCCTCTAATAAAAGCCTTTGTGGCTCCAAATTGCCTGCAGAATCCAAGCCTTCTGGATGCATCTTCTCAGCAGAGAAAGGGAGCGTTACGAGTTCAGACCGACACATGGTTCTTGCTCCTTCTGCAGACCCTTCACCCGCCCCTGCTCCCACTGTTACCAGTCTGTTTCCTCTCTTCAGGTGGCATTCACTTCCAAGTCCTATCTTCATGTCCCTCCTTTCCCTTGAGTAGCCTGGCTTCATCATTCACCCAGTCAAGTTCAACACATTTTTTTTTTAGATGGAGTTTTGCTCTCGTTGCCCAGGCTGAAGTGCAATGGTGCGATCTCGGCTCACCACAACCTCCGTCTCCTGGGTTCAAGTGATTCTCCTGCCTCAGGCTCCCAAGTAGTTGGAATTAGAGGCATGCACCACCACACCTGGCTAATTTGTATTTTTGATAGAGACGGGGTTTCTCCATGTTGGTCAGGCTGGTCTCAAACTCCCGACCTCAGGTGATCCACCTGCCTCGACCTCCCAAAGTGCTGGGATTACAGGCATGAGCCACCACACCTGGACAAGTTCAACACATTTTTTAAGACCAACTAGAAGGAATGACGGCCCTGGCCTGAAGCTCTCCCCAGCACCCTCTTAACACCCTGCAAGCTACACAAAACCCCTCGTCTCCATTCCTACCGCTCTTTGTTCCTCCCCCTACTGCAGCCCTCTCCACCGCGCAGGCAGACCCTGCAGGGCAGGACCTCGGTGTGTTTCTCTTGGTGTTGTATGAGGCATAACCTTGTTCCCTCTTTGCACTGTGAGAGACCTCAGAGATGAGTTATATGGAGACCTTAATTTCTCAGGTTAAGAAGCTGTGACCCAGCTATGTATTCATACATTCATTCTCTAATTGAACTGTGACATGGTAAATATTTATTGAGAACTTTCTACGTGGCTGTTTCTTGGTGCTGGGGATGCAGGCATTAATAAGACAGGAAAGGCCCTGCCCTCATCGGGCTAACAATCTGGAAGCAGTGGTCTCGAGTGATGGGAGATGAGTTGACAGAGACCCAAATACAATAACTTTAGATAGCAAGGAGTGCACAGTGTCAGGAAAGAAAGTGTCTGGGTTTGGGTGACTTGAGTCTTCTAAATCCCAGGTGGCCAAGAAAAGGTTCTCTAATGCTAACATCTCTGAGCTGAGATCCAGCAATGAGAAGTTGCCAGCCACATGAAGTGAGGGACTGGCATTCTTGAAAGAGAGATGTGCAGGTGCACAGGTCCTGAGGGTGGGAAGGGTTTGGCTTGTTCTGAGACGCTGGAGCTTCATAAGTGAAAAGGACAGAGAGGGTGACGGGAGAGGGACCAAGGCCAGACTGCAGAGGTCCTTGTAGACCATGGCAAAAATTTTGATTCTATGACCAAGTCAGTTGAAATGCAGTTGAGAGTGAAGGCATCTGATAATTTTTTTGTAATCCTACAACTTTAGGAAAGACTGTTGCCTAGCCATGGTTACAAGTTGCCCACAGAACTAATTTTAAATTTGCTCAAGCGGTCAAGACCGCAATCTTCAGTGAACACATCTCTGCAAGCCGACTGGGGTCAGGCCCTCCACCCAGAAAGTTAGGCCTGGAAAGCCTCCAATAAACATGCCTCCCAGTGCCAGCCAATGACAGCAATAACCCTGCGTCTGCAGATGAGAGCAGTGCTCTTTCATCCACTGAAAACCTTTGTGAGGTCACCCCTTACGCCGCTCAGAGAGACGGTGCCTGACTCGCATAGCTCTCCTTTACTATAGTAAACGTTTGTGAGATCACCCCTTACGCCGCTCAGAGAGATGGTGCCTGACTCACATAGCTCTCCTTTACTATAGTAAACCTTTGTGAGATCACCCCTTACGCCGCTCAGAGAGGCGGTGCCTGACTCACATAGCTCTCCTTTACTGTAGTAAACCTTTGTGAGATCACCCCTTACGCCGCTCAGAGAGGCGGTGCCTGACTCACATAGCTCTCCTTTACTATAGTAAACGTTTGTGAGATCACCCCTTACGCCGCTCAGAGAGATGGTGCCTGACTCACATAGCTCTCCTTTACTATAGTAAACGTTTGTGAGATCACCCCTTACGCCGCTCAGAGAGATGGTGCCTGACTCACATAGCTCTCCATTACTGTAGTAAACCTTTGTGAGATCACCCCTTACGCTGCTCAGAGACTGTACCTGACTCCCATAGCTCTCTTTTACTATAGTAAGCAGTTAACTCAACCTTGCCCTTTTATTTCAGATAGTAAATGTTGCCCTCATCAACCTTTGACAGTTCTCGAACATTCTACCAGATTATTTTGAAGTCCCAGAATTTGTAACCAAGCAGGTCTTCATATAAGGGTGACAGAATTAAGTCTTTGTAAAGGGTACTTAGCCATAGGCCTTTGTATTCAGTAATTAGAACTTTGATTTAGAAGTACACCATTCAGTAATTAGACCTAAGTTTTTGAATAAAGCCGGGTTTCTCAATGTCAGCACTACCACCGTTTTGGACTGGTAAATCTCTGCTGTGGTCTTGTGCACTGTAGGTTGTTTAAAAGCACTTCTGGTCTCTACCCACTAGATTCAACCAGCAACCTGTTTTGAATGAAGCTATATCAGTTTAGCTGGTAACTGCTATTCCCAGCAGCTGGGAGGCCCAGACAAAAGAGCTGCTGCCCTTCAGGGGTCTGATTCTGGGCACAGCTTCAAGGACACAACAAGAGAAGGGACCCACTCCCAAGAGATGTCCTGTGGGAGCTTTAATTGGTGGGTTTAAAGCCAACCGGCATGAGTTCCAGGAGGTCACGCTGTGACTGAGAGGTGGTCCCTTTGAGTTTCAGGCAAATGTCTGAATGGCCCTTTTAAAGGCAAGGCAGGAAAGTGGAGCCCAGCCTGCCAGGCAGGAGAGATGCCTCTGCTGTTTATCTCTGTCCACCAGCTACTGCCATTTGGGTGGTTATAGTATGGGAAACTGTGTCAAGAGTGACTGAGCCCTGCTTCACAGAGGTATAAAAAAATTAAAGCTATATTTAAAAATGGATGCAAAAGCAGCATAAAATTACTCACTCA
Organism: Homo sapiens; assembly: GCF_000001405.40. NCBI lineage: Eukaryota > Metazoa > Chordata > Mammalia > Primates > Hominidae > Homo > Homo sapiens. The sequence goes on along the minus strand of NC_000011.10, from coordinate 134,850,791 downwards.
CTACACACTACTTCCTCATATGTAGCCAACAACACCGTCTCAGGGCACTGCAAAACGCTCCCTGAGGTGTAAAATTGCCCCACTTGTGAACTGCTGATATAAGGTTATTAGCTGTTTTGTTTTGGAAACATAGTATTTAGAAAATATTTTTTATTAACCAGATTATTTCCTGCTGTTTGCTTTGCTTTTGCTTATCTATGTGATAAAATCTTGTTTCATGTGGTTTTGTTTTGTCTTGAATTGTCCTTTTTCTTTTGAATGTTTAAGAAAGTGTTCCATGGGGAATGGATGGAGGGTAGACTATAAAAGTAATCAATCAATTCCAAGCTTGTCCTAGGAACATAGGGCAGAAATTAGACCTGCAACATGCTTGTTACTAAGAATTGCTCAAACTTTGCTTTGGGTTCCCCAGAAGATCTTCCCGCGGGCACGCCTCATTTTGTCAATTTGTGAGAGAAAATTACTAAAAGTTCATATCTTGGAGTCAGCAATTATCAAGGAATTAATTGCATGGCTCCCTCCTCTCCTCTGGTTTGAAAGCCCAAAACACCATTCACAGCCCACATTAGTGACACCATGGTGTCTTTTTCTTGTTTGTCATGAATTTGTTATCAGGTTTCAGCTAACTTCTCTGTAAAGGAACAGATAGTAAGCAGTGTAGGTTTTGTGGGCTACACCATCTCTGGGGCAACTCTTCAACTCCACCTTTGTAGCACAAAAGCAGGTATAGACACTACATAAACAAATGGTCTTGCTGTGTTCCAATAAAACTTTATTTACAAACGCAGGTGGCAGGTGGGACGTGGCCTGAGGGCAGTAACTCACTGAGCTCCGGCAGCAATTTTCCTAACCCCTCCTGGAAACACTTCTGCTTCCTTTATAAAGTTGCACTATAATCTTTGCTCTTGTACTATATTGATAAATGACAATAAAAATTAAAAGACTTACTGTAACAATGGCTATTATGGGAATGCTTTGAAATGTCAAAATGAATGAATTTTTATCTTACAAGAAATTCCAACATTATCAAGAGTCAAAACACCAAATATCCAAAAGTCAGCTTTGTCATTGGTAGGCTGGGGTCTCAACATTCTAACTCAAAGATTGTGCGTCTCAAAGATTCCATGGCCTCTGAAACATACCCTCCCTGTATCTCTCTTTCTATAGAATTCAGGATTTTGTTAGAATCTTTTTCTTTCTTTCTTTCTGAGATGGAATCTCACTCTGTCTCCTAGGCTGGAGTGCAATGGTGCTATCTTGGCTCACCGCAACCTCTGCCTCCTGGGTTCAAACTATTCTCCTGCCTCAGCCTCCTGAGTAGCTGGGATTACAGGCATGCACCACCATGCCCGGCTAATTTTTTATTTTTAGTAGAGATGGGGTTTCTTCATGTTGGTCAGGGTGGTCTCGAACTCCTTATCTCAGGTGATCAGCCCACCTCGGCCTCGCAAAGTGTCGTGATTACAGGCGTGAGCCACCACACCTGGCCTAGAATATTTATATGCTAGACAACAGTTGAATTACTTGGAAAGACAAAAGACACAAGATTAAATCAACCATATGTGTAAAATTTTAAAAGTAATACAAATGATTTAAACAATAAAAGTAGAAAAACACGACTGTGATAAACAAAATTAAATACTGTCTGCCCCAAGGGTGTCCTCATCCTAATCCCAGAACATGCAAATAAGTTAAGTTGCATGGCAAAGGGAAGTTAAGATTGGGATGGAATTAAGGTAGCTAAATCGGCTGATTTTTAAAAAGGGGGATTATCCTGGATTATCTAGGTGGGATCAGTATAATCACAGGGGCCTTACATTGGAAGAGGAAGGCAAAAGAGTCCATGTTGATGTGATTCAGTTTGAGGAAGAGTCAACCCAAGATTGCTGGCTTTGAAGATGTGGAAGGGCCACCAGCCAAGGAATGCGGATGCCCTAGAAGCTGGAAAGGCAAGGCCACAGCTTCTCCTGAGACTCCAGAAGGAAACAGCCCTGCTGACGCCTTCGGTTTTAGCCTGGTGAGGCACCTTTTACCTTTCGAATTTCAGAACTGTAAGATAATAAATTCGTTTAGTTTTAAGCCGCTGTGTTTCTGGCAGTTTGTTACAACAGAGATAAAGGTAAATATAACCACACTAGACAATTTGAGAAGACTTTTCTTTTTTTGAGTGTGGACTAAACGCAGATCCCAACATATAAACTAAACATAGGTAGAAGGCATGACTCAAACGACTATTGCACCGTATTCTGTGATGAAGAGTCGTGCTCTCTTTTTATAAACAGGCTCAAATAGTAATTAGATTATTTAAATAAAAATAAACAGAATATAGCTAGACATTTCCAGGTAGTTTTCAAAGTAAACAAACTAGAGTAGCACTCATGGCTCTCTCAATAAATGACCGGAAAGGCCTGTGTTCTTGAATAGGAGCACGGACAGACAAACATGCTTCACAGATTCACAGGCAGAAGACTCTTGAAGGGAAAAAAGAAGTCTCACTTTGCCCAATAAACAGAAGAACAACTATCCAAAATGTGTTCGGCGATGTGGCCCCAAGGGGGATATTTGCTCTGGACGATTCCCTGCACTTCCTCTAAATGGCAAAGAGAACTGTCTACAAATGCAGCTATGCACTCACACAGCTTTCTTCTTTATGTGAGTGTCATTACAGCTAGCTTTAGTCCTATGACTACACAACATCAAATCCTTCAGATTAAAGTTCTGTGGAAAGCAAACTGAAACGCAAATTGACTCGTCAGAAGTTAAAAAACATAAAAAGAGAAATATTGCTGTGCCAAATGGTTACAAATGTGATAAAGGAAAGATCTGAGGGCCTACGTAGTAAAAGGTTTAAGGGAGAGACATTGTCCACATGGTGAACTGGAAGACTGCAAACCCCCGTCCCCTGACTTCCAACATCAGGAACAACCAGAAGTGGCTGAACGAACCTTCTAGGAGCTCTGGAAAACAGTCCAAGGTCTACAGCAACCAGTGAACACCCAATCTAGGAAAAGCCCCACTTGAAACCTTAGGAAGGCCCATAGGGTTCTACTGCAGGCCTGCAGCAGTGAGGCCTGGCTCCGGAGAGACAGCAGCTCCAGGCCTTCTTTGGAGATCTAGAAGTCGACACGGCCCTGTGTGGACACCTGCCAGGCCCCAGTAATTAACCCCTCCACCCCACCGCAGGCCGGGACCCCTCCCCTCACACATTGTGGGATTGCGCCTCTGGAGACCGTTTTGTTAGACTGCTCCCCAGGCTGCCTGTCTCCAGCGGCAGTGGAGATGAGCTGGCTCTCGCAGAGCAGAGAGGAGACTGTAGTATGTGTGCAGGAAGGGCGTGGGCCAGGGAAGAACTGGAGGGAAGGATCTCAACGAGCTTTCCAGAGGAAGCCGGCAGGAAGTCAGCAGTGTGCCATGAGCAACCCACAGCTTGGCTCATGGGGTCCCAGGGCCCTTCCCCAGGAGGCTGCGTTTCTGATTCTGCAGCCTTCCACGTCTGCCCTCCCTGGCTTCCCAGTGCTTATGGGATCCATATCTGAAAGGCCTTCAGGGGCCAGTGCCTCCGTTTTTATCCCACACCCTCCATGCCCTACACACACGTGCACACACACTTATGTGCACAAACACACATGCACTCACATAGGTATGCCCACACACATGCACATGTGTGTACATGACCACATGCACACTTACACACGCAGGGGCTGCTGGGACCACTTAGTGCATGCTTTACCCTGGGCAGGCCCTCTGTGTCGTCCCCTCAGCAGTGGTCAGGAGCCTCCCGTGACTGGGCCACACCCTCCCCTCTAAGCCCTGGGATGGCGACTTTTTCCTGAGGTTGCATCCAAGTCGACTTTTCCCTGACGTTGCATCCAATTCCCTTTTCAGAGGCCTGTTGCTCTGGTCTCACTGTCTCCCCACCCCCATCCAAGCCACCTGTCATTGACTTGATGGATATTTAGTCACCATCCCAGGGTTGCTTCTGTGGGAAGTTTATCCTCACACCTGCTCCCCGAGTCTCCAAACTCCAAGAGATGTTTTGCAATTGATTCTTCTGAAGTCTCAGAAGGGTAGGAGCCTCTCCCCTCTTCCATTTTCACTGTACCACTCAAGTAGCTCCCCAGGCTCCTCAGAAGACAGATGACTTTATAAATTCTTAAAAGCGCATGTGGAAATATCAGAGTAATCATTACTACATTACTCAGTCAGTTAAGAGTGCTTGGGGAAAAGCTAACATAAAATAAATCTTCATTGTAAGGGCATCTTTCATTTCCTACAAAGGATTAGCTGTCGCTGAAGCCTCAATCTCATTTTGTTGTGTGGCTAAGATGAATTTTCTAATTAAGGCCCATGCATGAAGCCAAGCAGGCTCGCCTAACTCTGGAAGGGGCTCCGGTCCTGCTTTGTCTAATAATCCTGAATGCGCTGGACAGGCAACTCCCAGGAGTGATAGGAGTCAGGAGAGTGGGATAGGCATGTGGAGCTGGGTGAGCTCAATCCCACCCCTGCAGGAAGGTTCCAGCCCACCAGGACCCCCAGCCATGCACGCCTGAGTTCTGCCCTCCCTCCCCAGCCTGCTGCACCTCTGGCCCCCAAGAGAGGAGGCTGCAAAGAGAGCCCCGGCATCTCCTGTCCTGCTCTGCAGCGCAGACCACTCAGGGGACAGCAGCAGCCCCCACGGTAGGCACCTTGGGTTCTGGGCCAGTCGGGAGCTGGGACTACAGGGACCAAGGGCCTGGAAGGAGGTGGCTCCTGGGACTGGAATTCCTCCCTATAGATGCAGGCTCAGCCCAGGCCTCTTCTCCTGGGCTCCAGGTACAGATGGGGAGGGGCAGTGCTGGGAGATTGGGGCAGGGGAGAAGTTTTATGAAGAGGCTGCTGCTTGTGAGAGAATCAGAGAGGTGACAGGGAAAGGTGAGAATGAGCTCTGACAAGAGGCAGAATGGCTTTGCCCTGAGGCAGCCTCAGCTCTGCAAGTCCATCGAGCTCAAAAGGTGGGGAAAAAGCAGAAATGGCTGTGCTCTTTGCCCAGGAGGAACCTGCAGCAGAGTCTTCACAGAAATGGTCCGTCTCACTGTCTCCCTCTCCTCTCAGAGCTAGGGTGGCCGCAACCTGGAGAGCCGTGGGGGGAGCGGGTGGACAGGAGGAGCCTAGGCCCTAAGCAGAAAACCTGTGAGCAGCGGGGAGCAGCGTGTGCCAGTAATGCCAGGCAGACACAGCTGCAGTCATGCAGTGTACGCATGTGGGGTGGAGCCATCTAGACCCTCCTGGAGCCTTTCACAGACAGGATTGCACTCAGGGCCTGGGCTTTACTGGGACCAGCCGCTCTGATGGGAGCTTTGAATGAAAAATATCTATGTTACTGAGCAAGGGGCTCATGCTCTACGTGCATAGAAGCCAATACCATGGTACGGGTTTCTGAGGAAAGAAAGGGCTTTACTGCGAGGTTGACCATCAGGGAGATAAGAGAGGCAGCTCAAATCTGATCTCCCAGATCTGGGGTCTGGGGTGAGTTTTAATGGGCTGGAGAGTGAGGGAAAGGATTTAGGAATGTTGGCTTGTGGGGACTGATCGGGGCTTCAAATCTGACCCATGATTGTAAGGAAAGATGAGGGGGATTTCAGCACAGATTCTCCTAGCCAGCAGACCCCTTGCCTCTGGAAGGGTTCGCACAGTCAGGTCGTGTCTGGGCTTCTTGGTTCTGCAGGGAAGAAGTGCAGGTTCCAGGCGTGGCTAGAGGCCGGAGCTCTCTGCACTGGGTGTGTTCAGGCCACAGGACTTGCCGTTTGGTCTCCGTTACACCTGCGAGGCAGCTGGGCATTCTGAGATCAGCAGAGTGGGGCCAGATAGGGGAGTCCTGTGGTGACAGACCTACTACTGTGTTTCCCTGGCTTTTATCAAATGCCTCTTGGCAAACCCAGAACTTCACATAAGGAACTTATTTTTCCCTCTCAATGGCTTTGAGTGAAAATCTGGTCCATTGTGGGGCCATTGTGTGCAGGTCTGCTCCACACACCAGCCTTCCGGCTCCCAAATTCCTACTTACAACCATGGTGACTTCCTTGACATCTATACTGGGAGCGCCGTGACAGAGAACACGGGGACTTGGGTACAGATTTTATACACCAGGAATGGGGACTAGTGAGGATGCCACTTCCTGTGATTCCCCGCCCGTGTGTGTCTGTGTGGGGGCCACATTTAAGGGGTTCCTTTTTCTAACCTCTTTAGAAGGCCGCTGTGATTGATTCCAGCCTGTCACCACCTTTCCCCTCTCTCTTCCCACCACAGTGTGACTCCTTTGGGCCCTGGAGTCTCAGTGCACCGCCGGCAGTGACCTTACTGCAATCCCTCGGTGAGAGGAACATCTCGCCAGAGCTGATGTGGGAATCTGATCCCTCGATTCCACAGCAAACCCTGCCTTCTCTAGAAGCTGGAGGACCAGGTAGGAGCTCAGAGCATCTTCTCACAAACCTGGGATCTGAACCCTGCCTGGGGAGCCCCTTCCCAGCTGGGTAGGAGGAGCCAGTCTGTGCCCACAGCCCTGGTCTGGGGTGAGGAACCCTTTGAAATTGAAAGGGAGCTCCTGTCCCCCTGGAGGCCTTCTTGTTTGGGGACCAGAAGGCATTTGGGGAACAAAGTTGTTCATCTCATGGAAGCTTTCTGCTGCTTCTGGGGAGAAATGGGGAAGGAGGGTAGGAAGTAGCAAGGAGCGGGGAGAGGGAAATGAGAGTGACTGTTGCACGGATACCGCCTCTGGCTTGCATAGAGGCCACATTCACAAGTGTCATGGGAGCTGAAGGGGGCTGTTTGGATCAGATGACAGACTCCTTGCTGGGGGAACCAGCTGCCTACCCAGGTTGCAATCAGGATCACTCAGTGCCCAGGCAGCCGGCCGAAGGGGACAGAGAATATTTTGGGTGGGGACCAGATATGGAGGAGTATGAAGCACGCTGAGGCATTCTGTCTGTAACGATGTGACACCGTCATCATCTTGTGTCGGGTTCTTGCAGAGTAGCCCTGTTTCTGAACAGAGAAAGGTGTCCTGGGAAAGCTTCCAAAAGAAAATGTGCTAATTAGACCCGGGATGCCAGAGCGGCTGTGGTCCCCAGGCCCCTCAGCCCTGCAGCACTGGGACACCGGACTTCATTTCCATTGCTCGCCACCTGCATGCCTTTCATGACTGGGTTAACCCGGGGCAAGGAAGGCCTGGGCACACTTTGGCAGCCAGTAAAGAGGCTGCCTGACCATCCTCCCTCCTGGGAGGATGCGGCTGGCAGGCTTTAGTTCCCGGCCCTCTGGGGACTGCCTCAGCTGCAACTGCATGACAGCCACTCGGGGTGGCCTTGAAGGAGGGTGGTGGCCAAAAACCTTCCCAAAGAGAGAGCTTCAGGCAGTGCACCTGGTCCTCCGCTCTGTACCAGAAGAGAAATGGCCTCAGGACAGAACAGACATGAACTTAAAGGCAGGGGCAAATGATGTGGCCAGCTGTCCAGGAACTGGGAGGGAGAAAGGCTGGATGACCCGGGGCACATGAGTCCAGGAGAGGGGCACGTGGGCAGACATGTGGGAGAGCCTCCGTATCCCACGTGAATGCCCATCTGAGAACAGGTGATAAGCAACCAGGTGATGCAGGACTGTGCCCCGTGATGTCACTCAGCCTCTGCTGCTGGCCACCTGGAACAGCCGTCATGGTAGCAGGGATATGGGGGCAATTTGGGGTTCGGCACTATGGGACCCCACACACCAAGGCTGATACAGCCAGTCCTACTGCCAAATGCCTATAGTGCTAACAGCCAAGACCAGCACTGAGTGTGACCAGTTGGCCAACTGGTAGCAACACTAGACCCCTTTCATCCTAGACAGGCCAGCAATTCATTCAGGTAGAACAGACACACATTCTAGCTACAGGTTTGCCTCTCCTGCCTGTAGGAACTAGAGAGCAACATTGCCTGGGTAGGTATGGGATGCCAAATTCACTGGCATCAGATCCTCATACCAAGAGAGTTAATTTCCAGTAAGGAGGTGTGGGAGCAGACGTATGACTGTGGAGTTCAGCACACATCCCCTGACCATGCCTGCCAGAAGCTACCACAGGAATGGAATGGAAATGGCTGCTGAGGGCACACTACTGTGTCAACTCAGAGTCAGCGTCTATCATATAAGAGGACAGGGCATCATCCTCTGGTACCTTTAAGTGGTACTGTGACCCCAGGAAGCACAGTGAGTTAGAAATGAAGGGTAGACTCAGAGGAGATATGCTTACACTCCCAGGACCCTATTCGGGACCCTCCTGCTTTCTGAAGCTGTGGGATTTATGGGTTTAAGAGTCCTGGTCCCTAAAATGAGCAGGCTTTTCCCAGGGGACATAACAAGAATCCTCTTGGACTCCTTGTGTTAAGGGACTAGCAGGCAAGAAGAACAGCCCGGCTGTAGGCCATTGAGGCTGAGCAGCAGGGCGAGCTGTTACTGCACAGTGGGGAGATGAACTGTCTGTCACACGGGTGACCTGCCTCCCTCCTGCTGATTGTCCCGTCATCAGCAGCGGAAACATGGAAACTCATGTTCAGCTTTCCTGACATGTTCCTGTGGACACTGCAGGCTCTGTGGCAGATTCCCCAGTGGCTTGGGAGCCAAGGAGGGAAAGTTTCTACACCTCAGAGCCCTGCCCCAGGTGCAGGGGATCTCTGTGAATCATTTCCCTGGCTACTGTGCTCACTCTAAACCAGAAAAAGTGCTGCTTAGCCTGGCATGGCTCACTCTGTCTGCTGCACCAGAGTGCTGGGAGAAGTGCAGGACAGGCTTTACTCAAATTGGGCAACCATAGGTTAAGATCCTTCCTGAAGGTGTTGGGCTGGCAGGGACAGCAGCCAGCAGGCTGTAAGGATGAAGGCTGGAATCGTCCACCAATGTAAAAGATTTTGAATCACATGGCCAAGGTCGAGGGTTTCAGATTCTACTAAAGAGTCTATGTTTGGTTTATAAGAGGGCCACACATCACTGAAAATCAAATACATAGTTTAATTCAGGCAAGTAAACATGTCAAGTGGAAAACAAATGGAGAAAGATGCTGTAGACAGTCCTCAGGCGGTAAGTGGGAGGGAGCTACCCAAAGTGACTTTTAGGATTTCCTGTGCCCTTGAGATTCTACAACTGCACGAGACTTTAGCTGAAGGGGCACGTGTTGGAGCAAGCATTTCACCTGCTGCTCCATCAGCATGCCCAAATGCTTCATCTGCATGCCCACATCCTGCCCTCAGACATGCACCGTGGGATACATACAAGGGAAATCCTGACTAGAAAATGCCTCCAGTGTCAGCTAGCACCTTCCCCGCATCTAGGAAAAAACAAAAACACAGCCAAATGCCCTGTGATTTTAAAACCATTCAATGAGGCCACTCCAAATGTTGGCCCACCTTCAACTGACACACAATTTTAATTTCAATACAATTTTCCAATGATCTAGTCCAGTGGTTTTCACGCTTGGTTGCAGCAAAATCAACTATGGATTTTCTAAACAGGCCTCTGAATTACACCCCTGACCTTCTGAATCAGAATTTCCCAAGATGGAGCTTAATAATATAATTGTGTAAATCTCCACGGCTGACCCTGAAGCACAGCTAAGGCTGAGAGTCAGTGATCTCATCTACATCCGTCTTCTGTAATGCCATGCCATGACACTCGTTCCGTCCTTGGAGAAATGGAGCTCAACTCAAGAATCCTGACATCATGTCTCCTTGATATCAGCCTGCTCAGCTCTGGTGCTGTGGAGCTCTCCTCGGAATCAGTGGGGTCCTTCTAGCCAACAGGTGTAGGACTGAGAGGAGGGAGCTTGGAGGACGGTATGAAGGGGATGAAAAGGGTATCTCGAAGGTGGCTTGCTGGGCCATGAACAGAGAGGCTGGAGAGTGTGGAGACGGTGGAGTACACACACAACTGCTTCATTCATTCACATTGTTGATGGACACTTAGGCTTTTTCCATATCTTGGCTATTGTGAATGGGGCTGCAATGATACCGATTTCAAGTCCTTTGGATATGTACCCATAAGTGGTATTTCTGGATCATATGGTAGTTCTAGTTCTATTCTTAGGTTTTTGAGGTACCTTTGTACTATTTTCCATAATGGCCATACCAATTCACATTCTCCCCAGCAGGGTTCCCTTTTCTCCACATCGTTACTGGCACTTTCTGCCTCTTGTCTTTTTTGTGCTAGCCATTCTAACAGGTGTGAGGAAATATCTCACTGTGGTACACACACACACACACACACACACACACACACACTGGAATATTACTCAGTGATAAGAGAGATCTTGCCATTTAAGACAACACGGATGAATCTGGAGAACATTGTGCCAAGTGAAATAAGGCAGGCACAGAAAGACAAATGCCACCTGATCTCACTTACATGTAGAACCTAAAAAGTCCAGCTCATGGAAGCAGAGAGGAGAATGTGGCTGCCAGGGGCTGGGCTTGGGGGAAATGAGGAGATGCTGGTCATAGAGAGGAGAATGTGGCTGCCAGGGGCTGGGCTTGGGGGAAACGGGGAGATGCTGGTCATAGAGAGGAGAATGTGGCTGCCGGGGGCTGGGCTTGGGGGAAACGGGGAGATGCTGGTCATAGAGAGGAGAATGTGGCTGCCGGGGGCTGGGCTTGGGGGAAACGGGGAGATGCTGGTCATAGAGAGGAGAATGTGGCTGCCAGGGGCTGGGCTTGGGGGAAACGGGGAGATGCTGGTCATAGAGAGGAGAATGTGGCTTGCCAGGGGCTGGGCCTGGCTTGGGGGAAACGGGGAGATGCTGGTCATAGAGAGGAGAATGTGGCTGCCAGGGGCTGGCTTGGGGGAAACGGGGAGATGCTGGTCATAGAGAGGAGAATGTGGCTGCCAGGGGCTGGGCTTGGGGGAAACGGGGAGATGCTGGTCATAGAGAGGAGAATGTGGCTGCCAGGGGCTGGGCTTGGGGGAAACGGGGAGATGCTGGTCATAGAGAGGAGAATGTGGCTGCCAGGGGCTGGGCTTGGGGGAAACGGGGAGATGCTGGTCATAGAGAGGAGAATGTGGCTGCCGGGGGCTGGGCTTGGGGGAAACGGGGAGATGCTGGTCATAGAGAGGAGAATGTGGCTGCCGGGGGCTGGGCTTGGGGGAAACGGGGAGATGCTGGTCATAGAGAGGAGAATGTGGCTGCCGGGGGCTGGGCTTGGGGGAAACGGGGAGATGCTGGTCATAGAGAGGAGAATGTGGCTGCCGGGGGCTGGGCTTGGGGGAAACGGGGAGATGCTGGTCATAGAGAGGAGAATGTGGCTGCCGGGGGCTGGGCTTGGGGGAAACGGGGAGATGCTGGTCATAGAGAGGAGAATGTGGCTGCCGGGGGCTGGGCTTGGGGGAAACGGGGAGATGCTGGTCAAAATGTTCAAAGTTTCAGTGGTAAGATGAATGGGTCCTGGGGCTCTAAAGTACAGCTGGGTGGTGATGGATGCTTTAGTTACTGTGATTGTGGTAATCACTACACAATCATTACACAATGCATACACAGATGAAATCATCACACTGTATGCACTGAATATATGCATCCTTTATATCAATCAAACACTGTAAAATTTAACAAAGTTAGAGTACAAACAGAGGTGTGCTAGATATTGCTCTGAGAGTTGTGTATTGTTTTCTTTAACTCATTTCTTGAAAAGTACCCTTTCAAAGGAGGCTCCGATATAATTGATTCAGCAAATTAAGTCGAAAAGTCCATATGAGTTCACATTAATGTTAAAAGTCCTCCTCACATCCTGGGATTAGAGAGTAGGCCAGAAAATGCTCCTTGTTCAGCTGGCAGCCGCCACTCAGGTCACTGCCTTGGCCCATGCGATAAAATCAAGCATTTCGTAGTGGATTCACCAACCTCAGCTCGAAGTATGAAAACGAGCATCCACTTCCGGGTGTGCAGGCTGGGCATCTCCACACAGAGGCGTTCCATAGGCTTCCTGGGATTTTGTGGAAAGTCTGAAAGGCATCACCACATGCCTGGGCTCGTTACCCCTGACAAAATTGACAAAATGTATAGAATTCTGAAAAAACAGGAGAGAGCTTAAGAATCTTTCCTCAAAATGCTCCAGCAAACACAGGGGGACACGTGTCCCAAGAGGGCATCTCATGTTTAAAACAACAAAGCAGGCAGGGTCATCAGCAAAGGCTCTGAGGAAGGAGAACCTGCTTTCAGATGGTTGGGCATTTTTTTTTTGTGGGGTGGGTGGCGGGGCAGTATTTTAGTTTTATTGGTGAGGTGGCAAATTATTGTCTTTTAAACAGACATATTTAGACCATTGCATACTTGCGTGGCCTGTGATAATTTGAAAAAAGATGGTTTATTACCGGTTTGTACGTCTTGGAGGATTTCTAGTGACACAGGGAGAAGGCCTCCTGGTCTTGCTTGGGGCCCTCCCCTGTGGGTGTCAGGAGCCCTGACCCATGCTTGACTCCTCCTTTCTGCTCTGAGGGGGCTCTTATGCCTGGGGACATATCCCTGGAGGCCCGAGAGCTGCAGCTTCATGCCCCTCTGTGAAGGGCTCAGGAGCCTGAGTGTGCGTGAGCCTCTTCACAAGAGTTTGCTGCTGGGAACTGAGAGGTCGCTGCCAAGGGAGCGTGGCTTCTGCCCAAGTCTTTGATGCCCAGGCAGCTCCCCACTGGTCCACGTGAAGCCCTCTCTGTTTTGCAGCCCCTGCTCAGTGGGACTGTGAACACGGGTGGTTGGGCGTGGGGACTTCATGGCAAGTTCCTGGGTGGTGCTGACCTTGGTGCCAGGCTCTGATTGGACCCACTGAAGAGGGAGGACAGAGAGGGTGAGGTTTGGGGCATGTGAGCCACCTCCAAGACCTCAGGCCATGAAGCCCCTGGCAGGAGGCATAACCCTGGCTTCCACTGTTGCAGGGACACAAACCTCCCAGCTCCCGTGCTTGGAGGAGGAGGGGCTGAAGGAGTTTCTCCTCCTCTCTGTCTCAGTAACTGGGGATTCAGGCCTCTGGGGTGCAGCTTCCACACAGAGTTGCAGAGAAGCCAACTAACCCACTTTTCCCACCACCACTGCTTCGGCCCCACCTCAGGTTTCCTCCCCACAGCCAGGGAAGACCCAGACTCTAGGGGTGATATCATGGGGCAGAGGAGTTAAGGTGTGAGGAAGCAGTACTTTAACCTCCTCTGACCCTCACCAGCACTGACTGGGGCATCCACTTCCCAGAGGAGGACACTGAGGCCCAGAGAAGAAAGTTTGCCAAAGATGACAAGGGCAGTCGTTAGCAGCCCTTCAGTTGACTCACATGCCTCACTTCTGAGCTACAGCATCTTCCCACTCCCCACCACCACAGTGCCCCTAGCAGAGGATCGGGGCTGGGAGGGAGGTGGGCACCTTCGCTTTGAAGCTCTTTCCCCCAGTGTGTCTGCACTGGGCCCAGCCCCTGAGTCTTGACGTTCCTACTTCAGCCCCTCGTGTGCCCCCAAGGACTTGTACTATGGGAAACATTCTGAGGGAAATTGCCATTTCCCTCAAAAGGTCTGAAAAGGTCCAGGCAGAGCCACTGTAGTGAGCAACAGCTTTATATCAAATTCTAAAGGGGGTGAAAAGGGCAAGGGAGAGAAGGGTAGGATCGGAGAAAGAAATGGACAAAAGGCTCTGCTAGAAACCTGAGGCTATTCCTGAAAACACCAAGTCCACTGAGAATCTTCCTTGAGTTGCCCTTTGCTGCTGGAGTTGATTTTAGTGCTCTCGGACTCCAGGGCTCCAGCCGCAGTTAGAAACACAGGCTTTTGACTCTTCTTAATCTGATGATTGAGAATGGGGATTTCTCAATGGGCCTTCAGTCCTGCCTCACCCAGGACCTGGGTTCAACAGCCCACCCTGGTAGGCAATTGTGCAGGCTAAGGCAGATGATGCCCTAGGCAGCAGTGGGCTCTGTGTAGTGATTAAAACAATTGCAGCAGCTGCAGCTGCCGTGTACTGAGAGACGACTGCTGTTTTCCATCCGTTTTCTCATTTAATCCTATAGCAGCACTTTTCTCATGAGGAATATTCCCAGAACCTGCCAAGGTCTCCCAGCTAGTCATGGAGCAGGTGGAGCCAGGAACAAGCCTGTCCAGGTGCCCACAACTCATTGTACCGCCCTGGGGACCAAATATAGCTTCTAACCCAAAGGGCTGCTGTGAGCACCAAGGAAATCATGTGGGTGCATGTACCAGCTACACTAAGCAGAGGTCTTGTGATGGTTATGTATTAGGAAGGAGGACATGAGTTCTAAGCTCACTAGCTTTCTTTTCTCCCAATGCAAACCCCTCCCGATTAACTTGGTTCTTCAGTTGGAAATGTTTGCAATGGGAGTTGCTGATGAAGAAACTTGCTTTCGTGATGGGCTGGCTGATTGATCAAAAAGACCATACGGGATTCTGTTTTCCCCAAGTAGGAACTGCCCCGGCTCTTCAAGCTTCATTAAGTTTTAATTTAATCATTGCCACTTTGCACTGGAATTGTGTTTTATGAGCACATTACCAGAAGTTGAAATCTTGTAAAACAGAAATTTTTGAAATAAAAATAAAAGGAGACTTAAGTCCATTACTATTGGCAAAATGGGAAATGGAGGCGACTTGGTAGCAATGTGCATGCTATAATGTGATTGTGCTGGCTGCTGGTTTTCATCCAGGCCTTCATCTGCAGCTCCAGTCTGAGCCCCATGGAAAGGGGTCACCTGGGTTTGCCCCAGCCACATGAAACTGTGGAGTGATTTTGGAAGCCTACCTTGACAGACATAGCCCACCTGAGCTTGTGTGGCCTTCTTGAAGTGTGCTGAGCCTCCAAACCATCAAATGAAGCTTCTAGCCCCTAGGGCTCTGGTCTTCAGCCCCCTGCTCACTTCCCACTCCTCGTTACCACAAAACCACAAAAACAAACCGACAAACCTAAATACTGGCCACCTTGTGTGAGCCAACAAGGCCTTCACCTCTCTGAGCATTCTTGATGTATGTGAGGAGATCAGTGTGTGGGACTTGAGCAGTCAGGAGATGCCATGGACAAAGGGGACCTCGGATGGAACTGTGGGTGGCCATGCGGCCAGAGGGCAGGTCAGGGTCCAGGTCTGTGCCGGGTGGGGAGCTAGAGGTCAGAGCTCTAGATCTGGTCTCCATCCTCCTCCTTTGGGGCTTAGTTTTTCTCCCTGCAAGGGCACCTTCAGGAGGAGTTGGGCTCATTGTACCCATTGCTGATCCTCGTGGTTCTTTATTGCCCTGTTAAAATGCTGTTTCAACTGGGAGGCCTTTAGACTGGGATGGCTGCAGCACTGTGAGTTCCCATGTAAACAAACTGAAGCCCAATGTAGACAGAAAAATGAAACTAGAGACTTCACCAATCACAGAGCACCGGAGGCTGAGGTGAGTGGTGACTGCAGCCAGTGAAAGGAAACAGAAGAAGATGGGGAGCTGGGGTGAAGGTGGGAAAGGGAAAGCCAGAGGCCCTGAGGGCCCAGCACCAAGAGTTTTCATAAAGGGACTTAGGTGGGGCAGCCCCAATTTCCCATAAAGTGTGTAATTTGGCCAGGCATGGTGGCTCACGCCTGTAAATCCCAGCACTTTGAAAGGCTGAGTTGGGAGGATCACTTGAGCTTGGGAGTTTGAGACCAGCTGGGCAACATAGTAAGACCTCAGCTCTACTAAAATCCAAAAAAATTGGCTGAGTGTGGTGGCACGCACCTGTAGTCCCAGCCATGTTGGGGGCTGAGGAGGGGGGATCGCTTGAGTCCAAGAAGTTGAGGCTATGATGAGCTCCAATCATGCCACTGCACTCCAGCCTGGGCAGGAGAGTGAGACCCTGTCTCAAAAAAAAAAAAAAAAATAGTGTATCACTCAATGTTTTGTAGTATATTCACAGATATGTGCAACCATCATTTCAGTCTATTTTAGAACATTTTACCACCCTCAAACAGAAACTCCATACCTTTAGCCATCACCCACTGCTCCTCTATTCCCTACTCCACCACCAGCCCTGAGCAACCTTTAATCTGCCTTCTATCTCTGTATGTGGCCTTTACTGGCTGGCATCTTAGCATACGGTTCTCAGGGTTCACCTCTGTTGTAACCTCTGTCAGTACTTCACTCCTTGTATGGCCAAACAAATTCCATTGCAATAATAGATCACAATTTGTGCGACCACTCATCAGTTGGTGAACATTTGGGTTGTTTTCCTCTTGGGTACTATGAATAATGCTGCTATAAACATTTGTGTGCAACTTTTTGTGTAAACATGTATTTTTATTTTTCTTGGGGATGAACCTAGGAGTGGAATTTCTGGATCTTATGGTAACTGTATGTTTAATCATTTGAAGAGCTGCAAGACTATTTTTCAAAGTCGCTGCTCCACTTTACCTTCCCAGCAGCTCTGTGTGTGGATTGCAGTTTCTCCATATTCTGTCTTTTTAATTCTAATCATCCTAGTGAGTCTGAAGTGGTATCTTATTGTGGTTTTGGTTAGCATTTTCCTGATGACTGATGATGTTGAGCATCTTTTCATGTGCTTTTTGGCCATTTATATATGATCCTTGGAGAAATGTCTATTCAGTTACTTTGCCCATTTTTAATTAGGTTGTCTTTATCATACAACTGTAAAAGTTCTCTATAAATTCTGGTTACAGGTCCCCTGTCAGTTATATGATTGTAAACATTTTCTCCCATTCTGTGCATTCTTTTTATTTTCTCAGTGGTGTCCTTTGAACCATAAAAGTTTTTTTTTTTTCATTTTAATGAAGTCTAATTTTGTTGTTCTTGCTCATGCTTTTGATGTAATATGTGGGAATACTTTGCCAAATTTAAGTTTCTGAAACTTTACTCCTCTGTTTTCTTCTAAGGGTTTGGTAGTCTTAGTCCTTACATGTAAGTTTTTGATCCATTTTGATATAATCTTTGTATAGGTGTGAAGTCATGCTCCACCTTCATTCTCTGGAATGTAGTTCTCCAGTTTTTCCAGCACCGTTTATTAAAAAGACAATTTTGTCTCCATTGGATGGTCTTGGAGCTTCGTCAAAAGTTATCTGATGGTAGATGTTTAGGTTTGCTTCAGGAGCATCAATTCTCTTCCTTTGGTCTGTGTGCCCATTGTTTTGTCAGTACCACACAGTCTTGTATAAAGTTGCTTTGTGGTAAGTTTCAAAATTAGAAAGTGTGATTACTCATACTTTGTTTTTCTCTTTCAAAGTTGTTTTGGCTATTCTTGCCATTCCATGTGGATTTTAGAATCAGCTTGTCAGTTTGTATAATAAAGTCAGTTGAGGTACTGATGGCGATTGTGTTGAATCTGTAGATCACTTTGGGGAGTATTGCCGTCTTAGCAATTTTAAGTCTTCCGGTCCATAATCATGGGATGGTTTACCAACTATTTAGTCCTTCTTTAATATCTTTTAAAAATGTTTTATGGTTTTCAGAGTTTGTATTTCCCTTCCTTTTGTTAAATTTGTTTACAATACTGTAATATTTTAATAATACTGTAAATAGATGTTTTCTTTATTTTTGGATTGTTCATTGCAATTATATAGAAACTTAATTGATTTTTATGTATTGTTCCTGTGCTCTGCAACCTTGATGAACTTGTTTATCAGGTCTAATTTTTAAAATAAACTTTATTTTTTAGAGCAGTTTTAGGTTCACAGTAAAAGTCAGCAGGAGATCGAAAGATTTCCTACACACGCTCTTCCTCAGCACATGCATGGCCTCCCTAATATCTACATCCCCGACTAGAGCGGTCCATTTGTTACAGTTGATTAACCTACATTGACAAATTATTATCACCCAGGCTCATAGTTTACGTTAGGGTTCACTCTTAGTGCTGTTCATTCCATAGTTTGGACAAACGTATTCACCATTATAGTATCATCACAGAGTAGTTTCACTGCCCTAAAAATCCTGTGTGCTCTTCCTACTCAACCCTCTTGCCCCCGAATCCCTGGCAACCATGATCATTTTACTCAATACATAGTTTTACCTTTTCCAGAATGCAATATAGTTGGAATCATACACTGTGTAGCTTTTTCAGATAACCTTCTTTGACTTGGTAATATACATTAAATTTTCCTTCATGTTATTTCATGGCTTTATCATTCATTTATTTTTAGCTCTGAATAACGTTCCATTGTCTGGTTACACCACAGTGTATTTATCCTTTCATCTACTGAAAGACATCTTGGTTACTTCTAAGTTTTGGCAACTATGAATACAGCTATTATAAACAGCCATGTGCAGGTTTTGTGTGAACGTAAGTTTTTACCTCCTTTAGGAAAATACAAAAGAGCATGATTGCTGGACCATATGTTAACAGTATGTCTGGTTTTTAAGAAATCACTGAACTGTTTTCCAAGGTGGCTGTACTATTTTGCATTCCCACCAGCAATGAGTGAATGAGGTTCCAGTTGCTCCATATTCTTGCCAGCATTTGTTGCTGTCAGTGTTCTGAATTGTAGCCATTCTAATAGGTTTATTGCATTGCTGTTTTCATTTGCATTTCTATGATGTGGTGCATTTTTTCATCTGTTTCTTTGACATTTTGATAATTTTCTGGTGAGGTATCTGTTAGAGTCTCTGGGCCATTTTTTAATTGGGTTGATTTTGCTGTTATTTTTGAGTTTAAGAATTCTTTTTATATTTTAGATAACAGTTTTTAAACTAACATGACTTTTGCACATATTTTCTCCCAGTCTGTGGCTTGTCTTTTCATTCTTTTGACAGTGTCTTTTGCAGGTCAGAAATTTTTATTTTAACAAAGCCTAGCTTATCAATTGTTTCTTTCATGTACTGCTTCTTTGGTATTTCATTAAAAAGTCATCACCAAAGCCAAAATCATCTAGTTTGTCTCCTATTTTATCTTCTAGGAGTTTCATAGTTTTGCATTTTACACTTAGGTCTGTGATCATGTGAAGTTATTTTTTGCAAAGGATGTTAGCTCTGTGTGTGTGTGTGTGTGTGTGTGTGTGTGTGTGTGTGTATATAGTTTTGTATGTGGATGTCCAGTTGTTCCAGTGCCATTTGATGAAAAGACTGTCTTCACTACACTGTATTGTCTTTGCTCCTTTATCAATGATCTGTTGATTAAATGTATATTGGTCTATTTCTGGACTCTCTATTCTATTCCATTGATCAACTGTCTATTCTTTTGCCAATATCACACTGTCTTGATGACTGTAGCTTTATAGCAATTCTCCAAATCAGATACTGTTAGCCCTCCAACTTTGTTATTCCCCTTCAATATTGTGCTGGCTAGTCGGGGTCTTTTGCCTGTCTATACAAACTTTAAAATCAATTTGTCAACAGCCACAAAATACATTGCTAAGATATTTATTGGTATTGTGTGAATCTATAGATCACATTGAGAAGAACTTGTATCTTTACAATATTGAGCCTTCATATCCACAAATATGAAATATCCCTCCATTTATTTAGTCCTTTTTTGATTTCTTTCAAAGGGTTTCATAATTTTCCTCATGTAGCTCTTCTGTATATTTAGTTAGATTTATACCTAAGTATTTCATTATTTTGGATGCTAGTGTAAATGGTATTGTGTTTGTAATTTCAAATTTCATTTGTTCATTGCTGGTGTGTAGGAAAATGATTGACTTTTGAATCTTACCCTTGTATTCTTCAACCTGCTGTAATTGTTTATTAGTTCCAGGAATGTTGTTGTTGGTAGTGTTAATTCTTTTAGATCGTCTACCTAGACAAAAAGGGAGTTTTATTTCTGCCTTCCTGATTTGTATATATTTTATTTCTTTTCCTTGTCTTATTGCATTAGCTAGGACTTCTAGCATAATGTTGAAAAGCAGTGGTGAAGTTGGGTGTGGTGGTTCATGCCTGTAATCCCAGCTCTTTGGGAGGGTGAGGCAGAAGGAGTACTTGAAGCCAGGAATTCAAGACCAGCCTGGGTAACATAACAAGAGCTTGTCTCTAAAATTTTTTTAAAAAACTTAGCCAGGTGTGGTGATGCATGCCTTTAGTCTTAGCTACTCAGAAGGCTGAGGTGAGAGGATTGCTTGAGTCCAGGAGTTCAGAGTTACAGTTAGCTATGATAGTGCCACTGCACTGGAGCCTTGGTGACAGAGAAAGACTCTGTCTCAAAAAAAAGGAAAAGAATGAAGGAGGAAAAAGGAAAGGAAAGGAAAAGGAGAGGAGGGGAGAAGAGAAGAAGGAAAGGGGAAAGGAAGGGGAAGAAAAGGGGAAGGGAAGGAGAAGAGAAGAGGAATAGAAAGGGAAGGAAAGGGGAAGGGAAGGAGAAAGGAAGGGAAAAGCAATGGTGAGAGGGGACATCCTTGCATTGTTTCTGACCATTAAGTATGATGTTAGTTGTAGGATTTTTGTTGATGTTCTTTATCAAGTTGAGGAAGTTCCTCTCTATTCCTAGCTGGCTGAGAATTTTTGTTATGAGTAGGTATGAAATTTTGTCAAATGTTTTCTCTGTATCTATTGATATAATCATGTGATTTTTCTTTAACCTGTTGATGTGATGAATGACATTATTGATTTGCAACTGTTGAACCAGTCTTGCATATCTGGAATAAATCCTACTTGATCATGTTGTATAATTATTTTTATATGTTTTCGAATTTAATTTGCTAATATTTTGTTGGGGATTTTTGCATCTATGTTCATGAAAGATATTGCTCTGTATTTTCGTTTGTTGCAATGTCTTTGTCTGGTTTAAGTATTAGGGTGATAATGGCCTCACAGAATGAGTTAAGAAGTATTCCCTCTCCTGTGTTCTAAAAAAGATTATAGAGAATTGGTATAATTATTTATTAAGTGTGAGGTAGAATTCACCCATCTGGGTTTAGTGCTTACTGTTTTTGGTTTTTCATTGTTGGTTCCATATATTTAATACATATAGGCCTATTTAGATTGTCTGTTTCTTCTTCTGTCAGTTTTGGCAGGTGGTATTTTTTTTAAGGAATTGGTCCATTTCATCCAGGTTATCACAGTTGTAGGCATCAAGTTGTTCATAGTATTTCCTGATTATCCTTTTGAAGTCTATGGGATCTGTAGTGATGTCCTCTCTTTCATTTCTGATATTAGTAATTTGTGTCTTCTCATTTTTTTCTTAGCCTGGCTAGTAGCTTATTGATTTTGTTGATATTTTTGGAAAAAAAAAAGCTTCTGGATTCATTGATTTTCTGTGCTAATTTCCTGTTTTTAATTTCATTGATTTCTCTAAACTTTTTATTATTTAGTTTCTTTTCCTTGCTTTAAATAACTTTGCTTTTTTTCTTAAGGTGGAAGTTTGGGTGATTGATTTTAGTTCATTCTTCTTTTCTAATATATGTGTTCAATGCTACGACTTTCTTCTAAGCACTATTTTTATAGCTTACAAATTTTGATAAGCTGATTTTAATTTTGATTTTACCATTTTCTCAGCTTAATACAGTTTGCTTTCACCTACCTCTTTTATGCTGTCATAGGCAAACATATTACATATATATTATACTTCTTTATGTTATAGGCACAATGATACATTATATGCACACTATTTAATATAATTGCTTTTTATTATTCATTTTTTATTTTTTAATTTTTTAGATGGAGTCTCATGCTGTTGCCCAGGCTGGAGTGCAGTGGAATGATCTTGACACACTGCAACCCCCACCTCCTGGGTTCAAGTGATTCTCTTGTATCAGCCTCCCAAGTAACTAAGATTACAGGCTCACACCACCATGCCTGGCTAATTTTTGAATTTTCAGTAGAGATGGGGTTTTACCATGTTGGCCAGGCTGGTCTCAAACTCCTGACCTAAAGCAATCCACCCACACTGGCCTCCCAAAGTGCTGGGATTACAGGTGTGAGCCACCACACGTGGCCACAATTGTTTTTTAAATAAGAGAAGAAAGGAGAAAAACACATATTCCTGCCTTCCTGTAACCTCCGATTAATTCATTAGGATCATGTTATTCACGTGGGTCATATGTCATGTTTGGAATTGTTACACGTGATTCAAGGGCAGAAGGGTGGCCACCTTCATATGAGTCTTTGAGTTCTACATGTTTTTAGTCATCATCTCATTTGGCTCCTGTACATACATGTGTTACAGAAATTGGTGTCTTTGTCAATCAAGTCTGGTGAGAGGGAGATTGCACACTCAGTGGAGGTAATTCAAATGACTTTAACACAGGGGATATTTCCAAAATAGGGAGAATGTGTCAGAGAACAAAAGGATAATGCCATACTCTGTGACTAGAATATTATGGTGTCTTTACCTCCTCCAGTCCTGAAGAGGTAAATGTGAGAAGTTTATTTTGATGTCTGAAGTGACTCCATTAATTCTGCTTATTTCTTTGGTCCCTATATGCTACTTTTTGAGAATTTCAGGAGTAGAGAATCCAGAGGCCTGTACCAGGGGTCCACAGACCTGGGTCTTCATTTCGTCCCAACTACTGATCTTCAGCATGACCCCAGAAAGGCTGCTCACCTCTCTCCCTTGGCAAATCCAAGGCATCTTGAGAAGCTCCACACAAAAGCCACAGGGTTGGCAACGTTTGCCCAGAGGCCTTTGAGCAGGTTCTAGAACAGAATTCTGTGGTGACAAGTTCCTTTTCTGATGTAAACTATGGAGCCTTAAACCAGAAATTGCACATTCACTCCTAAAAACAGATACACACACACACACACACACACACACACACACATATATATACACACATACATATATATATACACACACATACATATATATACACACACATACATATATACACACACACATACATATATACACACACATACATATATACACACATACATATATATACACACATACATATATACACACATACATATATACACACACATATATATACACACATACATATATACATACACATACATATATACACACATACATATATACACACATACATATGTACACACACATACATATATACACACACATATATACACACACACATATATATACACACACATATATACACACACATACATATATATACACACACATATATACACACACATACATATATACACACATATATACACACACACATATATATACACACACATATATACACACACATACATATATATACACATACATATATACACACACATATATACACACACATACATATATACACACACATATATATACACACACATACATATATACACACACATACATATATATACACACATATATACACACATACATATATACGCACACACATACATATATACACACATATATATACACACATATATACACACATACATATATACACACACGTACATATATACACACATATATATACACACACATACATATATATACACACACATATATACACACATACATATATATACACACATACATATATACACACACATACATATATATACACACACATATATATACACAGACACATACATATATATACACACACACATATATACATATATATTATGTAAATATTTTAAAATATATGCTTCTATATATTATAAATATATATTATTCAGGAGACTCAAGTCCATAGACTCAAATCTATACTCACTCCTCTCCCCAACACATACAAACACAACTGTGGGAGTTCAGAAAAAAAGAAAAATCACTTTATTCACACACAAAAAAAAAACACAACTGTAGGAGTTCAGGAAAAAAGAAAAATTCACTTAATTTGAGGAGAGTAGCCATTTTGGCAGGACTTGAAGATAGTTTCTGAGTGCACAGAGAAGGGAAATTTGCAGGCAAGGGGATGGGAGGTGATAAGTAGGGTGACCACATAATGCACTCTAAAAACTGAGAGTGAAAGGGCCCACTCTGGGTAATTACACTCAGATGCAATCTGGACTATCAGGATCCTAAAGGGGCACATGTGTGTTCTCTGCAGAAGCAGCTTTGCTTGTGTGGTAGAGTGTGTGGGAAAATAGTATCCTCTCTGTTGAGAAATATTCTTGATCTCCATATTAGAAGAGGCTGTGCTTCTCTCAGGAAAAATAAATAATCTTGTGGACACCATGAAAAATATTCAGATTCCCATCTTTGCTGTAGCTTCTAGAAATCTTGGAGCCAAAGGTGGGCCAACACACAGGAAATACACAGGAGTATCCAGATACGAGCTCCACAGGCTTTGTATTCCACACCTAATTTCCCTCCTACCCTTCCCTTAGGTTTCCTACCCTTATTTTCTCTGTGTACATCTTTTTTATCCCAATAATTTAAATTTTAATTTAACTCGTTGAACTATGTGCATGTTTATTGGCTGCCTTAAATTGTTTCACGAATAAGTCAGGCTATAAACAAGTACATAAATGAGGCAGACAGGCTAGTGGATAAATTATAAGACTAATAATGGATTTTGACCTCATTTTACAAGGTTGCCACAATACTACCTTGTGGATCTGTCTACAGTGAAAGACAGACAAAGAATTTTGACTTATTAAGTTCTATAATCAAGGAACTGTGCTTGCTGTTTTTCTCATTATTCTGCTTAATCCACACAGCAACCCATGAGTTGGATATTCATTTCCCTAAGTTACAAATGAGAGCACCAAAGCAGTATATAATCTGGTTAAAAACAGCAGGCTTTGAAGTCAAAGAAACCTGGATTCAAAACCCAGCTCTCACACTCACTAGCTTGACCAGCCTAAGTTCCACTCACTTCTGTGAGACTCAGTTTCGGTCTGCATAAAATGGGGATACTGTTCTCCCTATTTTGAGGATTGTTCTGAGAGTTTAATTGCATGCTAAGTTTTTCTCCCTTCCACAAGATCACATCACTAAGTGGTGTCAGGATGTGAGTCCACTCTGTGCCCCTACCCTCCCTTTCCATAATTGCACTAGATTCCAGAAATCACGCCACAGCAATGAGACCCAGGACCAGTGAATTGTAAGTGCCAGCCCTACTGCATAATTGATGAATTTATTGCAAAGTATTTATGGGGCACGTACTATGGACTGAGCAACACTGGCTGACCTGACTGTCCTAACTCCCTCAGTGCCAGATGTTTTGCACATCCTCCCCAAAGAGGCGTGGGGTGGGCAGTGGCATTAAGATAGGACTTTGCTTCAGCAAAGAGATGATCCCTCCTAATTCCTAGGGGAAGCTAGACTGTTTTCCAATCCAGAACCTCAGAAATCATATCATAGACCAGTAGATTGTCAGCTCATTTATTGCACCTGTGGTGGTTAATACTGAGTGTCAACTTGATTAGATTGAAGGATACAAAGTATTGATCTTGGGTGTGTCTGTGAGGGTGTTGCCAAACGAGTATTGATCCTGGGTGTGTCTGTGAGGGTGTTACCAAACGAGTATTGATCCTGGGTGTGTCTGGGAGGGTGTTACCAAACGAGTATTGATCCTGGGTGTGTCTGTGAGGGTGTTGCCAAACGAGTTTAACATTCAAGTCAGTGGGCCGGGAGAGGCAGGCCCACCCTTCATCTGGTTGAGAACAATCTAATCAGCGGCCAGTGCGGCTAGAATATAAACAGGCAGAAAAATGTGAAAAGATCCTGGCCTAGACTTCCCACCTACATCTTTCTCCTCTGTTGGATGCTTCCTGTCCTCGAACATCGGACTCCAAGTTCTTCAGTTTTGGGACTTGGACTGGCTCTCCGTGCTCCTCAGCCTGCAGATGGCCTATTGTGGGACCTTGTGATTGTGTGAGTTAATACTTAATAAACTCATATATATATATATATATATATATATATATATATATATATATATATGTGGAATATATATATAGTATATATAATATATATAATATTCCATTAGGTCTGTCCTGCCAGAGGACCCTAATACAACCTGCATTTGTGGAACACACACTGTGTAGTAAGCAGGCCCCTAGGGAGCAGGTGTAAGGGGATATGTCCTAAATCCAGATGCCTCCTGGGCTACTTCCCACTTCACAGCTGCAGGAATAGATGTTTTTTCAGGGAGAGTTTTGGGACGAGCAAAGATCTGAAGACTCCCAAGGGTATTCCTCACCTCTTCTGGGCTACTTCGTTCTGATCATTAACTCCTCCAGGTCACGGCCTCCCGCTCACTCCATGCTTCCTGCTCGTTACCTCCCTTCTGGGAGGTGTGTGTGTTTCTACCTCAGAGGCAGCTGGAATAGTCACTTATGGCCTCATTTGGTGTGGTTAATTGGTGGAAATGATGATGCCTCTCATTAGTGAGCACCCAGCAGCCCTGGAGCATCAGAGGAGAGGGGCAGGAAAGTCTGAGGCTGAAGCAGGGGCACCTGGCCACTGGATCATGTCTACAGTTGACTTGTTGCTAGAAGTAGGAGGGGATCCTTCATCTCTGCAGTCTCCCAGTTACTGGGGAATGGCTGTTACCAACTAGCGAGAGAGTGAAGATTAGAGCATGGAGTTTAATTAGGAAATCCACTGGAATAGTTCTCACACATGCCAGCCACTCAGGAGTCTCTCTGTGTGTCTTCCACTCCCTACTCTACCTGTGCACTACCTACACTCAGAAACCTCTGTCTGGGAGAAGCCTCCGTGCTCTGAGTAGAATGCAAAGGGGAAGATTCAGAGACCATAATCCCCTCAACTGCAGAAGGGCTGGAGTATGCAGAGCTCAGCTGAGGATTCAACAAGGTGGGAAGGAATGGCCTGTGTGTGTGTGGATGTGTGCACATCCCTGGTGGTGAGCAGCCACTCATGCCATGCCTGGACCTTGCAGAGCTCAGGTTAGGTCAGAAATGGTCAGCAAACAAGATGAATGTGCAGAACAGGCCCAGGTGTAGCTCCGAAGTGTGCATTTAGCCGATTTCTTTGTGAGGATCTGTGAGCAGAGAGCGAAAAAAGTCATTCCTTGATCAAGGGATCCCTCAGTTCAAGTACAGGAGACACCACTCATGCCGTGCAGGAAGTTCCGGGTAATGAAGGCAGCATGGAGAAGGGGATCATTACATAGAGGGTGGGAGAGGTCCAGGAAGAACAGAGGGAAGGGGATGCTCCATGTGAGTTCCTGGGGCAGCAGAGGAGAAAAGGGCAGCCTGGACAGACGAGGGGCCTGGTTGGGGGGCAGGAGGCTCTCATTACAGCTGGGGTTCCAAGTGGTCCAAGATAAAACTGGAAACATCCTCAAGTATGAAGAGGCCGAATGACTCATTTAAAATGTTTTTGACTTTCATTTTTCAGCCACCAGGTTCACCTGAAGTGGCCTCAGCCCTGAAAGCAGGGATTTGCTCTCTAGCCTGAGTCATCCTTCAGCTTCTTCCAGATCACTGTGGGCTCAACCTCAAAGGAAGATGCTCGTGGCTGATGCCACCAAGACCAGGAGGGAAGCACGTGTCCCAAAGTCCCTAAGTGGTTGGCAAGCTTGCCGGTGGCAGGGCAGACTTCCCCATGGAAAAAGAGCCTCCCAGGGCAGCATCTGTAGCTCCAGTGCTGCTGACCAAGGGCTGGAGATGGCTGCAGTGTCCTGAAATGGACATTGAGGAAACCCTCTGCCCCCTTGTCCCTGGGGAGAGGGGCTGCCTGAATGCTGTGGCATGGGTGGGTAGGGGAGAGGCTTCTCAGCAAAGCTAATGAAATTTCAGAGTAAATTTCCCCCCACGACTGTATTTCGTTCCAGAGCCATTAGGATGCTGCTTCCATTCTTTCCATGCCAGTGGCACCTCTGCCTCATTTGCATGTCCTGCGAGCTCCTCCGCTCTGGTGCTGAGAAATTGCTCTGTCAGTAAAAGATGCTTTGAAAGGAATCAGCATAAAGCCATTTGCCAAAGCCAGACAAGGAACCGTCTGGTTCCTCTTCTCCACTCATCAGGGCCCTCCCCAGGCAGGGAGCTCTTTGGGAAGTCGAAGTGCTCACCACTCACACCAGTTAACCCCGGATTGATGTAAGATAGGGTCGCTTTTAAATAAATCAAACACAATCAAAGCACAGAGATCCAAAAAGGCCCACAGCTGGGAGCTGTGTACCTAGGGAGGCCCCTGTAAGGTCAGACTTAGAAGAAGGAGCTCAGGCTTGGTGTCAATTGTCAGAAACAAAATGAGTTCAAGCCCTACCTCAGCAACTCACTGGAGGTGTGAAATTCCCTGATTCTTCCTTTCCTCATCTATAAAGTGAGGATGGCCATTTCTGTCCCCTTTGCATTGCAGAATTACTCAGGATCAATTGAGAGAATGTAGAGCTGAGTAAACTGCAAATTCTGCAACAAATACTGAGTATCAAATGAGTTTGAATCCTAGGTGTACTGCTGGTGGGCTGTGTAGTCTTAAATGATCTCTTTATTTCTCTGTGCCTTGGTTTTAATGCAAATAAACATTACTAGTATAAATATTTGATAAGGATAAGTGCATAATATATGTGGTACCTGGTTCATGCTCAGTGATTTGTACATATTTGCTGTTGTCACTGTTGTTGTTATCGTCATGGTCCTGAAGACAGAAATTCCTGCCAGCCCCTCCCTCTAGTAGCTTATGGTCCCCAAGTCATCATGGGTGCAGGATCCTAGCACTTCCTTCCTGGTATATTGATGGCGTCACACGATGCTGGAATTGAAAGGGACAGTAGTAATCTACCACCTACACTGTGCCAGGTTGTGTGCTAATCCTCTCAGCAACATTTTGAGATCCGGTATTATCAACTCTGTTATAAATGAAGAAACTCTCTCAAGAAGATCAACAAAAAGACACAATGACCTAGTGCAGAGACACAGAGATAAGAATTGCAGAAAGTAGCTTCAATCTCCAGGGCAGAGAATAGCATAGAGATAAGCTGGGGTGACTAGAACCTAGAAGGGTGAAGGAGGCACCTAGCAGAGCTGGCTGGGCTCTGCCTTCTGAGGCTGAGGCTGTGCCGCACCTCTGGGGCTCAGAGGAGGGACCATGAGGGTTGAAACCCACCTCTGGGGAGGGTATGCTTGTCCCTCTGAAGAAGAGTGAAGAGACTGGCCCTGGGAGAGCTGGTAGGAGCAGGAGACCAGGACCCGTGGCTACTGCAGGCAGCCACTGCTGAGGGACCACCTGCAACTCCTGGAGGGAAGAATTAACTCTGGGCAGAGCTGGCAGGGCGGCAGCTGAAAAGGAAGGACCAAAAGCAAGCTAGCAAAGGAAGAAGGTTATTGGCAGAGCTCTGTCCCCAGCATGACATCACAAAGTGGCCTGGAGCAAGGTTGGTTTAAAGCTGCCAGTTGAGAGCTTAGCAACTGCAGTCCCACCTCGGCTGCATAGCGGCCAGGCAAATCAAATGACCACTAGGAAGTTCAGTGAGCAACAGTAACACCCTGAGGCATTCTCCAGGCAAGATGCAATATCCCTTCATAAAATGAAGATGCACTGATTCTCACCTCAAAATGGGACTTAAAATGCAAAATAATCATCGTCTTCACATTTGATGACAGCTCAGGTATCCATCTCTGAGTGATGTTAGTTATTCTCAAATTTAGTCAAAATAATCTGAATATCATTTAATCTATAGACTAAATTATGAAAAAAATAAAAACTTGTAACCCAAATGCTTTTTTAAAATAATTAGGGAAGAAACAGGAGAGGATGAGAAATTTGTAAATAAATACATTATGTACACACAAACACACACACCACTCAAATGAGGTATATGTTGCTTCCAAAATGCAAAAATATTACCAAGAGCAGTCTGCCATGTGTACTGGTCTCTTTATGGTTTTTTGTGTGTTTGTTTGTTTGTTTTGAGATGAAGTCTCGCTCTGTCACCCAGGCTGGAGTACAGTGGCACGATCTTGGCTCACTGTAACCTCCTTGAACTCCCAGTTTCAAATAATTCTCCTGCCTCAGCCTTCTGAGTAGCTGGGATTACCCGCATGCCACCATGCCCTGCTAATTTTTGTATTTTTAATGGAAATGGGGTTTCACCATTTTAGCCAGGCTGGTCTTGAGCTCCTGGCCTCAAGTGATCCACCTGCCTTGGCCTCCCAAAGTGCTGGGAATACAGGCGTGAGCCACTGCGCCCAGTGTGCCCATTTATGTATTTATTATTATTATTATTATTTTAGTAGTAGGTCATGCAAAATGATCTAACTTGACTTTCACCTTGAAGATGAGGCGACAATGTACTTCAGCACTGTAGATGCTCAGGAAGTACATGCAGTGTCAGGCCCATGATTTTTTTAAGCCTTCTTATTTTGAGATAATTTTAGACTTTCATAAGAGTTGTGAAAACAGTAGACAGAATTCCCATACACTTATCACCCAGCTTCGTCTTATGTCATCAATTTACATAGCAACAGGAGAAATATCAAACCTAGAAAATTAACCTTTACCTAACACTATTGTTTAAACTAACGAACATATTTAGATTTTATCAGCTTTTCAGTTTGCACTGTTGTCAGTTTTTTCCATTTCAGGATCCAGGATCACACATTTCACAGTTGTTATGTCTGTAAGTGTCCTCCAATCTGTGATGTTTTCTCAATCTCCCTTTACTTCATAACCTTGACACTTTTGAAGAGTACTGGTTAGTTATTTTACAGACATCCCTCCGTTTGAGTTTGTCTGGAGTTTTCCTGTGATTAAATAATGTGGTGTGCAGTCTTTCTCAGAGCAATGGTATCAGGGATACCTAAAGTCAGTATGTCCTTACTAATGATGTCGACCTTGATTGCTTGGTTAAGACAATGTCTGGTAGGGTTCCATGCTGTAAAGGTGTTATTTTTTTCTTTTTAAGTTGCTAAATGTTCCGGGGGAGATAGCTTTAAGCCATGTAAACACCAGTTGTATCTTAGACTTTTGCCCACTAAATTTAGCATTCATTGGTGGATCTTGCCTGCAGCAATGATTTTTCATCTGTCCCTCCTCTTGTAGCTGAAGATAGCATGGTACTGATAGAAGATTCGGAGCTCAGAACTGTTTTCTCCCCTTCCTCTCAGGGTAGAGGATTTCTCTCTCTCTCTCTCTCTCGCTCTGTCTCTCTCAACAATGAGTCTTTACCAGTACCTTGAGGGTGACAAGATTTGAGAGAGGGGTCTGCGCAGGGGGTCCAGGCTTCCAGACTCCCCACAGCCAAGTTGACACTTCTTCCACACCTGCACCACTGCAGGAGGCTCTCTCTGTGCCTCCACCAACCCCCATCTTTCTCCTGAAAGGCGAGATTCATGAGAAAGAGCCTGCGCCTGTGTGGGTTCCCAGGGCCTCGATGCTCACACTCAGCCTTTATAGGTTTATTAACACCATCGCTGATTTCTCACCCTTTCCTCTTGGCTGCCACCCCTTCCTCCCAGGTTGCACCTTCCTGTTCACCTCTTTTTGGGGCCAAGGAGATTCTCCTCCTTTGCATTCCAGATGAGCTTGTTGCCTCACACCCTCAGCTTTCTGATGGATTTAACACAAGTTTTGGTTTTACGTACAGGCTTTCCAGCTTTCTCTCAAGGCTAGGGTGGGAGAGAGACTCCTTCCACGTCTGCATCTTGGCTCTCCAAGGGCACATGAATTCATTTCCCATGGCTGCCATAAAAATTGGCACACACCGGGTGTATTAAAACAATAAAAATTCATTCTTTCACAGTTCTGGACGCCAGAAACCCCAGATCAAGATGTCAGCAGGCCAAGGCCAGTGCTCCCTCTGCAGGCTCTACGGGAGAAGCTTTCCTTGCTTCCGACAGCTTCTGCTGGCTCCAAGGGTCTCTTGAAGTGTGGCTGCATCATTCCAGCCTCTGCATCTGTGTTCACGTGGACGTCTCATCTGAGTCTTAAATCCTCTGCCTTTCTCTTATAAGAGCACTTTTCACTGGATTTAGGTTTCACTTGGATAATCCAGGATGATCTCATCTCAATTTTTAAAATTTAGTTACGTCTGCCATGACTCTTTCACTAAACAAAACAAGGTCACGTTCACAGGTTCCAGGGTTTTGACGTGGAAAAGTCCTTTGGGGGACTTGTAGCCCCCACATCTGAGAACAGGTTGGGCCTTTGTGTTGGTAACTTCTGTCCCTCAGTGGATATCAGGGAGGAGCACAGCAAGCACTAAACTCCAGGATCCCAAACGGTTTGCTTCCTCCTCAACAGCCTGTGCACAGCAGAGGTCTACACCTCCGTCTCAGCCTTTCCTGTGCAGGTCGCCCTATCTGCCCATTCCTATCCCGGGCAGTCACAGGCCCTGAGGCAAGACACATTCCTGACCTTTGTTCTCACTGCTGGTTTTTTTTTTTTTGAAACTTCTCCTAGATGTCTCCCTGTGTCAGCCTTTCTAGTTATTCCACTATCTGCTCAAACTTTACCTCCTTGGAGGGCCTCCCTGAATACACTGTGTACAACAGCACCTCTGTCCTCACCACTCGCTCTGCCCCCCACTCCTGCTTTGTCTTTGCAGCACTTGTCATTATCTGTCACTATATTCTCTGTGTTTGATATTTACTGGTTGATTGTCTCTTCTCCAATAGAATGTAAGTTCTAAGTGGGTAGGGAATTTGTTTTGTGCATGGCTTTCTATTATATTCAATACTTAATGAAGTGTCCAGGACATACTTGGTGCTCAAAAAATATTCATTGAATCAGCTAATCAATTGATCCATGCCATAGCCAAGTGCATGCCATCCTTCAGAGTGGACACACTGGAAGGTATATGGTCATTTCAATAATGTGAAGATGATGTTAAGATAGTTTAATACTATTTCCCATTTATGGTGCATCTGCTATGGGCAAGAAATATGCACACAAGCTCACACACACACACCATTCTCTATTCATCAAGTGACATTGCAAGGAAAGTCGTTTCATTCTGATTTTGATGTTAAAAAGCCAAAACTTTAAAAAAGTTAAGTAACTCATCCTAAGCCCAGTTTTCCTTGGAATGGGAAATTTATCCTCAGCCTTACATGATGTTATTACCTAGTTTCGATATCAGAGTTATGCTGACCTCCTAAGTTAGGAAGGGTACCTTTTCCTTTATTTTTACGTAATTTTTGCAGGATTGGTATTTTATTTTCTTAAATGCCTGATAGATTTTACTAGTGAAGCCCTCTGAGCCTGGGGCTTTCTTTTGGGAAGATTTTTAATTAGGAATTTAATTTGTTTAACTAACATAAATCTAGTCAAATTCCCTATTACTCTTTTCTATGTGTTTTAGTAAATACCGTTTTTAAAAGTGTCCCTTCCTCTATGTTGCAAAAAAATAATGTGGCATACATTTGTTCATAACATTCTCCTGTTTGTCATTTAATACCTGTAAGGTCTGTAGTCATAGCTCCCTTTTTCAATGACTATATAAATAATCTGTTCCTTCCCTTTTTCTTGATTATATCAGACAGAAAGTTTATCAATTTTATTGAATCTTTTCAAAAGAGTAAGTTTTTAAAAATTTTTCTCTAACATTTGTTTGATATCTGTTTCATTGATTTTGGCTTCTCTCTTTTTTTTTTTTCTACTTTGTTTAATGTGGATTTTTTCTTGTTAACCTAATTAGGTGAAAACTTAGATTGCTGATTTTAATATGTCCTATTTTTACTGTAAACTTTTAAAGTTATATACTTTAAAGTATTGTTTTAGCTGTCTTCCACAAATGTGGATATATGTGGTTTATAATTTAGTTCAAGTGTGTTCTCATTTTCATTATAATTTATTTTCTGACTAGTGAGTTCTTTAGAAATGTCTGGCTTAAATTTTGAATATTTGAGAAATACCTGGATATATTTTTCTTGTTGATTTTCTAATTTTATTTCATTGTGGTCCTGAATAGCCTCTCTGTCATGTGAACCCCATGAAATTTATTGACTTTGTGGCTCAATATATGGTCAATATTGTCACAACATTGTGTCTATGTACTCTCAATTAAAATGTCCATTTTGTGGCTACTGAGTGTCATGTTTTCTAAGTTTTAACTACTGAATGTGATTTCATAATACTCTTCAGAATGTATACATCACTACTCATTTTTAGTACAATAGTTCCATTAATTACTGAGAATGAAAATTAAAATCTCAAGTTGTAATTGTAAATTTTTCTGTCTGCCTTTTCTTGTGTCAGATTTTCTTCATCTACTTTGAAACTTTGTCAGTTGAACATACATTTAGAATTTTTTGTTTTCATGAGTTAACCTCTTATCTTTAGGAGAGGTCTAATCTCTATCTCTACATAATACATTGCCTGAAAGGAATACTTTTACAGATATTAATATAGCTTTTCCAGAATTTTTACAATTAGTGCTTGTATGGTATAGCTTTTCTTTTTCCTTTTCCTTTTAGCACATCAGTATTTATATTTAAAATCCATCTTTTTTAATCAATATATACTCAGGCTTGACTCTTTAACGCAGTATAACAAAACATTTTTAATTTGAGTGTTTAGTCCATTTATATCTAATACAAATATTGATATTGGTCCTTGCAAAATCCTTCTAACTTGACATTGTCCTGAAATATCTAGGCAATCTCAAGGACATATAACATATGAGGTTGGTTGATCAACCCATTTTCAAAGCCCATACTCTAACCCACATCTCTATTACTAGCTTAAACTATAGAGACTAATGAGTCAGATACTGCCTTTTCCAGCTTTTCTTGTACTCAGGAATACTTTTGACCGGACTCTGTATAATTAGAGGTTAAAAAAAATCATTTGAGTTTCTAGGGCAACCTATATTTTTGGTAGGAGTAAGAAACTGAACATAGGCTGGGTGCGGTTGCTCACGCCTGTAATCCCAACACTTTGGGAGGCTGAGGAAGGCAGAGCACGAGGTCAGGAGTTCAAGACCATCCTTGCTAACACAGTGAAACCCCATCTCTACTGAAAACACAAAAAATTAGCCAGGCGTGGTGGTGGGCACCTGTAATCCCAGCTACATGGGAGGCTGAGGCAGGAGAATCTCATGAACCTGGGAGGTGGAGGTTGCAGTGAGTCTAGATCACACCACTGCACTCCAGCCTGGGCAACAGAGCAAGACTCCATCTCAAAAAAAAAAAAAAAAGAAAAAAAGAAAAAGAAAAGAAACGAAACATAAAGCATTATTCCTCCACCTCCTTTTTCTGCATTAATTGTGGACTTAGTGATGTGTACTGTGGCAACCATGCATGACCAAGAGAGAAGGGACAAGAGACTTTTAGGTAGCTGCTCCTAAATCATTGATTCAGCAGCTACCTATTTCCAGACTTCTTATTCTGGAGAAAGATAAACCTACAAGCCGCTGAAAGGATTCTTGACTGATTCACCTACACCCCCTCAAAACTGTTGTTTATTTATTACTCACCATTGCCACCAGTGAGTAAGAGCGGTCTGGATGAAACACTGAGAGGTCCCCTTCTACCTGCCACTGAGTGTCAGCCACCACACAGCAATAAGAACCACTCCCCTCAAGTCCTCAATTCTGTTTCTGAGCCTAACCAGGGTACTTCTTCACTTATGGTAGGGGTTGAGGTGGGAGAAAGGGTCTCCCTCTTTCATTTGAAGGGAGCAGCTCTCACTTCCAATGCCCTGGAAGGGCCTCTTCCTTAGAAAGTGTGAAGATTGACTCTGAGGCAAGAAACGTAATGTTGGCACTGTTCATGTCACATTATGTGTAAATTACAATGCCTCAGCTCTTCCTTCTAGCCTTCCCAGCTTCCATCAGAACCGCACCAGGACCTCTCAGTTGTGCACATTGCCTACAGCCCTCTTGCAAAACAGTTCAGGAGTTAATTTCCCCTCATATCTCTCTGACTCCAGTGTACGCTGCAGCATGCATGCTTTTGCAGAGGGGCACCGCTGACCTTCCTGTATTGAGCTCATCTGAGTCCCTGCGCTAGTCCAGGACCTTCATGTGATGATGTCAGTTCCCCAAGCTTGGAGTTACTTCTTAGACTGCGGAGATGCTCCATTAATATTGGTTAGCTTAAAGAAGTTTGAAATGAAGGCTCATAGAAGTCATTTGCTAAAAGACTTTTTATGTTGATGAAAGATTCTGGGAACTTCTGCCCAGCCTGATTCAGGAGTGCCTCAAAGACCCAGAGCAACATGGAAGTCCAAGTCATGAAGGCAGAGGCTTCCAGGGCCAACCTCTGTTTCAGAAGACTCAGAAACCCAGAAGTGGCTACTTATGATGGCAGAGATCTCCAGGATGCTAATTAGCTGTTGACAGGACCCCACCCCAGCTGGAAATCAGGAGGAGCTGCCAGACTGGTAGTACCATTAGGGCAAAGGGTTGGCAGGCTGCTGTTGATCTGTTCCTTCCAGAAGTGGGCCATGGAGGGTATATGACCATCTACTCCCAGCCCTTGTCCCCTCTCTGGCCTGTGGAACTGCTAAAGTCTTTCTTCATTGAGGGCTCAGAGCAGCTGGGGAGACTCAGTCCTCCTAACTTCAGCTGTTTTTCTCTGTTTTTGTTTTCTGTGCTTATTTGGTTTCAACATTTAGCCAACATTAACCAGTCCTAGCATCTCCCAACAATCAGACACTGCAGTTAGAATCCTCCTAATTCTTTCCTAGCAGGTTGCAGCACAGTGTCCCTGCATACACTGGTCCTCATCTTGCCCATGAGTGATACTCTGATAATTTAAACATCTTCCTGAATTTTTCTCCCATGCTTCAGCCTTAGCTGTGAAGGGCTGAGCCATCTTTTCAAATTCTGCTGTCTCACTGACTTTTGGGGGTTTCTGTTTCCTTCCCCAAGTCCCTGTGCACATAGACCTTGCACACCTTACCCCTGAGCAAATTGTTGCATGAAAGCTCTGGGTCCAGATGTCTACTCATTATTATCAGTGGAGCAGAAAAGTCATGTGCTCTTGGTCCCAATATGTGGAATGCAGGAGAGACGGGGAACCAGATGGGGCTGCCTCTGTCCAGGTCAGGACCCTTTATTATGACATTCTCATTATTTCTCCTTCCTGCTCCAATCTGCCCCAATAAAGCAGCACTATATATACACCTATCTAGTCTTGGAAAACCCCTGCAAAACAAAAGACCCATGAAAGGCATCTGGAGATGAAAAGATAAGGAGAGAAGAGATTCTTGAGGACTTGCCTTCCAGATCCTATGTTTAGGTTTCTACAAGAACTTCAAAAAACTGCCATCAAGCTGTGTGTACTCCACAGAGTATAAATGTGGGGTCATAAAGGTTGAACACAAAGGCATGCTTTTCAAGGCCCAAGGCACTGGTGATACTAATAGGATATTCACCATTTCAGAGAATTGGTGGGTCTCGGCTTCCAAAGGGTCAACTTAGCTTGGCAGTGCAAGAAATGTCACTGTGAGCAAACATATAGCAGAAAACTCAAGTGAACATAATTATTACAGTTATAAAAATTTAGGTCAGCATTTCATATCAATATAGATCCTAGGATGTAGGCAAAAACGAACCCTGAACACATGCAAAGAGAGCAATATAACAAAAGGAAGCAAATTTCCAGCCCTTTCCCTCTCTGTCTCTTTCTCTCTCTCTCTCTCTCTCTCTATATATATATATATACACACACACACCTATATAATATAGTAGATATATATAAAATAGTATACATATACACACACATATATCATGTAATGGATATATATAAAATATTATACACACACACACACATATATATATATAGCTATCAACTTAATGCCAGAGACAGTCCTCTGAGACAAGCACACCCAAAAACTATTGGTGAGAGTATCATAAATTTTTATAACCTTTCTGAAAACAACTAGGCATTTATGTCAAGAACCATAAAAACATTTATATTTTTACCCACAATTATCATATTATTGCACTCAGAAATTAT
The DNA here is from genome assembly GCF_000001405.40 of Homo sapiens. Classification (NCBI taxonomy): domain Eukaryota; kingdom Metazoa; phylum Chordata; class Mammalia; order Primates; family Hominidae; genus Homo; species Homo sapiens. The sequence goes on along the minus strand of NC_000011.10, from coordinate 134,813,129 downwards.
TAGAGATGTTTCAGAATATATTTAAAGTGGGGTTAAATAGAATTAAATGGCATAAAGAAGAGGCTAAAGGGAAATGTTTACATAAATTACAGTGAAACCACAAACTATTTGAAATGGTAATTTCTGCAAATGTTTAATAACAGAAAAAATAACTATAATTAATATTACGTCCAATGAACAGGATACAAAACTATAGATACAGAGTGATCTCAACTACCAAATGCATGTTTATTTTTGTTTGTTAGTATGTTTTTCTTGAGACAGGGTCTTACCCTGTTGCCCAGGCTGGAGTGCAGTGGTGCAATCATGGCTCACCGCAGCCTTGACCTCCCTGGGCTCAAGGATTTCTCCCATCTCAGCTTCTCAAGTAGCTGGGACCATAGGCGCACACCACCATGCCCAAATAATTTTTTAAATTATTTGTAGAGATAAGGTCTCCCTATGTTGCCCAGGCTGGTCTTAAAACTCCTGGACTCAAGCAATTCTCTTGCCTTGGCCTCCCAAAGTGCTGGGATTACTGGCATGAGTCACCATGCCCAGCCTGAAGTACATGTTTTTGCTTTTTGTTTTTGTTTTTGTTTTTTGGAGACAGAGTCTTGCTCTGTTGCCCAGGCTGGAGTGCAGTGGCATGATCTTGGGTTCTGCAGCCTCCACCTCCTGGGTTCAAGCAATTCTCTGCCTCAGCCTCCCAAGTATCTGGGACTACAGGCACATGCCGCCACAGCCAGCTAATTGTTTGTATTTTAGTTAGACGGAGTTTCACCGTGTTGCCCAGGCTGGTCTCAGGCTCCCGAGCTCTGGCAGTCCGCCCACCTTGGCCTCCCAATTGCTAGGAGGACAGGCGTGAGCCACCTCACCGGCCAGTACATGTTCTTTATGATAAAAACTTGATGTACATGCACCCAGCCACTAAGCATCGTCCTCTCTTGGCAAGATTATGCGGGGCTTATTTTCTTCATTATCCTTTAAGAATTATCGGATTTTCTAAAGTATGTGTGCATTATTAAAACTCAACTTACCATTTGGTCTGGAGAAACGACTAACCTCTAAGAATACCCCTAAGGCCATCGAGTAAGAGGACATTCACCATTCTATTGGCAGTGTTCCCAGCTGCATTTTTCAGAAAGATGGGGACAGTCTTCACGTAACCGTTGCGTGTATTGACAAATCATTGACAGAGTCAAGGAGCATGGCACCAAGGCTGGCTGTGTGGAGGCGTTTCTATGAAGGGTGACTAAGCTCTGGCCCTAAGACATCGCTTTGCCTGTTTGGAACGCTCGTGATTGTCATGTGGTTGGCTTTGGTAGAAGGAAGCCAGGTCTCTGCAGTTTCATCTTAACCTGATGATATTGGAAACTCACGACCAATGAATGCCCTGGTCTTCCTGTCTTCAGGTGGAGAGCTCAGTCTCTGACCCCTCAGCTCCACCCCATGCAGTCCGCTCCTGCCACCCTCATCTCCCACATCCCTCCTCCTCCAATTCACTCTCATTTGCTTTATCTCCTTGACAAGGCCTTCATATGCCAAGGGAAGTAAAAAGAAAATTAGCTTTAGTTTAAATTACCTAGAGAACTTCTGACAAGGACTATTTCTGAAAATAAGGCATACACCCTCCCTCTCCCCCAAGCTTGCCCCTCTATTGTCTGTTTATTCAATGCATTTATGTAAACCTTTTGCTGGTCACAGGATATATATGTGCATATTTGTATACATACATGTACTTACATAAACACAAACATATTACTGCAAATAAACATGTTAATCAATAAATGTATGCACATACATCTTACATGTGCAAGCATATACCCACAAACACATACACTTAAAACTGTGCATGTACCTACTCGTTGGCACATCCAGCACATCCAGTGCCCCCTGCATAACAACTTCTACCCTGAGTATATATTTGGAGAAGCTGTAATTCATATGGTGAAAGCCAGTATAGTATTCTGATTAAGAGTTCAGGCTCTAGAATAAGACTATAACAGCTCAAATTTCGACTCTGCCATTTGTTACCTGGAAAATAGTATGTAAACTCTCTGCACTTTTAATATGAGGCTCATTATACTATTATACCATAGGCTTGTTATGAGGCACAACCGAACGAACATATAAAAACCCCTTAGCAGGCTGTGCCACATAGTAAGTGCTCAATAAGTGTTTCCCATATATAGAAACCTTCTGAATGGAGCTTAACATATAACCCATGATGACATGCTTATGGCTCTACTAATGACTCAGTTTACCCCATCTCGTATGCAAGGCCATACATGGTATAATGTGAATCCACAAGTCTCCAAAGCGAGGTCTGCAGTGGAGAGATGTTCTGCTGTCTGACAGCAGGTCCATGGCCCAGCTGAACTCCTCCTCATATGAAGTACAGTCTCTATGAGGTAAAATCAGTGCTAAGAGTTCCAGTGGATGGAAGAGTGACCTTTCTCTAAAGAGCAACTCAGTCACTTTCAATTTTTTAGAGAAGAAAAGTTTTGCTTAGTAAGAGGCCCTCGATGCTGGGAGTCAGAAACTCAATAATAAGCCAAGAATTCTAAAAGCAAATAATCCCATTGAGCAGACCAAACAGATCAGGGATGTCATGTTAACTTTATACTAGAAATCAAATTTATTTATTCTTATTCTAAGAAGAAGGTCAACAACCTCATCTTCAGCAATTCACTTTCATTCAAGAGACATAAGTCTGTAGCCACAGCCATGAAGCCTGGGGAAGAGACCCATAGAGACATAGTGAACAAAACAATCCCTAGAACATGTCATGTTTCAATTTAGTTCTGTAATATATTTTAAACATTCAACAAATAAGCATTTTTCAGTACTGTAGTAGATTTAGACATTTCTGAGGCTAAGGGATGTCTTGCTCCATTAATGAAGAAAAGACAAATATATATATAATTCTCATGCTTTTTATATATCTGTTGGCAGTGGTCTCAAAGGACAATGAACATGCGGAATTATCTATCCCATTAATATGACTTGGAGGATTTTAGATTAGGTCAAACGTCATCTAGAGCTTTGAGGAATTAGTCCTATTTCTCATATTCACAAAAAGTGGACCAAGCCCAATACATTCACCTGCAGAGGGTACGAAGGAGGCCTGGATGGAACAGTGAGGCCTCCTGCCTCCTTCAGCTGGGTGCAGTTCCAGTGGCCTCCCACTGAGGTCTATACTTGTAAAGAAATAATGGCAGCCAGGCATGGTGGCTCATGCCTATAATCCCAGCATTTCGGGAGGCCGAGGCGGGCAGATCACTTGAGGCCGAGAGTTCGAGACCAGCCTGGCCAACATGGTGAAGCCCCATCTCTACTAAAAATACAAAAATTATCCAGGCATGGTGGCATACACTTGTAAGCCCAGCTATTCAGGAGGCTGAGGTGGGAGGATTGCTTGAACCCAGGAGGTGGATGTTGCAGTAAATAAATTGTGCCACTGCACTCCAGCCTGGGTGACGGAGAGAGCAAGACTCTTTCTCAAAAAAAAAAAAAAAAAAAAAAAAAAAAAGTAGCCAGAGGTGGGGGAAAGACATAATGCTTACAGGGAATACGTACATACATATATAGGAATCACATCAGATTTATCCTTAGAAACAAGGGTTTCTTTAGGGTCCAGAGTATACATTTTCAGCCAATCCCAGTCTTCCCTCAATTAATATATTACTTCAGTAATAGTATAAAAGCCATATGACAATATTCTTCTCTCTAACCTTTAAAGTGAGTTGACGATGTTTTGTATTTAACCACATATTTACAGTTCCCTGTAATCTTCAGTCCCTTGTGTTGATCCAGATTTCCAGCTGTTATCATTTTACTTCTGTCAGAAGAATTTACTTTAATATTTCTTGCAATGAAGTTCTCCTAGAATTGAATTCTTTTAGCTTTTATATATCAGGAAATATCTTTGTTTTTGAAAGCTGGTTTTCAAGGGTATGGAATTCTTAGCTGACGGATTATTTTCCTTCAGTAGTTTAAAAATGTTTTTGCATGGGCTTGAGGTGAAGGAAGGAGGGATGACCAGGTGGAGCACACGAGATTTGGGGGCAGTGAGATTATTCTGTATGATCCGTTGACCCTTGAACCATGTGGATTTGACCTGTGTGGATCCCCTTATACATGGATTTTTTTAAAAACAAATATAGTGGGCCTCTGTATTTGTGGGCTCCACATCCACAGCCAGATGCTGATTGAATTTACAGTGTTCTCAGGCAGAAACACCTGCCCATAAGAAAGGCCGGCTTTCTAGACCCCTCGGTTTCCCGGGGCCAGCTGCAGGCTTGAGTGTACATGGTTTGGGTATCAGTGGGAGGACTTGGAACCGATCCTCACAGGTACCAAGACCATGTAATAGCAGATACATGTCATTATGTATTTGTCAAAACCCATAGAATGCATAACACAAAGTGACCCCTAGTGTAAACCATGGGCTTTTGTTAATAACGTGTCACCATTGGCTCATTGCTTGTAACAAATGTACCACATTAATACAAGATAGTCAGGGAAGGTTGAACCATCTTGCATAGTGAAGGAGGTATATGGAAACCCTAAACTTCCCACTCAATTTTTCCGTATGCCTAGAACTGATCTAATAAATAAAAGCTATTAACTTCTGAAAGGGTTTGCACCTTGCCATGATTCCAGAGGGAGTGCTCAGTAGAAGAGCATTTCCCCATCTTGCTGTCCAGCCTGATGAGTTATTTATTGCTAATTCAAAGCTATTGTCAGGACTAATGATCTCTCAAGTTTTCCTCAGGAACTCTCGTGCCTAATATACTTTGGGCTCCTTAAGTTCTTGATCTGATTCTGCTTGTGTAGGGTCTATTCTAACCAAGCTCTTTTTTATCTGTTGCTTGCTTAGTCGTGGATGAGGAGCGCAGGTGCTCCATGTGGAAATGCCCAGAGCTGCTCCCTCCACTTGGTTGTGAGCTCCCCACAGATGGCTATCCTTATGGAGCCCAGTCATCCTTGGTTCTAATTAGCAAATCTGGAGACCTAGTTGATGCTCAGTGACAGCAGTGACATGCTCATCAGTGGATGTGCTTAGTAACACTCACTCCTCGAGTTATCTCTGATTCTATTTATCAATCATATTATAATCAGTTATTATCTGCTTTGTTTTCATTTCTTTAAGATGCTGTTAAACATTTGGGTGTGTGGTACATACACATATTAAATATGCTAATTAAATATCATTAGTAATTTATGCAAAGCCCTAGGCTCAATTTCTCTAAATGTTGTGGCATCTGATGTAGGTGGATAGAAATACATAAGGTCATCCAATCTTCCTCTTATTGCTTTTCCCAGAACTCTTCTTAATGGCATCAGACAAGACACTGATTTGCAGAAATTGCCAAGGTTCTTTGTGAAGCAAGGATAATGCATTTTATAAACAGCCACAGTAATTTTAACTAGAATTGTGAAAACTATTTTACCTCAAGTTAAACAAACTTAGAGAAAGGATCCCAGAGTGAATGCAATCTGAAAAGTAAATTAGGGGCAAACTAGCTGCTGGCAGAGGTCACTGGAGAAAAGTGACAATCAGAATGTCCTTCCTGGGCCATTCCCTTTGCCTAAATGAGAGGCCATCTCCAGTTTGATGGGATTCTCTACCAGAAATCAGAGCTGTGACTACAGCTACATTTCAGAGCTGGAGGAAAATTAAGGACATGGAATTCATACAGAACACGATCAGATCACCTCCTCCTCTCTATCTCCAGTGCCTCCTGTCTTCCTCTTGAAAGGACTGTTGTGATTATCTGGGCACACTTGTATAATCTAGAATAATCTCTACATCTCAAAGTTCTTGAATTTATCACACCTGCAGTGTCCCTTTTGCCATATATTATAAAATAGCATTCACAGATTAATTCACAGGGATTAAGACATGAACATCTCTTTTTCAGCCTATTACAAAAGCTGTATTTATAATGACCTGAATGTCCATCAACAACGCATGGATAAACAAATGTATATTCAAACAATGGAATACCATTCAGCCATAAAAGGAATTACTATCTGACATTTTGAGAACAATGACTTGACCTGGTAATAGAATAGCACTCCAGTTACAGCCAAGAAGTTTTTGAAGTCCACACTCTGTCTTCCTAATTTTGGCCCTCACAGCTACTCCAGTCCCCTAATCATAAACATTGCACCTGAGGATTCTCAGAACCACCTTCCCAGAGAGCAGCTGGGTTGTCCTCCTCAATCCAAGAAAATATTCATTATCCTGAGCAGCCACTGAGAGGAGGCCTCTATCCTGAAGGTTCCAGATTCTCAAGAAAGAAGAAAAAGTTGACATTTCTGGAGATGAGGAGGCTATTAATGAAAATTCAGTAAGAAAAACTGTAAGAGGATTCAAAAGCTATCCATCCACTCGGAGATGCTCTTTACAGGTAGCAAGTTGAGAAGGGAGGAGTGGAACAGCTGTGCCTCCATCAACAGCATCTCCTCGCTGCTCACACCCACCGTTCCCCAGGGCACGTCCGTGTGGCAGGATGGGAGGAAGGATCTCAGTCGCTGATCATGCCATGGCATCCAACATCCCTGTAGGTCAGCCTCCAAGGCCTTCACCCCCCTCCTTTCCTTCTCTCTACCATTTCCATTGCTTGGTCCTTTGCTTCTTCTCCTTAAGCTCCTTGAGCGCTTGCTGCTACAGCTGCTTTGATACATGTAGGGATATGTAGGGCTATGTAGGGCTGAAGTTCATTCAGCCAGGACCAAGTTTCTCTGACTTTACAAGAGGAGGCACTTTCTGGGGTGGGAGCCTGGAAGCTCAACTGAGTCCTGACAGGGAGATCCAGCTCTGTGTGTTGGCCATCACCCCTGTATCCTTTCCCAGTCACTGGGAGCGTGGGAAGAGGGCAGCACCAGGGAGGGCTCCTGACACCTGTGACTCTCACACAGGTCACTCAGCGGTTCCCATTATTTACTTCTGGTCAGGAGCCTGGGTCAGCATGGAGAGAAGGGAAAGACGTGACAAATGCTTTTGTGTTATTATGATTTGGGGCAGTTCGGTAATGTATTAAAATAATTACCTGTGAGAATATCACTGTAGATCATGCGAGCATTAGGAGAATAAGGAAATACCATGAACAGCTCTAGACACAGAAATTGAAAAATTAGATCAAATGAATCAATCCTCATAAAGCGCAAGCTTCCCTAACATGAAATAGATATTTGAAAGTGCGTAAATTACTTAGGAAACTGGGTTCATAATTTAAAACTCAAAATCTCCAGACCCAAATGGCTTCACTTAAGAATTTCACCAAACATTTAAAGAAGAATTAATACCACTTACATGTAGTCTTCTCCAGAAAGTAGAAGTGAAGGAACACTTCTTCCTAATTCCTAATTTCCTTTTCTGAAGCCTCAGATCTCCAAATCAAATAAAACAATACAAAATAGCTCATAAATAAAGATGTAAAAATCCTTAACAAAACAATAGAAAATAGAATCCATTTATTTGTTTGCTTATTCATTTATACACAATAACCATGGGATGCAAGACTAAAGAGCAATTACATGACTATGTCAAACACTGGACAAAAATCAGTACCAATTAAATTCGTAAAAAAAAAAAACTCACAATTACATGACTATGTCAAACACTGGACAAAAATCAGTACCAATTAAATTCGTAAAAAAAAAAAAAACTCAGAAAGCTGGAACTAGAAGGCAACTCCTATCACTTGATAAAGATCATCTCCAAAATTCCACAGCTGACAGGACACTGAATAGTGAATGCTGAATGCATCCCACTCCCATCAAGAGCGAGGTTAGGGTGTTTGCTCTCACCATTCTCATTCCACTTGCTACTGGAACTTCTAGCCATAAGTGGCATACAGATCAGAAAGGAGGAAATAAAACTCTCTCTACTTGCAAATCACATGATCACCTCAATAGAAAATCCCAAGGAATTTAAAACCCCGAAACAAAACAAACCCCCAAGAACGAGTAAGTAATTTCAGCATGGTTACAAGGTTAGCCATACAAAAATCAATTGCATTTCTATATACTAGCAATGCACACATGGAAAGAAAAATTTAAAATACAAAACCACTTATAATCACCAAAGACATGAAACACCTAGATGTAAATCTAATAAATCATACATGCAAATCATATGACGATAACTACAGCATACTGATGAAAAATTTAAAACACGTTTAAACACATGGAGACATGCTGTGTTCCTGGATTGGAATACTCAGCATAATAAAGATGTCAATTCTCCTCAAATTGGTATACAAGTTTAATGTCATTGCCAACAAATTCTAATTCTCAGCAAGCTATTTTGTGGATATAGAAAAGATTGTTATAAAATGTATATGAAAATGAAAAAATACTAGAATAGCTAAAACACTTTTGAAAAACAGTGGGAGGAGTCATTCTATCTGAAGTTAACACCTACAATATACAGATGATCCCCGACTTATGATGGCTTGACCTAGGATGTTTCAGCTTTACAATGGTGCAAAACCAATATGCATTCAGTAGAAACAGCACTTCAAATTTTGAATTTCTATCTTTTCCTGTGCTAGTGATATGCCCTGTGATACAGGGCTGGGCAGCAGCAGGGAGCCTCAGCTCCAGTCAGCCTCGAGATCACGAGGGTAAGCAACCGATACTGATTCGTGACATCTTCCTGAGGAACACGATTCCTGCTAAACCACCAATAAGTGTAGGTGCCCTAGAGCCTTCCAGCAGCAATTCCCAAGCCATATCAGAAAAGAGAGAGGTTGGTGACCCTGCAGCACAACCATCGTCCAGCAGTTAATTTTAGTTCAGGGCTTTGAACGTTCTTCAGGCCCAGCACGCTTCCAGCTGTGTATGTTGATGGTGAGAACCCATGCAACCATCTTGCTTTTCCTTTCAGTACGGTTTTCAATAAATTGCATAACATATTCAATACTTTATTATGAAATAGGCTTTGTGTTAGATAATATTGCCCAAACATAAGTCTTCAGAGTATGTTTAAGGTAGGCGAGGCTAAGCTCTGATGTTTGATAGGTTAGGTGTCAACTTACGATATTTTTAATTTATATTAGAGTTATTGGGAGAAAACCGCATCAACAACTGAGGAGCATCTTCGTCTGTAGTAATCAAGAAAGGGTGATACTGGACAAAAGACAGATCAATGAAACAGAAATGGAACCATGCAGATATGCTCATTTGAGTTTTTACTAAGTTGCAAAAGCAGCTACTGGAGGGAGGAGGGTCTTTCCAGCCAGTGATGCTTGACCAATAAACAGCATCGGGGAAAAATGAACCTCAACCTAAACCACACTCTTTACACAAAAATTACCTGAAAATGGATCATGAATAGAATTGTAAATTGAAAAACTATAAAAACTTTAGGAGAAAACAAAGAAAATTTTTAAAACCAAGAGCTTGGTAAAGAATTCTTAGATATGGCACCAGGACCCTGATCTGTTAAAAAAAATCAATAAATTGGACTTTATCAATATTTAAAACTTTTAATCTACAAGTGACCGTGTCAAAAGAAATAAAATACAACCTACAGGTTGTGAGAAAACATGTGTAAAACACATACATGACAGTGGACTACTATCCAGAGTATATAAGGAACTCTCTAAACTCACCATAAAAATAGAAACAGCTCAATTAACTAGTTAGCGAAAACATAGATATTTCACTGAAGAAGAGGTACAAATCAAAAATAAGTACATGAAAAGATGTTCAGTATAACTAGCCATCAGAGAAATGCAAATTCAGACCATAATGAGCTATCACTAAATACCCACCAAAAGAACAAAAATTAGCTACAATAACACTTGCTGCTGAGGATGTGATTTCTCATACATTGCTGGTGGGGTTATAACATGGTACTGTGGAGTACAGTTTGGAAATTAAAAAAAACTAACATATACTTACCATATAATCCAGCAATTGCACACCTGGAGAGAGAATTGAAAACCTATGTTCACACAAAACACAGAATGTAAGTGCTTATATTATATTAATTTGCAATAGTCAAACACTGAAAACTATCAAAATACCCTACAATAAGATAATGGTTAAACAAATTGTGGTACATCCGTACCATTACTGAGAATTACAAATAAAAGAAAGTTTTGATACATACAACCAGTTGGATGCCTCTCAGGGGCACAATTCTGAGTGAATAAAAGCCAATCTTTAAGGGTCACATAGAGATTCTATAACATTCTTGAAGTTATAAAAGTGTAGATATGGAGAAAAAATTAATGTTGATGAGGATTCGGGATTGTGGGGGGCAGGAGGCTGAATATGACCGTAAATGAATAAGACTAGAGAGATCACAAAGAGTGATGATGCAATGAGTCTACATCTTGATTCAGTGGCAATTACACAAATCTACACATATGATAAATGAACAGAGAACTATACGCACAGCATTCCAATGTTAATTTCTTGCTTTTTATATGGTGTGTAGTTGTATAAAATCCAACTTTTGAATAATACAGGGAAACTCTCTGGATTGTATTTTTGCCACTTCCTGTGAATCTATAATATTTCAAATTTTGTTAAAGATTAAAAATAGTCTTCTGTGAATCACTTATTTCGTGAGTCAGGTGGAGATCAACATCAGCACAAAGAATGAGCCTCCCTCGTCTTCGTGTACCTCCACGGACTTCACTCCCTTAACAAAGGCTGGTGGAATGACATTCTAAGCAAGTAACAGACAACAGCCTGCAGGCACCAGTGCCCTTCCAGCATCCTCTAGTGAGGAGCAGGAGATTCCAGACAAAAGAGAAGTCTGCTGCACACTAGCCACGGGTCTTCAGAGGAATGTGACACAGCACAACTGCCAGAGCTGGAGGAGGCTGTGTCACCGCACAGCAGCAAGCAGGCTGGAGCCTGTGGGGCTGAGGAGCTATGCAATGCGCTGACATGCAGGTTGATTGAAAGGCTTCATTCACAGGGTATTGTATAACCCAGTAAGGTACAGCAATGGAGACTCTGTTCAAATTGAAAATAGAGAAGAGCACTAGGGTCAGAGAAAAACTTTTCATCAGAAGGAAATGACATTCTTTGGTCCGTAGGAGCTGGGGGCCAGGGGATGAAACAATGAGGATAGACGGCCGCAAACATGCATTTCTCTTTGTATTTGCAGGTTGCTAATGAGCTCATGGCATTGCTGCTGTGTTTGTGTACAGATTGTGAATTTCTCAGTATCATATATGCTGTAATTGATTTTATCTGCCTGGGTCCACTTTTATTTGAGGGTATGCAAATCACATGCCCCAGACAAAAGCTCGTCTCCTTCTCCTCTTAGCCACCCCACCTCTCACATGTCCTCCACCACGTCTCTCTCCTCTCCCTCTCCTTTTCTTTCTCCCGTCTCTTGAGCTCATCCTCTTTTTTTTGCTTCCTGTCCAACCCCTTCCCCCACCCCACCCGCATCCCTCTCTTCCCCTCCCTCCCTTCCTCCTGCCCTGTTTCCTTCCCTTTCTCTGCCCTGACTTGCTGACTGGCCCATGTTCTCGAGTCCTCACTGCCTCAGCCTTCTCCCATTCTGGACCTGTAGGAAACATGGTCTTGTTGCTCCCATATCTCTTATTTTATAATCGTGTACCTCAAGCCAAAGAGGAGAACCAGGAAGCTTGAAAAGCACACGGGCATTTAGACTGGTTCTCCAGCCTGGCAGGTTCATTACTGTGAGAACTGGTAACTGAATTGCATCTGAAGTGGCCAAAGAGAGTGTGATCTGGACACAGCCTCCTGCCAGCATCGGCGGGGAGGCAGTGCTGCTGGTGTCGCTCGCTGCTTCCAGTCGGTCATTTTGTCTCCCTCACTTATTTGCATCACCTCATTTAGGAAATAAAGTTAACATTTCAGGGCTCACATCTAAGTCTTCTGTTTCTCTCATTCCTGCTGCAGCTGCTTCCACCGCAGACCTGGTGCAGACACTTGGGGCCACCCTGGATAAGGGGCCAGCGTCCCTCTCGCCCGCAGCTGTCTGTGAGGGAGGAATCCGTGACACTGGGCTCCCCAATTGCTCTGAAGTTAGTACTGCCCATTCTCATGAAAATCACGCAGGCACTCCATACTGAGCTCCTGAAAAATGTCAGTCTCCAAGCGCCCACTGCCCACTCAGTGAATCCAACCATTCCCCAGGGCTTCAGCTTCCGACAGCTGGTGCACGCAGCGCTGTCTTCCCTCCCACTCGCTGCTGTCAGCCAAATGCTCACAGACACAGAGGGCAATTTCAGACAGCCCCTTGGACCCTGCAGAGAAACTTAGACTTGGATAGGCCTCTTGATTAAAATTTTCACCCACGAAGTCCCCATTTTACAAGGTAACTGCTGAGGCACCATGGGGCCCTTTGTACACACAGCAGGTGCCCACACAGTGATGCTGGGAGTGAAAACATCTCTTATTATTCTGAATTCAGACCCGTGAAGGCTGCCTGTCTCAATTCTCTCATATAAGGGAAGGGTGCCGGGTCAGAAGAGGCACAGAGGCTTTCCCAGAGGTGGAAGGAGAGGCGGCGGCTCCATGGGAAGCAACCCCGGCCCTGCATCCTGGTCAGAGCTTCTTTCCCCAACTCCACAGCAAAGCTGCTCACTCACAAACATGATGAGTGAAAACAAGAGAAATCCATGGTTGTGATTTGTGAGGTGACAGGAAAATCCAGGTCTAGACGCCGTGGGAGAGGGCACAGAGACCTGCGCTGTGGCCTCCCTCGAGGTGACAGGCACCTGGGCTCTGAAAGAGGAGACGGGAAAGCCAGCGGGAGGTGGGGACCCAGGCTGTGTCCAGCAGGGTGGACAGCACGTTTCAGTCCTGAGGCAGGAAAGCACTGCAATCCAAGAGACCAAGAGCAGGCCACGGTGGCTGAGGGAGGTCAGCAGAGAGCAGCTGGCAGAGAGCAGCGGGGGGCAGCCGCGCCACACGGCCACGTTGACCGGGTTGGGGCTCCGGGCTTAGCGTGTTGATAAGAAGAGACTGACGAGTCTTCAGCAAAGAAGTAAATGGTATCTATGTATCTATCTATCTATCTGTGTGTAAAATATACGTATATATATGTATGTATATATGTGTATTATACACACATAATATATATACATACATATATATTTATATAAATATAAATTTATATATATATAGAGAGAGAGATAGAGAGAGAGAGACAAAGCCTCCTTCTATCACCCAGGCTGTAATGCAGTGGCAGGATCATGGCTCACTGCAGCGTTGACCTCCTGGGGCTCAAGTGATCGTCCTGTCTCAGCCTCCCGAGTTAACGTATACTTTGAAAGATCACACTGGATTTTCTATGGTGAATGAGTTAGAGGAAGATAAGGTTGGAATCAGGAGGAGCAGTGAAGGAACTATGCTTAGATTTGGCTAGGCCTCACAGCGGGAGCTGTGGTCTGCCGTGAAGGATGACTGTGGCTCAGGTCCTGACGGTGGCTGTGAAGGCACAGAGGGAAGGGAGTCTATTTTGGAGGTGGAAATGACAGAAATTGCTTATGGATTAGAAGTGAGGAGAAAGGAAAAGGAGGCGTCAAAGTGACTCTTACATTTCTGATGAGCAATTTCTGGCTTCAGTTCTTACATTTCTGGCTTGGTGTGATTTTTGGAGATAATGAAGGCTGAAGTAGGAACAGATCGATGAGGGAAGGAGGACGTGGATCAAGGCTTGCATTTGTGTGCTTTACGTTTGGAATGGCAGTGAGTTATTCTGGTGAGGCTGTCACATAAAGAGCCCGCAGCTCAGAAGATGGGTCTGGGCTGGGGTGAGGCTGCCACGTGGGTGGGCAGGGGCTGGGATCACCCAGGAGAGGCGGGGGTGGGATATGAGCAGGGGGCTGGGATCACCCAGGAGAAGTGAGGGTGGGATGTGAACCTGTGCTGTCCTCCCAGAATGCTCTGCAGAGCTCCACACTTTACCTTGGAAAAGCTTATTAGCCCTCCGCCTCCTGAAACAGAATGCCAATTATTTATCAGATCAGCATTGGTCTCAGGTCTCGAGGGCTCATCCTATAGGAACCTGCTGGCCCATCTCACTCTTTCCATCTGCAGGAGAGGAAAGAGGCAGGAAACAGGGTGGAAAGGGACCTCTGCTTATCAATGCTAACGACCTACACCTGGCTGCAACAATCAGTTTATTAAGGAAAGGAAAAGCAACTTTTAGAGTGACTGGGCGCATGGCTGTGTTAATCACATTTGCATATTGTGCTCTATTTCAGAAGACTCCAACGCAATAACTCACAGCAATCCATATTTATGATTTGAAAATTGCTGACTGAATAATTATACATTAAGTAACTTCTGTTTCCTTGTATATTATTGTTTCTAATTAGCAATGGGGGAAAATAAAGTCATTATTATTTATGGATACAGCTTAGGCTTGGCATTTCTACCAGGCTTGCAGTCTTCACATCAGTCTCCAGCTCCTGCTGGGCTCCTCCGTGCAGCCTCCAGGAGCTGGCCGGCCAGGGCAGGCAGGTTCCATCCTCCCTCCTTCGCTCCCCCTCTGTTCCTCTCCCCTAAGAGTTTGTTCATGGCCGGGCGCAATGGCTCACACCTGCAACCCCAGAATTTTGGGAGGCCAAGGCGGGCAGATCACGAGGTCAGGAGATCGAGACCATCCTGGCTAACATGGTGAAACCCCGCCTCTACTAAAAATACAAAAAAATTAGCCAGGTTTGGTGGCACGTGCCTGTAGTCCATGCTACTAGGGAGGCTGAGGCGGGAGAATTGCTTGAACCCAGGAGGTGGAGGTTGCAGTGAGCTGAGACTGTGCCATTGCACTCCAGCCTGGGCAACAGAGTGAGACTCTGTCTAAAAAAAAAGAGTTTGTTCGTACAGACCACAGCGTTCCTCCATCCACGTGGTCCACACCCCCATCCAACACCATCCTTATGGCCTTTGACTATAGTTTCCTGTGCCATGAGAAAGTCCTCGTTCTGAAGTTTAACTCTCCAACACTGTCACATGAAACTTGCTCATCACAGTGGACTAGTCCCTCCGTTTGCCATTGTTGCTCCAGAGAACCATTTGCTGGAGCCTTGGCTAAATAGACCGCATGGCCTCTCTAGCCCCTGCTCTTTAGACCCATGCAGGGTAAACAATACGCCTTAAGTGAAACACAGAATTTATCTATTTAATTAAAAAAAGAAAAGCCAGAGGGCGTCAGCTGGCCACACAGTGATTAAGCCCAGCCGCGGAGGCCCCGCACTGACACAGCAGCCTGCCCCCCGCTCGCCTCTCCACAGCTGCCCAGTTATGTGGCCGTTCCCTTTCAGCCACAGCACCTCTGAGGCATGTGGCTGGAAAATTCCGGTCCATTCGGCTGTCGCATAATAAATATTGCACAACACACTTTACCTGGTTCAGTTTACACTTAAATAAAGACTTTTGGCTTAAATCAATGGGTCTTCACCTGGGGTTGCATCAAATTCACCAGTGAAATTATTGATAATACACAGGTATCCTGGCCTCACCACCAGAAATCAGGGCTTGATGGACCTGAAGCGGTCCCGGGCGGTAGGAGAGTTGAAAAGTTTCATGGGAGTTTCTGATGTCACTAAGGTTAAGATACTTTGGTAATCTAGAAGCTTCTCACGTTTGGCTTCAAAATGGCATCACCGAGGCTGGGGGCAGACTATACTCCAGGCAAGTTAAACAGAATGTCCAAGCATGGGATTGGGCCTCACTGGTTTTTGTTTTATTTTAGCTCTCCAGGTATTTGCAATATGAAGCTAATGTCCTAATTACCATTCCATTCTGAAAGATCCTAAAGTACCTTATGATTCTCTGATTCTGAGAGTACAATCAAGACAAATTTTTTTAAAAGAAAAAAATCTAAATAAGTACATAACTAGAGAGCCTGTCTGATAGCAAGATCTGAGGTTCCAGTGTTCAAATGGAGAAAGGAAAGTTGTATAGCCTCTGGCTCTAGTCTAAGTCCCCTCAGTAGAGAAAAAAAATTCCCTATGTATTCCATTCCATACTTCTGAATTCAGGCTTGCAAGAAAGGCTCCAGCTAAGAATAAAATGTTACTTTTTTTTCTTGCTCCTGTGAACCCATGCAGATATTTTCTTTAGAGAACTTACGAGGAAGAAGAATAGGTAAAAACAAGGGATTTGTATATTTCTACATTTCTGGTACAAAACACCATCGGGATGGTATCAGTGGAGATGGTATCAACAGAGGGGTCCTCTGTAGGCATGCAGCCTGTCTTCAAGGTTACTGGATCCTCCCCCACAGCCCCGTGGAGAGACTTCACAAAGGATCCCAGCCCTATGCATCCTTCAGCCTGCACTCCCCTGATGCCGACAGGGAGAGACAAACACAGATCCCTCCAGCTGGAAGTTCTAAGATAACCTGATGGATACCTGAAGGAGACAGAGCTTCCAGGGTAGAGCTTTCAGGAGCACAGATGGAATTTACAACAAAAAGACAAATTCACTCACGCGTCGCTTTACAACGGGGGTGCATTCTGCAGAATGCAGAGACAGGTGACTTCATGGTTGTGAGAACACCGTAAAGTATACATATACACACCTGGATGGCATAGCCTCCACACCTAGGCTGCGTAGTGTGGCCTACAGTTCCTAGGCTACAGGCCTGCACAGCACATGACTGTGCTGAATACTGCAGGCAGCTGTAACACAATGCTAAGTATTTGTGTATCTAAACATAGAGCGGGGGCCGGGTGTGGTGGCTCATGCCTGTAATCCCAGCACTTTGGGAGGCCATGGTGGGTGGATCTCTTGAGGTCAGGAGTTCAAGACCAGCCTGGCCAACATGGTGAAACCCTGTTTCTACTAAAAATACAAAAAAATTAGCTGGGTGTGGTGGCAGGCGCCTGTAGTCCCAGCTACTTGGGAGGCTGATGCAGGAGAATTGCTTGAATCTGGGAGGTAGAGGTTGCAGTGAGCTGATATCACGCCACTCCACTCCAGCTTGGGTGACAGACCAAGACTCTGTCTCCCAAAAAAATAAAAAATAAAAATAAAAAATAAACATAGAAGAGGTATTGTTAAAAAAAAAAGATGGTATTAAATCTTATAGGACCACCCTCACGTATCCCATCCACCATTGAGGGAAACATCATAAGTGACAGATGACTGTAATATTCAGACAAACAGCCTGTGCCTTTCATTTCTCTCCAGAAGACAATACTCCCCCTCCAGAAGACAATACTCCTCCTCCAGAAAGAAGATAATACTCCCCCTCCGGAA
This sequence comes from Homo sapiens, assembly GCF_000001405.40. NCBI lineage: Eukaryota > Metazoa > Chordata > Mammalia > Primates > Hominidae > Homo > Homo sapiens. Next base: position 134,795,924 of record NC_000011.10, on the reverse strand, counting down.
GATAATACTCCCCCTCTAGAAGATAATACTCCCCCTCCGGAAGATAATACTCCCCCTCCAGAAGGAAGATAATACTCCTCCTCCAGAAGATAATACTCCCCCTCCAGAAGATAATACTCCCCCTCTCCTCCTCCAGAAGATAATACTCCCCCTCCAGAAGATAATACTCCCCCTCCAGAAGATAATACTCCCCCTCCAGAGGATAATACTCCCCCTCCAGAAGATAATACTCCTCCTCCAGAAGATGATAATACTCCTCCTCCAGAAGATAATACTCCTCCTCCAGAAGATGATAATACTCCTCCTCCAGAAGATAATACTCCTCCTCCAGAAGATAATACTCCCCCTCCAGAAGATAATACTCCTCCTCCAGAAGATAATACTCCTCCTCTACAAGATGATAATACTCCTCCTCCAGAAGATAATACTCCTCCTCTACAAGATAATACTCCTCCTCCAGAAGATAATACTCCTCCTCTAGAAGATAATAATACTCCTCCTGTAAATGTGCTCAGGCACTGGGAAGGATGTTAAAGTCGTGGGGACAAGAGGCAGCTGTGATACTCCTATCTCTAAACTGGAGACCAGGCTGGGCAGGAGGGTGAGGGCACACCCGGGATCTGTCCTGGGAGCTGCAGAGGGGGAGGGCTGCCTCTCCACGCATTCCCTGTCTCTGCAGGGGCAGATGGCAGACAACCAGGCCCCTCCACCCAGCACCCGGGTCAGTCAAGTTCTGCATTCAGAGGGGGCGATGGCAGCAACCACGTCCCTCTGCATGGCTGCTGGCTTCAAGGGGATATGTACATGTCAGTTCTCCTCTGGAAGGCATGTCCTCCACCCCAACCTGTGCCCTCTGTCAGCCTCCTGGGCCCAGGAAACAGTCAGAGAAAGGAACGGGTGGACAGAAGAGCGCCATGCCTGTATCTGAGCTGCCAGATGGGTCTGTGGGCTGGAGACATTTCCCTGCCCCACCTACCCTGATCCAGGATGGGGAACCCACCATCAGTGCTATGCTTCCCAAAGCAGCAGATTTTAGTTTGTACTTAAATGAAATCCAATGATGACAATTTCTAAATAATATACATCACCAATGCCACATTATAATAATTTTTGCAATGAATATATCCCATTGTTTTATCTTCTACACTGGGGGAAAATAAATGAGAGACCCAAATGTCACACATCAGCTAGAGCAAATTCGGGTCCCCAGAAAGACAACACAGGAGAGGCCAGGGAGCATCACTGAGAGTGTGAATTGCTGGGCTTCCTGTTTATTTCAGCAGGAATCTGGAATCATGCCTGCCCCGGTTAGGATTTTTCCCCTCTGCTCTCCAGACTCAGTTTATGATGAAGCCTCCTAGAGATCCTGTCTACTTGTTGAGGATGCGGCTCTGCCTCTGCTGACGACAGCCTGGCGAACAACAGTTCTACTGGACAGCCTTGGAGAGAGGAACCCGTGCTGCTGGGCTTGGGCAGAGCCTTTCCTAGACCCCTGTGCCAGAGCTGCTGGCAACGGGGGCCAAGTGGCACCCCCTGGATAGCCCTGAACCCCGGTGATCACGTGGCTCATTTGCAGTGGAGACTGGCAGGGGCTGCCCATCCCCATAGGGCCACCATGTAGCACTTCTCCAAACATCTACCATTTTCAGTGAGTTATCGTGTTACTTAATTATGAAAACACTTTTGTAATAACCACTCATTCTGATGAGTTGGCTGCGAGCAGTGCATGGTGCTAATGGCCCATGAGACACTTCAGAGGGACTGAGCACACCAGCCCTGCCTCCTCCAGGTAAACAGAGCTGCTCCCACCTTCAAGCAGTAGGTCTCACCTGGCAGGAAAGGCAATTGACGTGTGCCCTGGAGAAATGAACTATCTTTTCCTCCAAAAAGTACAATGACAAGGATATGACTTCAGGCCAGATTCATAACATCAAAGCCGTGCTGATTCCACCCTGAGCTGCACCTCAGAAACCCAGATGAGCAGAGAGTGATTAGGGAGTAAGGAGCCTAATTACCAGTTACTGTAGCAGCTGATGGGAAAGGGAGGCCTGGATTCTGAAGACCCCACTCTCCATGTTTATGATAGGAATAAAGCACCTTCGGAGGTAAGAAAGCTTGGCTGGCCAGGCACGGTGGCTCACTCCTGTAATCCCAGCACTTTGGGAGGCCAAGGCGGGAGGATCACCTGAGGTCAGGAGTTTGAGACCAACCTGGCCAACATAGTGAAACCCTGTCTCTACTACAAATACAAAAATTAGCCAGGCTTGGTGTTGGGCACCTATAATTCCAATTCAGGACACTGAGGCAGGAGAATCGCTTGAACCCAGAGGCAGAGGTTGCAGTGAGCCAAGATTGTTACAGAAAAGTAAACAAATTATTTCAATAAAATTAACCCTCCTCTCTGCCTCAGACTAGGCTGGAACAGGCCAGGAACCATGGGAAGGGTGGATCTGAAGTCCCCTGGAGTCCCACCTGGAGTCCTTCTGAGAGTCTTGGGAAGGAGAGTGGATGCAGAGGCTGGAACCAGGCAGGGCTGGAGGCCTGAAAGCAAGGGGTTGGCATTTAGACCCAGAAAGTTTGGCTACAGCTGCTGGGCCTCAATTCCTCATCCCAGAGTGTCCCGATATCCTTCAAGCCACGGCCAGTGGGGACAAGATTCTCCTGAGCCCAGGAGCCAAGCCTCTCGGACCAGCCAGCACAGGTGTGACCCTCGGAGTTCTAAGCTGTCTTTACAGTCGGCGTTTCCCTCACAGCCTCAGCTTTGACACGGCATTCACATCCCACAGCCTGGTCACTCTCAGCCAAATATTTTATGTTTTTTACATTTCTCTTAAAAGGTGGCACCCACCTTCAATAGTAAAATGTGATTTTTAAAAGGATTATTTTTCTGCTTAATTTCTTTAAAGTACATGTGACGCTTACAGCAAGAATCACACTGTTATACCGTAAGGCTTATAAGTATTCAGATGTAACACACGGACCATTGCAGCAGAATGGGAACATGACCTTTCTTAATACCTTGTGACACTCGGCAGGAGAGCCAGCTAAGCTGCTTCCTAAACAAGCAGTGTTAACTAATCCCATAAAGCAATTCAGAAACAAAATAGCACATGCATAGTATAGGCTTTTTTTAAAACACAATGAAGAAACCTGAGGGAAGAAATCATAGTGACCCTGGGATCCAGCAGGGCAAATTCAAGCCACACCCTCCAGGTAATGGTGAGGTGCCTGTGAGCAGCCGGTAATGGGTGCAGGTTAATGGACCTTGGGTGTCTATGAACTTGTTACTCTGAGAATATTAATGGGAAATCAAATAGCAAGTCAATTCAAAATTAGCTTTAATTATATTTTGAGATAGAAGCTGCCTCTCAAATCTTCCTAATGCAGATATTTCGAAACAAGAACAATACTAATTTTTAGCAAGTGCTGTTAAGATATGTTTAAATATCATTTCTCATCTGACAACCCTGTTTCAGAAGACTTGGGCAATTCACCTAAGTCACACGTGAAGACAGGAAAAGATGAAAACTTGGTGTATGGGTTTGAAAATATTAACCTCACCCGACAGCGCCCCATCATGCTGTCCCCAGAAAGAGCAGCTTCTGCAGAGGGCAGGAGGAGCCAACCCCATCAGTCATTGCTACTGCCCGTGTCATCGATGTTGTTATCACTAAGTATGACTCGCTGCATCTGTGTGCTGTGTTACAGGCTGGGAGAGGCTCAGGGCCAAACCACAGGTTTGCCAGGCCTGATGGTAAACCAGGCAGATTCAGCTCAAAAGCACAGGGAATCTGACACCTGCAGGGGCAACCCTCAGCCGGGGGAGACAGCAGCTGGTGTGTAAATCCCCACCTCTCCTCTCCTTCAGGTAAACAGCTCTGGCGTCGTACTGTAAGGGTCTCAGAGGCCCCTACAGAGAAGACCCCACGGTCCACTGCAGCTATCATTAGGGCACACCCTTGGTTGGCTTTTTAAAATCAACCTGAGTTAGTTCTAACTTTCGTCTGATTATGCACAGCCATGCACTGTGACGTGGTTTGATAAACGTACACCTGTGTGACCACCACCCGGTACAGAGCCTTCTCCTCACCCTGAAAAGTTCCTCATGCCCTTTGCAGCCCATTTCTCCCTATTCCTATTCATGCTCCAGGTAATTGTAGATGAGTTTTTCAAACCCTAAAATTTTACACAAACAAATCAGTATGAATTGATTAGTTCATACATCCCAACATACTGTTTTTGGGATTCATCCATGTCATTTTGTGTATCGGTGTGTTCCTTTTTTTATTACCAAGCAGTATATCGGTGTACGAATATATCGTTTTTCACCATTTGCCAGTTTATGGATATTTGGGTTGTTTCCAAGTTTGGCTGTGATGAGTAAAACTGCCTTGAATAGTCACATATCAATGTGATCTTGACAACAATTTGTGTCAAATTGAAATTCAGATTTTTCATCTATAGGAAAGTTAGATAATTATCATAGGTACATTTCAGGGTTATTGTAAAGAGTAAATAGAATAATGCATTCCACATATCTGGAACCTGGCCTGTGCCTTTTTCTTCCCACTATACAGGGACCTGGAATCTTTCAGGAAATGTCAGCTTCTAGGTCTGAGCAAGGAATGTACAAGATAAGCCTGGAAGCTATTATTGTGCCAGAAAGGATAAAGATGAATGAGCCTGTTAGTGTCATGTCAGAAAAGACACAAAATATGCTTAACGTTTCTCAAAATAAAATGTTTGAAAACAAAAAGACACAGTCATTTGCTGAAGAAAGCACCGCTGGCCTAAGATGTAACAATTTGACCATAAGATGAATAATGCCTGCAACAGATTGAAACACATCAAATTATCAAATATACAAATCCAGGAATTCTTAATAAATTATTTAAGTGTTTGATGGACCCAGTCATTATAAAATGAACACATTAATACAAAATTTGAAAACTAAAAATAATCTTTATTACACACATTTATGCTTTACAAGTTTAAACTTTACAAGTTTGTATTTCAAATTAGCCATAGTTGAAGAAAAATTTTCCTTTTTACAAATGTTTCATGTACTCACTTGTACCCACGAACTAAACCCATCAATCTCAAGGAGGTAGAGAGTGGAAGAATAGAATAGTGGGTACCAGAGACCGGGAAGGGTGGTGGGGGAAGGGGGAGAGATGAAAAGAGGTTGGTTAATGAGTACAAAATTATAGCTAGATAGAAGGATTAGGTTCTAGTGTTTCACAGCACAATAGGGCAACTATGGTTAACAATAATTTACTGTACTTTTCAAAAATAGCTAGAAGAGAATATTTGGGATGTTTCCAACAAGAAAGGATAAATGTTTAAAATGATGGAGATCCCATTTACCCTGGTGTGATCACTGCAAATTGTATGCGTGTATCAAAATATCACATGTACCCCATAAATATGTACAACTATTATGTATCAATACAAAGCTATTCTTTCTAAAGAAATACAATCTATGAATACAGAAGTAAAGTATAGAATTGGAAAATCAACATTTTGAAACTTCAAATAAAATAATACCCATTGATGGATGTTAAAACCACTAGTGGAAAAAACGATGGAATTTTTTAATGGAGAGAGCAGAGAAACACGGAGCACACTGATCTTTTTTTTTATTTTTTTAAAGGAATCAGTCTTTGAGTCACTGAAAGTGATACAAGCAGACAGCAGCTGGCTTACTGTGTGATGAGAGAGGAAGGTCCCAGCACCACCACGATGGCATCCCTGCCCTCGAAAATGGAGACTGAGTAGAGCCGGTCTAGCTCCAATGATCCGATTATAATAACTGCAGGGCTGAAAACACGAGTTGGTACACTACACAGCAAAGCAAACCACCAAATCCAGAGTGTGAGACCTTCTACATGGAAAATGATGCATTTCTCCAATAAAGCAGCAACAAAGAAAAAAACAGAGAGGAGTCAGGGACCGTCTCAGAGGGAGAGAGATTGAAGAGGTAGATGGTCAAATGCAGTTGGTGGGCTTTGGGCGCTGCTAAGAAACCAACTGCAGAAAGGCACCTCTGAGACAATCAGGGAAATTTGAACAGGGGCTGGTATCAGATTATATATTTATAATTAAAATGTTCATTTAGGAATTAAAGTTGATAATTATAAATTTATAATTAAAAATTGAAGTGTTACAATGGAAAGGAGTTTATGGGGAAATATTATGATTAGTTAGAGATACCTGGTGATGTACTTACAGAACAAATGATAGAATGTTTGGGGATTTGCTTTCAAATACCGCAGAAAAAGAAAAGTGGAGATGTCAATTAAATTTGGCAAATTTAATTGACAATTTAATTGGCAAATATGGAGAATTTGGATAAACTGTTGAAGCTCTGTGATAAGTACAAGAAGATTCACTGTTCTGTTCACCCTCTTTTTGTGTGTATTTTTAAAATCTTACATCATACAAAGTTCAAAAAATGAAAAAATCCTGTTATGAGTGCACCTTGCAGAGCAGGCACCCTGCACACATCACTGGAGGGCTGAGCATCGGGGACTTCTGCCCTTGACAGTCCCCTGATTGGAGCCAGGTGAGTGGCCTCTCTCCTAAAGATTCCGTCGCTCTCCTGCCTCCCAGGTGGTGATCCACAATGCTCAGCCCTAGGCTGGGAGCGAGATAAAAGCCCGGTGCTCACCACGCTCCCACTCTACTGATTGTCCAGCTTGGGAAGTGGTGGCTCAGTGCCGTGGTCCTTTCGAGCTCTCATAGTTGCCTGCGGCCATGATTTGAGGCCACTCTTCCAGGGCTAACAAGAATTCTGGACAGAAATATCGTTGTAATTAAAAATTCATCAGGTTGCACTTTGACCTGCTTCCTTGTAATTGAAAGCCACTTAGTATATAGTTTATTAGTATCATGTTCTACAATATATCGATCATTTTGAAGCAAATCACACCATTTTATTTGGAAGTATTTTTGTTATATAGCTCTAAAAGATAGAAAGATCTTCTTTCAATTATTATTAAAAAAACAAACATACACATGCATATAATCATGTATCTAAAGTATGTGAAAATCAAGAACACACATCAGGACAAGTTGGCCCTCAATGTGCCAGCATCTGTCTCCTAAACACAAGTGTTACAATACATACTCACACTTCAGTGGTTCCATTTAAGAAGCTTAACACTGATGTCTACTTACTATCCATATTCACGCTTTCCCAATTTTTCCAAAAATGTTAGCAAGAGCCTGTCTTACAAACATAACTACAGTACCATTACCACACCTGAAATTGTTAACAGTAATTTATTGAAATCATCAATTAACTCATCAGTTTCATATTTTCCACATAACCTCTTTTTTTTTTTTTTTTTTTTTTTTGAGACGGAGTCTCGCTCTGTCACCCAGGCTGGAGTGCAGTGGCACCATCTCTGCTCACTGCAAGCTCCACCTCCTGAGTTGACGCCATTCTCCTGCCTCAGCCTCCCGAGTAGCTGGGACTACAGGCGCCCGCCACCACGCCTGGCTAATTTTTTGTATTTTTTTTTTTAGTAGAGGGTTTCACCGTGTTAGCCAGGATGGTCTCGATCTCCTGACCTCGAGATCTGCCCGCCTCGGCCTCCCAAAGTGCTGGGATTACAGGCATGAGCCACTGCGCCTGGCCCACCTCTTTAATCTTCTCAAATTCTCTCTCTAATCCCCTCAATTTATTTGTAGAAGAAACCTGCAAATTTGTCCTGCAGTTTCTCAAAGTGTAGATTTTCTTGAGTGTTTCCTGATGGTCTGTTTTTGAAATATATTTCTCCATCTCTGTATTTTGAAGATATTAGTAGATATAACTCAAGGCTTGAAAAATAAGATTCAGTTTTCAGTAACCCTACTTTACAGGCAATGCTAAGTACATCAGTCATGTAGCACAAAATGTCTGACTGTCCTTGATTTGGGATCTGACCAGCTGTTACCTAGTTCCACTAATTTATTAGGAAGTTGCAAAATAGTAATATTCTACATATATCATTCCTTCATAATCTACCAACAATAACACTGTTAGGAAGGTTTCTAAAAGTCCTCATTATCTATTACATTAAATTATGCCATAACTATCATATATTATATTTAACCATTTTATACAATGGTTTATACAGAAAAAAAATAAATGCTTGGTTAGTGCTAGTTTTCAAAATAATGAAATTATTTTGTTTGTTCACAAACATCCTCCACTGGCAACAATTAGTTTTCCTAATATTCTTTTTAACATTTCATTACAAAATAACGAAGTCGAATATATTTGCTGGGTTTCATTCATTATGGTTATTAAATTTAATGATGTTTAAATTGTCCCATCTTCAGCTGGTGGGAGCCTCTAATGTTGCCTCCTGAGCCTTTCTGACACGATCTTATTATTCTGTAATCTCTTCCTTGCTTTCTAGTAGGACAAAATGTTTCAGGCTGAAATTGTACATTCCCTGCCTGAGACCTACAATCAGCCATTTTTCCAAGGAGCCCTGGGTCCGTTTGATGATAAATGATTTATAATGATCACAATTTGGATGTCACAGGTTTTCATCACTACTGAATTGTCCATTGTTTCTAGCTTCCAGTAGATGGAGATAGATAATATGCATTTATAAATTACAGGGTTTTTACCTCACTTCATCAGTCTTACATCTGATTCTTCTTTATCTTATGCTGAGAATGCTGGTTCTCAATGACACCACTTTAATTGATCATTTTCTTCTTATCACAATCAGTCACAAAACAGTCACACACGGCAACCTTAAATAACAATACCAGAATTAGGAAAAAATATGATTCTTGACTACAGGTGAAAATCTGATTTCAGTTCTTTTTTTCCTGTGTTGTATTCCATGAGACATATGTGGTAAAAATGCTGAGGCTCAAAGCCACTTGGAATAGTCCCTTCCTTCGATGCCACTATCTCAACGTCTACGACACACATGCCACCTTCCCCATCAGCAAACCCAGCAAACCCAAGGCTCCTTAAGTAAACTACATGGAGGAGACTGTCTGTATATTTTTCTCCTAATCAAAATCACAAGAGGAAGGATGACCATCTGTTCCTTTTGTGAGCATCTGCTGAGCTAGTGATGCTGGGAGCTGCTGGTCCTCTGCAAGCCTTTCGAGGCCCCAGTTTTGGCTGGACAGCAACCCTTGGCTGGTCAGAGCACCTGCCCGTCAGTGGTCCCCTCTCTGAGCTACATCAGATATAGTAGCTACTTCATATATTTCTTAACGTAACTGAGGATTTTTGTTCAGAGGTGTGACATGAAAAATAGGAACATCACTTTGGAAGAGGTGAGTGTTGAATTCAAGAACCAACGCATGGAGATATTTACTTTTCTTCTCAGGTTGAAGACCAAATGCCTGTTTGTGGCCAATGGAGCTGAGTTTGGTGACTATGCTGAAAATCTGCCATCCGCTGCTCCTGAGTACGGTCTGTATGCCATGTCCTTTAGCCTTGGTGCAGCTGAAAGCTGCAGATCTGGAGACAGGCATGGGAAAGGCTGGGATCTCAGGAATAATCTGAAGATCAGTGAGGCAGTGGCGTAAATGGGTGGAGAAAAACGCAGAGGGCTCCCCTGACGATGTCCATGCTGTGAGGAGGAGCACAGTGGGAAAGAACCAGGGTAGGGGGTGGGAAGCAGGTGCCATCTGTCCAGGCACAGGTGGGGGGAAGACCTGCAAGCCACCTTCCTGCAGCATGGCAGCCTTTTTCCCACTAAGGCTGGACTCCAGGAACCCTCTCAAAGTTGACAGGAAGAGGGCTGGCAGTCTGAGATGCAGGAGGAAGGGGGGCACATGCTGGGGTCCTGAGGGACCCACTCCGGTGAGCAATCTGGTCCACCTTGGGAGCCCCTGGACTCGGGTGAACTCATTTTGGGAAGAGGTACCTTTTCCTCAAGGCACCCGCAGGCCCCGTCATTAAGCCGATGTGGAGCCGAACACAGCGTCCTGCTGATACTGTGGAAAGTGCCAGAGTGAACATTTTTATCAAATGCTGGTCTCAAGAACTTATTTCAGCCTTGGAGGAATCAACCGACTAGCACCAACGAAGGAGGTGACTAACAGACTTCTGGTCGACCACAGGCATGCTGTCTGATGTGCAGCCTGCCCTGCCCTGGGAGTGACAAAGTGAGAACCGCGGCCCCCAGGAGGCTGCCTCTCCCTTCAGAAGGAAAAACCCAGCTGACCCGCCAGGACACAGGTGCATGGGGCAGAGGGCTTTCCTCTCCTCAAACTCTCCCTACCGGTCAGTTTTGTTTGGGATCACACCCACAGATTGAATGACAAGAACATCAATGATAATAACCAAACGAAGTGGTTTGAAGGCTGAAGGCCCAGGCCCAAGTCCCGGGGTCTCTCTGGACCTTGACACCTGTATTTTTAAATGGACATAATGATAATAGCTACCTTAGCAGGTCATGTCAGCGTTAAATGTGAAGTGCTGGAAAATACTTGCTCAGTGGCCTACACATTACAGATGCGCACGGAGTTGTGGGAGTCGTTACAATCACCATGTTCAAGACACAGAACTCACAAAGGTCAGAAAACCAACACTGTTCCCTCCTGCCAGCAGCCTTCAGTTCATGGCTTTACTCAGGTCAGGAAATTGACAAAGCATCTCTTAATTGACAGCCTGAATATTATTGACCCTGGCCAGGGTGCCCATCCCCAGCCCCCGATAGTGACACCATCCAGCCTCAGTGTGACATGATGGCAGCTGTGAGGACTGGACTCTGGGCTTCTGAAAACCTTCCCGGTGGTGAAGGCTGTCTTTGGTGGACTTGGTAAGCCATACTTTGCAGTTCAAGCCCCATTTTAGCATCAAAGGGACTCAGAACCCTTTAAAAAGCACACACTCACTCACTTCTACTTGAAGTTGAATTTTGAGCTGAGAAAACTCTGATCCTTTGGAAATTGGAAATAATTTATGTCCAAACAATCAATTAAAAAGGTCATAAAGCTCCATTCTATTCAAGGACTTCATTAGCATTGCTTAGGAAAAATTAAAATGAATGTTCCGGAGGTTTTTTTTAGACTTGCAAGAATTTTCAGACTGTATAAACATCAATGGGAAAATTATATTAGTGAGTGAGCATGTTGAATACATTTGCATTTTATGAATGAAAAGTGTTTCCTGAAATTACCATCAAACTTGAAATATGAAGAAGATAAACATGTTGTCGGAGGCCCACAAGGAAGGCAGAGAGGAGGGAAGCAGCGGGAGAGAGGATAGCTGAGCTCCCCTCAGCAACCCGTTTTCCCTCTTACTTGCTAATGCTGGAAGTCAGCTGGGGTGGGTGCAAGCCATCTGGCTGAGCTGGGTGAGATTGACCTAGGTTGGGAATATGTAAGAAAGTGACAGAAATAAAGGACTCTGCCTTGTCCATGAAGCTGGTTTTGTCATATGGTTTTGGGGAGAAAGAGGAAAGGTGTGTTTCTAAAGGCCACTCATGTATGTAATAGATGTAAACGTCAAAAGTCTGTGTTAACTGCCACCCCTCTCTCTCTATCTTGTGGAGACCTCTGCCCCTTAAAGCTCCTGCCTACAGACCCTCCAAAGCCCTGCCTTCCCCATCCTCACTGTTGTCATTCATTGTCATCCTACCCCACCCCCACATGGTGAAGCCCCAGCACCTGCTCACTGCATCCTCTTCATCCCAGATCCAGTTGTCATTCTTGGTCCTTCACCATCTACAGGATGCACGTGCTCCCTGGCCCCTCATGCCTGAAGCTCCATCTCCAGGCACCTTGGCTCCCACTCTGTAGAGGTTGCCCTCCCATCTCGTGGCCTATTCTGTCACCAGGGACAGCTTTGGTCCCAAGATGAAGTCCCATAGCCAAGTTGAACCACAAGCAGGTGTCCACCTACTTATGGAAGCTGACTGAAACCATTCTTCCACCTCATCACAATTTTCAGCCCACCAAACCTAAAACTTATATCCTACTTGTTCAGGCCATCTACTGTTTGTTTTCTTCATTATCTTCATTAAATCAAGCATTACCATTGCCTCCTCATAATTAAGATCAATACCCTTGCCCCACTCGATGTCCTTTGTAGTTATTTTGCTAAACTTTGGATCCTGGAAGAGCCCCACTGTCTACCTTCTTCATAACTTTCTCTCAGTGTGACCAAGAGAAAAATCCTGTGGAATAGACCCCAATCCACGATCACTATCCTAAAATAGTCTGGGAACCTGCTGCAGGTCTCGCTTAGCTCATTCTATCACGCCTCTTGGCACCCAGTCCTGGGACCTTCCTTCTACTTCGATTCCCAGTTTTACCACAGTTGTCCCGGCCTGGAACCAGCTCACACTGTTGCCTCTAAACTCTTGAGAAAATAAAATTTGTCAGTCAGAAATTCCCTCAGTCTCAAAGTGAGGGAAATGTATAAACTTAAACAAAATTCCTACTCCTAATAAAATAGAGGAAGCATAATTCCTTTTGCTAAAAGTAGTGGAATTTCTGGGGCCTCTGCCAAATGCCAGGCTCTAGTCTCAGCACTTAATTTTTTTTTATCTCATTAAATCATCACAACAGTAGGCAGACGTTTTTTAACTCTAGAAGAAGCCATGGCACAGAGAAGTTAAGAAATCTGCTCAGAAGGTACACTAGTGGTTCCCACGGCTGGAGGGGCGGATACTTAAGATACTATTCCCCCAGTTTCAGGGTATTCCAGTCCTGCCCTGGAAGGGAGAGTATATACATATCCTAAGTCATCACCTCCGGACAATACGGTTTACTCTACACACCTGCTTCACTTTGTCGCAAAGAGGACTAAGGAAAAGATGGTGCCACCTGAACCCATGCCTGCTGCAGCCAACAATTGTCACAGGCATGTCCCCCTCAGGGCAGCAGGAGCTCTTTCCGAACCTTGGGGAGTGATGGGAAGAAGGTGAGAAGCAAATCTTTAGTCGCATCATATTTGTTCAGAGAAAATATAAATCTTACACTTAATTTTAAGATCTTGGCAAACTCTCAAAGCCTAAAATAATTCCAGTAGTTCTCACGATGAGTAAGGACTAGACTGGGACCTGTCTTTGAGAGATGGAGGGGGAAGAACAGTCAGCATTCCCTGATGAACCCAGGCCCAGTGGTGTGCTATAGCCCCGGGCCCTTCGCACGTTAAGCTCCAGCCAGGGCTTCTCATGGGGCCACATGCCGGGGAATTGACTTCCCCTTCTCTGTCCTCAATTCATACTCTGATTTTAATACTGATGGAAAATGGAGACAAAAGAGGCATAGGAAGCATTGAAAACTAGAAGTGGGCTAGACTGGCAAACTAGGATCATGGGCTAGTAGACTGGAAGAGTCTGGGGGTCGTCTCATTCACCCTTGCCATTGTACAGTCAAGGAAACTGGGGTCCAGAGAAGTCACATAACTGTCCAGGTATGCACAGGGCCCAGGCTAGGACAGGTCGGGATGCCAGGTTCACTGGCCCACCCTGTCTCCCCTAACTTCAGGTTTCCATGAAAGACTCTGCTGTTCAAAGCTGTCTCATGCTCTTGTACTGTGCGGAAACTGGGCCCATTGCATGTTGAAGAAGATGCTAAAGAAAGCAGCTGGATATATTCAGTCTTGATTTTGATGTCATTGATTATTGTTGTTCTCTGGCAAATTTATCCCTGAGAAACAAAAGTGGCTTCCATAAAAGTGCACAATGCCAAGGATTGGGGCAATAATCTTTCACCCAACTCAAATACAGGTATTTTTAGTGGAACGTGATATTTAGCAAGAATGTCTGTTCTTCAATGCCCCTTAGAATTATCCAGGAAGGCAAGGGAATTTCCTTCCCTAAGATTCATCATTGGGAAGGAGGCTCCAGCCTTCATTCCCTCCTCTTCCAGGATAGGTCAGGCTGTTGGAGGTAGAGTGACCAATCACACAAATTCTGGAGGCCAGAGCCATCTTCTTGACAAGCAGAGTCTCCCAACCAAGCCTCCTTGAAGGGGGCTCTGCTGGCACAGCATGGCCTCCCTCTGTAGATCCGACAGAACCGAGCCCAGCCTCCCCTCTGCTCTCCACCCAGCACCTGCCAATCAATCACTGCCATTTCCAAGGACTGGTTAATCCCCAATGAGGGCTTTATACTGTAATTGAACCTGCTACCCCTTGGGTCATTTACGTTATTTCTCTGTTCCCTTGTCAGGGGCCTCTAATTATTCTCTCCCTGGAGTCAGGCCACAAATCTGGACATGCTCATTAAAGTGTCAGCGAGTTGAGGAGCATGGTGCTAAGTGGGATGAATTGATGACATAGCTCTCTGCTGTCTTGCACCTGGGTGGTGACTTATATCAGCAGAGGAGCAATTTCTCCTATGCCTACTTAGTCTCCATACCCAGGGAGCTTTGTCAAGGAGTTGGTCACATCTTGGCCGGGCTCTGCAAGTGGAAAAGAGGAAAGAAGAGGGCCAAAAGCAGACAGGGCTACCACCCCAGTGTCCTGGAGGCTCTGGCACTCTGCACTGACCACAGCTGGCTGCAGCTGCAGTCCCAGCAGTCAAGTTCTCAGCCTGTGTTTGTTCTCTGTGGAATTCCTGCCTGTCTCCTGTTGAGTTCACATTGATTTCAAGATGATTTTTCTGAACAAAGGAGAAACATTTCTCTGCCCTAGCATTTTGTATTCACAGAAAGGACAGAAATTTGGCCTGGGTGGGTCACATTTTTACCATAATTTCCAGTGCATTTGGTCTTACTTGCAAGTGGGACAGTCACTTTTCTCTGTTTTCCAAGCTTGATGTGAGGAACAAGTGAAATATGTATAAAAAAATTTGAAATATGTATAAAAAATGTTTTTTGTTCTCAGCATAAGAAACATTAATGAAAGAGTCATTTCTGAGGCAATTTTTATCATTGTCATTTCCATTTTTCTTTGATTTGTTGCATGTGGGAGTGGAATGAATGGATTCGGAGCAGAAGATCAATGAAGTCAGTGTCAGACCAAAGCAGCCTGCCGGAAATCCACAGCACTGCAAGGCTTCTCAGCTGCACTGTGGCTGGAGTCGCCTGGTGAGTCTGTTGAGAGGTCTGACCAGGGAGTTCTGGGTGGAGCCCAGTCTTCTGAATCTCTAGCAAGTTCACAGGAATTGCTGAGGCTGCTGATCCAGGAACTTCACATTGACTAGTGAAGACTGAGAAGTCTGGTTTTGAGAATGTCCTAAACTTACCTCCAGTGGGTAAGAAATCCCCTAAAGAAAGAGAAGAAGGAGAAAGAGGAGGGAGGGGAAGAGGAGGAGGAGGAAGAGCAGGAGGAGACCAAAAGAGGAGGAGGAGGAGGACAAAAAAGAGTGAGGAGGAGGAGGAGGGTGAAGAGGAGCCATCATTTATTAAGTGTTTCCTGTGCCCCAGACAAGGTTCTAAGTGCTTTCTTCACAATATCTCATTGAATTTTCAACCAAACCCATCAAATGAGATACCGAATCTAGAAAAAGAAAATGAACCAGCTTCCATCAGTTAATGAAAAGAGAATCAGGATTTATTCTTAAGCAGTCCGAACCCAGAACCTGGGCTATTATCCATTTCATTTATTTTTCTAAAGAGGAAACATTTAAAAATAAAATAAGAGACATAGAAAATAAGGAGCTGTTGGTGATTTGACCTCTCCAAATGTGGAAAAAAAAATGCTATTTAAAGCAAGTGTTACTAGCTAATGTTTGACCTGCTCCTTTTCAGCCACGAACAAAGTAGACATCAAATCACAACCCTGATTACTCCAAAACCAGCAGTGCCCCAAAAGTAGATTGTTCAGTCATTCATCGCCACATGCATCCACATTGTCTCCTTTACCAGTCCTCCATCAGCCAATGTCCCTCCCACTTCTACTCTTTGCTTTCAAACTTATCCTATCCTTTGAAAACAAAACCAAACGAACAAATGAACAAGCCACAAACCTCCCTGAATGAATCCCATATCCTCTTCACCAAAAGCATCATTCAGTTACTGTCCTCTTCTGAAATCCATTTATCTCCCATGGCATGGCCAGTGCTCTCCTCTACGCTTCTCCGCCAGAGAATGTCTCTTCCCACACACCGGATTTTCTCAGGCCAAAGCAGCACTGACAGCCACAGGCCTTGTTCTCCTTGAAATAGGGCATCAACATTATGAGTTTATTTCTATTTCCAACGCTTACGTATTTCGCTCAGGATGTCTGAAGTGCTTGAACCAGTTGACTCTGTTGTCCAGGAAATTTGACTCCCCTTTTCTCTTCACCCCCACAGCATTACTCTCTCCTCGATCTCGTTCTTGCCTGTTGTGAATGCTTCCACTGTTTACTTTTATTGTGATAAATTTACAAAACATAAAATTTACCATCTTAACCATTTTTAGTGTATGAATTAGCAGCATTAAGTATGTTCACAATATCATATGATCATCACCACTATTCATTCTCAGAACTTTTTCATCATCCCAAAAAGAAAGTCCGTACCCATTAAACAATAACCCTTGTCAAATAAAATCTCTAGGAGGCCACCGATTTGGACTGAGCTCCTGCACTAGGTGCAACAGACTAAGCCAGAATTGAGTCACCCAGGCTGAAGTTCCGAGCCAACCGGCTGAAACCAGATTGTTTATCTGACCTTCTTAGAAATCAAGAAAAAGAGAGATAATAGCCAAATTTCAAAACAGGCAAGTTATAGCCAGCATGATAAACAAGTCTGCTTTAACCTTTACAAGGAAAGTGACTTTGAGGTTACCAAATTGCTTTTTGTTCTGTTTCTGCTTTCTTCAGCTCTTTTCTGCCTGTAAAGACAACCTCTTCTGCTTAGCTTATTCCAACAGTCATTCTATATTATAGAATGTGGTATTGCCTGATTCTAGACTTGCAAATAAAAGCCAATTACACCTTTAAACTAAATTTGTTGTACCTTTGTCTTTTAACAACCCCCAAAATAATTAATAACTTTAAACAATATCTCATCTCACCCCCTGTCCCTAGTAATTTCTATTTTACTTTCTATCTCTATGGATTTGACTATTCTAGGCATCTTACGTAGGTGGAATCATACAATATTTGTGCTTTGTGCTGACTTATTTGACTTAGCATAATGTTTTCATGTTTCATCCATGTTGGAGCACTATCAGAATTACACTGTGTTTAAGGATCAACAGTATTTCATTGGATGTATAGACCGTATTTCGTTTATCTATTCATCTGTCAATGAACATTGAGGTTGTTCTTTGGCTATAATAAATAACACTGCAATGAATATTAGTGTACAAGTATCTGTTTGAGACCCCGATTTCAATTCTTCGGGGTATATACATAAGATTAGATATAGTAACTGTTTACTTTTTTGAAGAATTGCCAAACTTTTCTACAGCAGCCGTGTTAATTTAAATTCCTGCCAGCAATACACAAAGGTTCTAATTTCTTCACATCTCCACCAACACTTGTTACTTTCTTTCCTTGCTTTTTTATTTTTATTTTTTAAGAGCCATCCAAATGGATGTGAAGTTGTATCTTTTCATGTAGTCTTGATTTGCATTTGACTAATGATAAGTCATGCTGAGAATCTTTTCATGTGCTTTTTAGCCATTTGTATATTTTCTTTGGAGAAATACCTGTTCAAGTCCTTGGTTCATTTTTCTTTTTTTTTTGAATTGGGCTATTTGTTTTTTGTTGTTGAGTTGTAGAAGTTATTTATATGTTCTGAATATTAATTCCTCAGCAGGTATATGATTTGCAAATGTTTTCAATCATCCTGTGAGCTGTCATTTTATTCTGTTGATAGTGTCATTTGATGCAGGATAGTTCTTCACATTAAAGTCCAATTTATCTATTTTTTGTTGTTGTTTGTGCTTTTGGTATCATATCCAACACATAATTGCCTAATGCAATGCCATGAAGATATTCTCCTACTTTTTCTTCTAAGAGTTTTATATTTTTAACTCATGTTTGGATCTTTGATAAATTTCAAATAAATTTTTGTATGTGGTATAAGGTAAGGGTCTAACTTCATTCTTTTGCCTGTGGCTAACCAGTTTCCTCAGCATAATTTGTTGAAAAAATGATTGTTTTCCCATTGAATGGTCTTACTACCCTGGACAAATATTAATTAACCATGTATGCAAGAGTTTATTTCTGGGTTCTCTATTCTACTCTATTTTTCTAAATTTCTGTACTTGTGCCCATGACACCTTGTTTTGATTGCTGTAGCATTGTAGTAAGTTTTCAAGTCAGGAAGTGTGAGGCCTCCAACTTTGTTCCTTTGTAAAATTGTTTTGCTAGTCAGGGTCCCCTGAGATTCCATATACATTTTAGAATTTGTTTTAATTTCTGTAAAATGTATGCCATTAGGATTTAATACGGATTGCATGGAATCTGCGATTACTTTGGATAGCATGGGTATCTTAACAATATTCATCTGATCCATGAACCTAGAACGTCTTCTCATTTACTTTTGTCTTATTAAATTTTCTTTTAACATTGTTTTGTCATTTTCAGTGTGCAAGTCTTTCACCTCCTTGGTTAAATGTATTCCTAAGTATATTGTATTTTGATGCTTTTGTATTTATGGAAATTTTTTTAATTTTCCTTGTGAAATGGTCATTGATAATGTGTAGGATTGCAACTGATTCTTCTGTGATGAGTTTCTATTCTGCAACTTTGCTGATTTCACGTATTTACCTGTGTTTTTGTGCATGGAACTTTTAGTATTCATGTATGACCATGTTATCTGCAACAAATATAATTTTGCTTCTTTCTTTTCAATTTGGATGCCTTTTATTTATTTTTCTTTCCTAATTACTCTGCTTAAAACTTCCAATACTATGTTGAATACAAATAGCAAAAGCAAGCATCTTGTCTGGCTCTTGATCATGGGGAGAAAGGTCCAGTCTTTCACTATTAAATACAATGTTAGCTGTGGAATGTTCACTTATGTTGAGAAAATTACCTTATATTCTTATTTATTGAGTATTTTTTATTACTAAAGAATTTGTACTTTGTCAAATGCTTTTATTGCATTGATTGAGATGATTGGGTTTTATTGCTTTAGTCTATTTATGTGGTTGATTTTCATGTTTACACAAGTTTGTGTTTGGATAAATCCCACCTGGTCATTGTCTGAGTCTATTTTCTGTCACTAAAAGAGAATGCCTGAGGCTGAGTAATTTATAAAGAGAAGAGATCTACTTAGCTCATGGCTCTGCAGACTGTGTGAGAAGCATGGTGCTGGCAGCTGCTCAACTTCTGGTGAGAACCTTTGCACTGAGTGTAAATATAGTAAATACTGTATAATAACCCATTCTCCCAGAAACTAGTCCATTCCCCCAAGAACCAATCCTGTCACACCAGAGTGAGAACTCACTCATCATCACAGGGAGAAGGTCACCAAGACATTCATGAGGGATCTGCCCCTGAATCCAAACCCCTCTCAGCAAGCCCCACCTCCCAATACCACCATACGAGGCATTAAAATTTTAACATAAGATTTGGAGGGGACAGAGCCTATCCAAGCCATAGCAGTCATCAGACATAATCCTTTTCACATTCTGTTGGATTTATTTTGCTGGTATTTTGTTGAAAATGTTTTTGCATCCTTATTCATAAGGGATATTGGCCTATAGATTTTTTAATGAAACCCTTATCTAGCTGTGGAATCAGAATAATACTAGCCTCAGAATGAGTTAGGAAGTGTTTCTTCCTCTTCTATTTTTTAGAAGAATTTGAAGGATTGGTGTTAATTATTTTTAAAATATGTGGTAGAATTTATCATTGGAGCCATCTGGTCTCTGACTTAACGTTTGTTGGAGATTTTTGATAACTGATTCAATCTCTTGTTTTAGTTGTTTATATTTTCTGTTTATTCCTGGGTCAATTTTGACAGTTTTTGTCTTTTTAGGACTTTGCTATTCCATCAGATTATCTAATTTATTTCCATACAATTGCACAATGTGTCCTCTTAGAATCTTTTGGAGTCTGCGAGGTGAATAGTGTTGTCCCCACAGTCATTTCTCGTTTTAGGAATTTGAGTCTGCTCTGATTTTTTTCTAGTCTAGTTAAAGTTTTCTCAGTTTTATACATCTCTTCAAAACATCGACTTTTGGCTTGATTGATTCTGTTGTTTTTCTATTCGCTATTTCACTAATCTCCACTTTAATCTTTATTATTTCTTTCTTTCTGCTGCTTTGGGGTTTTATTTGCTTTTTTCCCAGTTTCTTAGATGTAAAGTTAGGTTATTGACTGGAGATCTTTATCTATCTATCTATCTATCTGCATGTATGTGTATGTGTGTATGTATGTATGTATTTTGGAAAGGGAAATCAAGGTTAAAGAAGGTGGAGTCCTAATCTCATATGACTAGTATGCTATAAAATGAGGAAGACACCAGAGACCTCTCTCTGCATGGACACAGAGAAAAGGCCATGTTAAGACACAGTGAGAAGATGGCCATCTTCAAACAGAATAGGCCTCACCAGAAGTGACCCTGATGGCACCTTAATCTTCAACATCTAGGCTCCACACTGTGAGAAAACAATACATTTGTTTTTTGGTTTTCTGTTGTTGTTGTTGTTATGGCAGCCCTAGCAGAATAACACATCGTTCTTCCTTAACTTGCTTGAGTTTTATTCTTACTGTTTTTAATGTACACATTTATAATTATAGATTTTACTCTGTGCACTGTGTTTGTCACATCCCATAGTTCTGGCATGCTTTGTTTTCATTTCTATTAAAGTATTTTGCAATTTACCTTGTGATTCTTCTTTGAGCCACTAATTGAGAGTATTTTGTTTAATTGCTACATATTTGTGAATTTCCAGTTTTCCCTCAGTTTTGTGTTTCTAGTTGCATTTAATCGTGGTTGGAGAAAATCATTTATCACTTCTCGGCCTTTTGGCTAAGATCAAGTGTGTGAGAAAATCATTTGTATAAGCTCAATCTTTTTAAAATTTTATGGAGACTTATTTGGGGCCTAACACGTAGTCTATACTGAAGAATATACCATGTATGCTGGAGAAAGTGTGTATTCTACTGTTGGTTGGACTGTTCTGTAGTTGTCTATTAGGTCTAACGGTTTAAAATGTTGCTCAAGTCTTCTGTTTCCTTGTTGATCCTCTGTCTGGTTGTTCTGTTTGTTATTGAAATGGAGTGTTAAAGACTCCAACGATTATGTTAAAACTGCCTATTTTATGCTTCAATTTTTGCTTCCTATATATATGCCTCTGTTGTTAGGGTCATATATGTTTATAATTGTCATAAGTTCTTATTAATTAGTCCTTTCATGAACGTATAATGTTCTTCTTTGTCTCTGGTAACAAACTTTGAATTAAAGTCCATTTTGCTTCACCTATTAGTATAGTTACCCTAGATTTCCTTTACTTTAATTTTTTTTATAGATGTGGTCTCACTATGCTTCCCAGGCTGGTCTCAAAACTCCTGGCCTCAAGCGATGCTCCCACCTTGGCCTCACAAAGTGTTGGGATTACGGGCATGAGTTACCTTGCCTGGTTCCTAAATGTCTTCTAGTTGCTTTTTGCATGGAATATTTTTTTACATCCTATTACTTTCAACATATTTGTGGCTTTGATCTAAACTGAATCTCTTGTAGCTAGCATACAGTTAGACAATGTTTTCTTTTTATTCATTCTGCCAGTTCTGCCTTTAATTTGAGTTTATTCCATTTACATTTTAAGTAATTACTAATAAGGCCTTGCTTCTGCCATTTTTCTGTTTGTGTTCTACATGTCTTATGGATTTTGGTTGCTCATTTCCTCCATCTTCCCTTCTTTGGTGCATAATTGATTTTTTATAGTGTGCCATTTTTATTCTCTTCTAAATTTCATCTCTAGAGGTTTTCATTATTTTCTTTGTGGTTACCTTGGGGTTGCAGTGAATTACTTCTAATGATCCACCTTGGATTAGTAGAACATAGCCTCAAAAGTATATAAAGCTGGCTTCTACTCACCTGTGTATGCCACCCCCTATGTGGGTAATGTCACAATTACCAATGTATAACATGCCACTTGTGACATTACAATGTCACAAATATTGATATCACAAGTAATGATAATGTATATCATTATACCTTTATACCAATTTGCAATGATTACATTATGTTTGCTTTCTTTAAATTACCAAGAACAAAAGGGTTACAAACCAAAATTAAATATGGCTTTTATGTTTATCTATGTAGTTATCTTCACTGATGATCTTTATTTCTTCATGTGGCTTCATAATACTTTCCATTCAGTTCAGCCCAAAGGACTCTCTAGCATGGTCCAGAATTTCTTGGAGGGCAGGCCTACCAGTGATTATCTCTCTTGGCCTCTGTTTATTTGAGATGGTAATAGCTTAATTATCTCCTCCTCCTCCTCCTCCTACTCCTTCTTCTTCCTCCTCCTCCTCTTCCTTTTCTTCCTCCTCCTCCTCTTCTTCTTTCTCTTCCTCTTCCTGTTCTTTCTTCTTTCTCTTCCTCTTCCTGTTCTTCTTTCTTCTCTTCCTCTTCCTCTTCTTCTTTCGTCTTCCTCTTCCTCTTCTTTCTTCTTTCTCTTCCTCTTCCTGTTCTTCTTTCTCTTCCTCTTCTTTCGTCTTCCTCTTCCTCTTGTTCTTTCTTCTTTCTCTTCCTCTTCCTATTCTTCTTGCTCTTCTTCTTTTAATAACAGCACTAGGTGTTATTGGAAAAATCCGTGGGCAGCACATAATACTAAATAGATTGCTTCTTGAGGGTGTTCACTTTTTTAAATAATGAGTTATGTGGTAAGAATTTTACATTCCTGCATGAATTTTTATACAGAGAGAATTTTTGGTTGATGCTTTTTTTGTTGTTTTTCTATAAGCACTTTGAATATGGCATCCCAAGGGCCCCTGGCCTCTGTGTTTTATAATGAAAAATTAGTTGTTTATCATATTGAGGATCCCTTGCATATAACAAGTCTTTTTTATTGTCTTGGCTCTTGACAGCTTGAGCATAGTTTGCCTAGGTGTGGATCTTTTTATGTTTTATTCTGCTTCAAGTTTGTTGATCTTCTTGAATGTGGGGAATCGTGTCCTTCATTTAGTTTTGGAAGTTTCTGGCCATTGTTACTTCAAATATTTTTCTGCCCCGTGTTTTTCCTTCTCTTCCTCCTAGACCTACCATTATGAATAGAATGGGTGCTACACATGCTTCTTTCCTCCTAGACCTACCATTATGAATAGAATGGGTGCTACACATGCCTCTTTCACTTCATTCATTGTTCTTTATTCCTTTCCTTTTTGATTCTCAACCTGGATAACATCAATTGACCTGTCTTTAAGTTTGTTGATTCTACTACCTGCCTGCTCACATCGCTGTTGAATATTTCATTTCACTGATTGTAATTTGCAGCTCCAGAATTTTGTTTATTGTATGTATGTATGTATGTATGTATGTATGTATGTATGTATGTATTTTGAGACAGGGCCTCGCTCTGTCACTCAGGCTGAAGTGTAGTGGCATGATCATGCCTCTCTGCAGCCTCAACTTCCTAGGGTCAAGTGATCCTCCCACCTCAGCTTCCTGAGTGGCTGGGACCATGGGCAGGTGCCACCACACCTGGCTAATTTTATTTTCATTTCTGGTAGAGACCAGGTCTCTCTATGTTGCTCAGGCTGATCTTGAACTTCTGGGTTCAAATGATCCTCCCACCTCAGCCTCCCAAAGTATTAGAATTACAGGCATGAGCCACTGTACCCAGCCAATTCCAGAATTTCTAATCCTTTTCTAAATTTACTTTAGGTTGTTATGGATACATAATAGTTGTACATATTTATACAGTATATGTGATGTTTTGTTACATGCATGGAATTCGTAGTGATCAAGTAAGGGTATTTAGGATATCCATTACCTTGAGTATTTATTATTTCTGGGTTGATAACATTTCTCCTCCTTTTACTGGCTATTTTGAAATATATAATACACTGGGCTTAACTATAGTTACCCTACTCTTTCTATTGAAAATTAGAACTTACTCCATCTAACTGTATGTTTGTACCTGGTAACCAGTCTCTCTTTACTCTCCCTGCCGCCCACCCATCCACACACACAAACACACACCCTTCCCAGCCTCTATTATCTATTATTCTACTCTCTACCTCCATGACATCAACTTTTTAAGCTCCCATATATTAATGAGAACATGTGATATTTGTCTTTCTGGGTCTGGCTTATTTCACTTAACATAATGAACTCCAGTTTCATCCAGCTTGCTGCAAATGACAGAATTTCATTCTTTCTTATGACAAAATAGTATTCCATTGTGTATATATGCCACATTTTTTATTCATTTATCCATTAATGAACACTTAGAGTCCATATTTTCCCTATTGTGAATAGTGCTGCAATAAACATGGGGGTGCAGGTATAAAAATGGGGGTGCAGGTTACAATCAGTAATGATACTGATCATTACTGCTTGTTTTTTCCTTTGGAAAATGCACAGTGTAAGACTGCTAGATCATATGGTAGTTCTATTTTTTAGTTTTCTGAAAAATCTCTATGCTGTTTTCCATAGTGGCTGTACTAACTTACATTCACACTGGCAGTGCATAAGAGTTCTCTTTTCTGCACATGCTCATCAGCATCTGTCATTTTTTGTCTTTTTGATAGTAGCCATTTGAATAGGGGTGAGATCATATCTCATAGTGGCTTTAATTTGTAATTCTCTGATGATCAGTGATGTTGACCATTTTGTCACACACCTCTTTGCTATTTGTCTACTTTTCAGAAATGCCTGCTCAGATCATTTGCCCACTTTTAAATTGTATTATTTGCTTTTGGCTATAGAGTTGTTTGAGTTCCTTATAGATTCTGGATATTAGTCCCATATTGAATAGTTTTCAAATATTTTGTCTCATTCAGTATGTTTTCTCTTCACTCTGTTGATTGTCTCCTATGCTGTGCTTTTTAGTTTAAAATAGTCCCACTTGTCCATTTTCCTTTTTGTTGCCTGTGTTTTTAAGGTCTTAGCCATAAATTCTTTGCCTAGACCAATGTCCTAGAGTGCTTCCCTCATTTTTTTTTCTAGTAATTTTATAGGTGGGGGTCTTGCATTTAATCTTTTAATCCATGTTGATTTGATTTTTGTATATGGTGAGAGATAGCAATTTAGCTTTATTCTCCTGCACATGGATATCCAGTTTTCCAGCAACATTTATTGACAAGGAGTTTCTTTCCTTAATGTATGTTCTTGGTTCTGTGTCAAACATCAGTTGGCTCTAAATATGTAGACTTATTTCTAGGATCTGTATTCCATTTTATTTATCTACATGTACGTTATTATACCAGTATCATGCTGCTTTGTTGAACAAATTTTGATGCCTCCAGCTTTACTCTCTTTCATCTGGATTGCTTTGGCTATTTTTTTTTTTAATTCCATATATATTTTAGGATTGTAGTTTTATTGCATCTGTGAAAAATATTAAATGTATTTTTATAGGGATTTCAATGAATCTGTAGATTGCTTTGGGTAGTATGGTTATTTTAATGATAGTAATTTTTGCAATCCATTAGCCTAGGGTATCTTTACATTCATTTGTATCCTCCACAACTTCTTTTAACAGTGTTTTGTAGTTTTCCTTGTAGAGATCTTTCTCATGCTTGGTCACATTTATTCCCAAGTATTTTATTTTATTTTTTATGGCAATTTAAATGGAATTGCACTCTTAATTTCATTTTCAGCTAGTTCAATATTGGGGTATAGAAATGCTACTAATTTTTTTAGATTGATTTTGTGCCCTGCAAGTATTAATATTTGCTTTATTTATCTGGGGTCTCCACTACTGGGTGCATATAGGTTTAGAATTGTTATATCTCATTGCTACATTTATCCCTTTATCATCATATAATAATCTTCTTTTTCTCTTTTTACAGTATTTGACTTGAAATCTATTTTATTTGATATAAATTTATCTACACATGCTCTTTCTTGGCTTTAATTTGTAGAGAATATATTTATAAATTCCTTTACTTTCAGCCTATGCATGTCTTTATAAGTGAAATCAATTTCTTGTGGGCAGCATGTAGCATTAGTTGGGCTGTTTTTTAATCCCCTCAGCCTCTATATATCCTTTAATGGGAGCATTTACATTCCATGTTGTTGTTGAAAGGTAAGGACCTCAGCTGCCATTTTGTTATTTGTTTTTTGTTTGTTTTGTAAGTCTTCTCTTTCTTTTTTTTCTTTCTTACTGCCCTCTTTTTTGGATAAGTGATTTTCTCTGGTAGCATATTTTAATATCTTGCTTTTATTTTTGATGTATATATTACAATTTTTTGTTTTGAGGTTACCATTAGGCTTTAAAAACATCTTAGAGTTATAACAAATTATTTTGAACTAATGACTCCCCTTAACTTTGATCATAAAACAACAAACGAGCAAAGAAAAAAAAACTCTACACTTTGAAGCCATCCCCTTTTTAATATTTTGTTGTCTCTATTTATATCTTTTTATAGTGTTTATTAACAAATTGTTAAGTTTATTGCTATTTTCAATAGATTTGTATTTTAGTTTCCATACTAAAAATATGAGTGGTTTACACACCACAGTTACTGTATTGAGAGTATTCTTAATTTCTCTGTGTACTTAGTTTCACTAGTGAGTTTTATGCCTTTAGGTGATTTTTATGCCTTTAGGTGATTTCTTATTGCATGTTAGCATCCTTTTCTTTCAAATTGAAGAGCTCCTTTTAGTATTTCTGGTAAGACAGGTCTGGTGGTGATCAATCACTCAGTTTTTGTTTGTCTGGAAAAGTCTCTATTTCTCCCTCATGTTTGAAGGATAGCTGTGCTAAGTATAATATTCTTGGTTGAAAGTTTTCAAATCTGTCTTCCTGCTCCCTTCTGGCCTGCAGGTTTTCCACTGAGAAGTCTGCTGTTTGGCAGATCAAAGCTTCTTTACATGTCATTTGCTTCATTGTTCCTGCTGCTTTTAGGATCCTCTCCTTGTCCTTGACTTTTGAGAGTCTGATTTTTATGTACCTTGAGATAGTCTTATTTGGGTTGAATCTGTTTAGTGTTCTTTAATCTTCTTATCCCTGGATATTCATATCTTTTCTTAGGTTTGAAAACTTCTCTGTTATTGTTTTTTTTAAATAAACTTTCAACCGTGATTTCTTTCTTTACATGCTCTTTAAGATAAATAACAGATTTGCCTTTCTGAGGCTGTTTTCTAGGTTTTGTAAGTGTACTTTATTCTTTCTTATTCTTTTTTCTTTCTTCTCCTGTGTGTATTTTCAAATAGGCTGTCTTTGAGCTCACTAATTATTTCTTCTGCTTGATCAGTTCTGCTGTTGAGACACTCTGATGCATTTTTCCATTGGTCTATTGCATTTTTCAGCTCCAGGATTTCTGTGTTTAATTATTCAATCTTTTCATTAAATGTCTTTGATAGAATTCTGCATTTTTTCTGTGTTATCTTTTAGTTTATTGAGCTTCCCGAAAACAGCCATTTTGAATTATCTATCTAAGAGGTGATATATCTTCATCAGTCCAGAATTCCAGATTCACTGATGCCTTATTTAGTCCATTTGGTGAAGTCATATTTACTTGGATGTTCTTGATGCTTGTGGATGTTCATCAATGTCTGGCCACTGAAGTTAGGTATTTATACTGGTATCTGCTGTATGACCTTGTTTGTACCTGATCTTCTTGAGAGATCTTTATCTTCTATCATTTCAAAGAAGATTAAGTGTTGTTACCTAAGTTTGTTGTCACTGCAGCCCTTTCAGTGTGAAAGGGTGCGTAAACCCAGGTACACTGCTACCCTTTCAGGTTTATAGATATATAACCCAGACAGACTTGGGAAATATACAGGAAAATTCCCTGGGTTCCCAGGCAAAGACCCTTGCTTTCTTCCCTCTCTTTTCCTCAACTGGAAGGAGTCTTTCTCTGCATTGGGCTGCCTGGAGTTAAGGGAAGTGACAATGGACACTCTTGTGGCTGCCACAGCTGGCAGTAAGCTGGGTCACACCCAAAGCTCATGGCCTCCCACACCATTGCAGTACTGGGACTTGCCCAAGGCCCACAATTGCTATGGCCTGATTGCTGCTGATGTTTATTCAAGGCCTGAGGTCACTGTGGTCAGCAGTTGGTGAAGCCTGCCTGGACTCAGGTCTGGGTTTGTCCCATCAGGGCAACAGATTCTCTTATGGCCCAAGATGGTTACAGAAATTGCATCTGAGAACAACAGCTTGGAATTGGAGGCTTTGGGCTTCTTCCTGGTGCTTTATTTTACTCTGGCTGAGCTGGTTCCTGTTGCGAGACAAAGTCCCCTATACTCTGTTGTCTCCTTTTCCCAAGAAGAAGCAGTTTGTCTCTCAAGCTTCATTGCCTGGAATTATAGGAGAAGTAATGCAGGCACTTTTGTGACCACCACAGCTGGTGTTTTACTGGGTTGTACTCCAAGCCCACAGAGCAGCACAGCACCGGGACTTCCTCAAGGGCCACAATCCCTACGGCTTGGCTGCCACTGAAATCCATTCAGGGCCCCAGGCCTCTTTAGTCAGCCAGTGGTAAAGTAGGGCAGAGCTCAGTTT